>NC_000015.10:32367783-32670813 GCF_000001405.40 Homo sapiens
AGTATTGATCTTTTTAGCCTACGAGCTTCGGCGACAGGTGTCTTGCTGGTTAACCTATTTCCATCTCATTACTTTGGCTTCTGCAAATACAATGCCGGGAAAGATTAAATACTGTAAGCTGTATCCAGTCAGCTCTCCATTATCTGCATTAATCGAGGCCAGTACTGAGTGGGATAATCCACAGAAGTGCCTAGTCCCCAGATCATATTTAATTGATTTGGGGTGGCAGTTGATGGTGAGTGTGTGTACATGTGTGCACACACACACACATATGCTTTTGGTGAGGGTGAGGATCGAACTTACTCATCTTTGATGTGGCATCAGGATCCCATTTTGGAGGCAGTCTCATTTGGGGGCACACCAAGGGAATCCCAGAAGCCTGCTAGAGGAGACAACAGGGCTTCTAGTCTCCCGACTTTTTGTAGGGAAGAAGAGGCAAAGTGAGAGTCCAGGTGTCCTCTGAGGGTGAGGGGGGCAGGTCCTGGTGGCATTCTCCCTGCAGCATGCCTCCCACCTGGAGCAGGTCAGGCGATTTCCGGGTGAGCTACACAAACCCACTCATTTGTTCTCTCTTTTGGCCGGGCGCAGTGGCTCATGCCTATAATCCCAGCACTTTGGGAGGTCAAGGCGGCAAGATCGCATGAGGCCAGGAGTTCAAGACCAGCCTGAGCAACATAGTGGTACCCTGTCTCTACAAAAAATTTTAAAACTAGCCAGGCATGGTGATGCATGTGTGTGGTCCTAGCTCCTTGGGAGGCTGAGGTGGGAGGATTGCTTGGGCCCAGGAGTTTGAAGGCTGCAGTGAGCTATGATCACGCCTCTGTATTCCAGCCTGAGCAAGGGAGTGAGACGCTGTCTGTAAAAAATAAAATAAAATTAAATAAATTTAAAAACACACAAACCCCCCTCATTTGTTTTCTCCTTCTCAAGGCTGAGGATCCAGCTCCAGGGTTCTGAAGTACCAGAGGGTGGAAGAGACAGGCAGATTTTCATGGGCTTCAAAATTTTAAAGATACAGAAAGATACCCAGTGAAATATTTTCCAGCTCCTGCTTTCCCAACTCTGCTCCCCAGAAGCAACTACAGCTAATGTCATCGATTCCTTATGCACTTTTCCAGAGCCGTGCTGTGAATATAGAAGCATACAAGCATACATATGCTTCTCCCCCACCCTTTTACACAGGTATCATGCTCACTCCCCTGCACACTGATTCTTCCACTATCTCCCTTGGAGATCATTCCCTGTTCACCCACACAGAGCAAAGCTCCAGGGCATCTGGGTCTTCTGTGATTCTCCCATGTGGGCTGACCATGGGCAGAGTAAAGACCCTCAAAGCAGAACATCCCAGAACTACTGAGAGTGTGAGGGTGAGTGTGTGAGGTCGTCTCACCCCACCTTCCTCCTCCAGCCTAGCTCCCCTTCCCTCCTACTCAACTTGATTGTCAATCAAGTCTCTCTTTAGTTTAGGTACAAGAACTGTGGCTGAGCTCTGAGCACATCTGGGCATTTGGAGTTAAGGAAAGAGAGAGCCTCTAGACATGCTGTTTCTGCTTGTTATAAGAGGGCTCATAATAGGGGGAGAGATGGTGGCCCCTTCCCCCTGCACTCCCCATCCTGGTGTATCCCTAGGCTCTCTGTTGAGAGCATTCTTTTTGATACTCACCTGAAGTCCTGCTTTCTGCCCTGACAGCTCTCTACATGATAGAAAGAAAAGGATAAGATAAAGGATAAGCCAACCAGGTTGTCACCTGCTCCCCAACTCCTCACCCAACCCAGGCCAAATGTGGCTGTTCTCCCCAGCAAAGGGGGCCAGAGGCAGTTAACTAGCACTCCGAGACCCAGGCATGTTCTAGGGTCTGTGCTGGGATATGCATGCCAAGCATGGTTCCTCCTGGACCCATTGCTCCCAGCCTTGGGGCCACTTGCAGAGGCCTGAGTGCTTGGGACTGACACTGTCACAGGGGCCAAGTGGCCATCCTGGGCAGACAGAAGGACAGTGGCCAGTGGACCAGGGAGAGAAGGGAATTCCTGCGTGGATTCTGTTTAGTGACCTTGCTTCTGGTCCACCCCTGCTTCTCCAGCATCATTTCCCACTATTGGAGACTCCCCCTTCCTGAGCTTTCCCTGAGGACTGGGCCCCCTACCTTGCTCCTGAGCAGGAGACCTGGCCTCAGTCAAATTTAGACCCGGTTCTTTATTCTGATCAACTGTGTGACCTTGGGCAGGTCACTTACGACCTGTCTGAGCAGAATTTGCCTTGTCTTTGAAATGATGCTGGTAATTGTGCCCTCCTCCCAGGTGGGTTAGATGAGAACATCTGTGTGCTCACCAAACAGAGTTATGGTGATTGAACCTGTTGTTGCCACCAATGTCCTCCTGCCTGCCCTGCCTTGATGCCCTCCAGGTCCGCAGTGCCTCTGAGGCTTATTTTACTTCCAGCAACTGGGCTTGGACTTTGACCTCTCTGGCAAGAATTTCTGAATTACTTAGAACCTCATTTTTTCAAAGTGTGGTGCCCAGATCACCTGCATGAGAGGAAATGGGGGTGCTTGTTACCATGCAGATCCCTGGGCACATTCCAGTCCACTGAGTTTTCTGAGTTAGGCTCTGGGAGACAGGTGCGATGGCAGAGGGTCTACATTTTAACAAACTCCCCAGGGGGGCTTGATGCAGGCCAAGCCTGAGAGACCCTTCCTCAGTCCCTTCCCTTGTGTGTCTTCTCCCTTGTTGGGGCCTCCCAGGCCCCTTCCTCTTCAGACCTTGACCTGTGGCCCAGCAGGCTGGGAGCAGGCATCTCTCCACACCCCCAGCCTCCCTCCCCGGACAGCTGCAGCCTTCACCTAATGGTGCCATTTCATGCTTTCCTGCTCGGGTGATTCTGACCAGACAGAGGAGTTCACTCTGTCCTGGGAGCCCTGGCACCCAGATCCATTTATCGTCCTTGAGTCTTCCAGCTGGCTGCTCTCCCAGGGACTGCAGCTCCCAGCCATGCGGGAGGCGAGGCAGCTGTGAGTTCCCGATAATTTGGCTCTCCCTCACACCGTTCTCACCGCCATTCCTCCACAGCCATGGGAGCCCTGCCTCCTAGAGTGGGGGAAATAGTCCTGGAGGCGGAGGAGGCTGCTGGGCTGTGGAAGGAAGCACTGGACTGGGGGTCCAGGGATTTAGATTCTTCCTCCACCAAATGCCTGTGCGACCCTGGACAACTGGCTTCACTTCTCCGGGCCTCCAGGAGTCTTGGGGGTGGCATGTGGGGTATGAAAGGGCTCCTGCTGTTTTCCTTCTTTCTACATTTTTTTTTCTCTGACTCTAGAAGGGACAGCAGAGCCAGGTGATAGGGGGTCACATCAGAAGGAGAGACAGCCGAGGGAATCTTGGTCTCTCAGCTACTGGCATGTCTCCCAGGGAAAATGGAAATGCAACCCAAGGGCAGCCTGGGAAAAATAAGCAGTGGTTCTCTACATGCTGGGTAGACGTGGGCTGTGGGAAGGACATGTGGTCTCCACCCATGCAACGTCTCATTTAATCCCAGCCTCAACTCGAGGGTTTAGGAATAAAAGCTGCATTCCAATAGTTTAGAAGTCTGACACTCAGAGAGGTGAAAGAAACCACATGAGGTGAAATGGTTCATAAGGGGGTATGTCTGACTCTCTATAGTCCTAGGCCTGCTGCAAGAGGAGAGGAAGGGTGGGCAGTTCCCAAAGCTGTGCGCAATTCCCCTACCTCCCATGCCAGCTTTGGGGTCTCACTGTACACACACACACACACACACACACACACACACTCTCACACCAGGCCTTGGTTCCTTCCCAATCTATGCTTGAGTGGGTGCCCCTGGATACAGCCTGATGACGACTGAGTCTTAACATGGTTTGTGGAAAGAGCCCCGGGCCCAGAGCCAGCCTGTACTGCACGGGGGAACCCTAGGAAGGCCACTTCCCCACAGAATTCAGTGTCTTCTGTGAAATGACATAATGTGACCCAATCTCAAGTCTTTCCTGCTTGATCATTTACAGACCCACATATTTATTGAATGTGGGCAGATTACCTGAGGTCAGGAGTTCGAGACCAGCCTGGCCAACATGGTGAAACCCCTTCTGTACAAAACTACAGCAAATTAGCTGGGCGTGGTGGTGGGCAACTGTAATCCCAGCTACTTGGGAGACCGAGGCAGGAGAATCGCTTGAACCCGGGAGACAGAGGTTGCAGTGAGCCAAGATCATGCCACTGTACTCCAGCCTGGCAGACAGCGAGACTCCGTCTCAACAACAACAACAACAAATGTGTAAACAAGTGAGCGTCCCAACAAAATTTTACTTACAAAAATTAGGTGGGGGACTGGATTTAGCCCCTGGACTGCTGTTGGCCAACACCTGCACTAGAGCAGCAGCAGTGAGCAAGACAAATGAGGTGGCTGCTTATACAGTCACAAGCTGCATGAGTACCATGGGGATGAGAATGGAGAGCCGGGAAAGTAGGTGGTTGGGGCCTTGATGCGGGGTAGGGGAGGAGGGAGCCATGGGTGTGTGGAGGAAGGCGCACTTGGAAGTGCTGTTTGAGCTGAGAAAGATGTGTAGACTGTATTAGTCTGATCTTGCACTGCTATAAAGAAACACCTAAGACTGGGTAATTTATGAAGAAAGGAGGTTTGGTTGGTTCGAAGTTCCACAGGCTGTACAGGAAGCATGATGCTGGCATCTGCTCGGCTTCTGGAGAGGCCTCAGGAAACTTACAATCATGGCGGAAGGTGAAGAGGGAGCCAGCACTTCACATGGCCAGAGCAGGAGGAAGAGGCAGGGGAGTGGGGGTTGGAGGGTGCTACACACTTTTAAATGACCAGTCTCATGAGAACTCACTATCACTAGATCTGACCCTGTGATCCAATCACCTCCCACGAGGCCTCACCTCCAACATCAGGGATTACCATTTGACACGAGATTTGGGCAGGGACACAGATGCAAACTGTATCATAGGCTTTAGCTCCATGAAGGGGGCACAGCATGTGCAAAGGCCCCGAGGAGGGTAATACAGTGTATTAGGGGAAACAAAAGAAGGAGTATGGGCTGGTGTTAGCAACCCAGGGAGGGAAAGCCGAGGTGCTGCTGGATGGAGAGCATGAGGGGCTGTAGGCGACGCTAGGGCTTTTGGCCTGTCTCCCTGGGATGGCTTTTCATTACGGCGGCATGACCGGCTTTGCATTTTATGAAGATTGCCTTGGTGGCAAATACGGAACTGACTGGAGGTGAGCAAGAGGAGACCCAGATCAGGCGGCTATGTCGGGGGCCAGTTGACCTGTGGGCCTGGAGCTCAGAAGTGGCTTGAATCTGACCGAAGAGGATGGCACTGATGCCAGGGTGTGGAAGGAACCACTCAGGGAGACACCATGGCTGAGAAGGGAAGGACCCCAAGGGCAAGCCTGAGGCAACCGAAGGAGGAGTAGTCACAGTTATGATGAAAGCAGGCAGCGGCCAGCTGGTGACCACAGCTCAGGGGTCCAGCTCAAGGAAAATGAAAATGTGGCCTGGGTTTAGTGACCTTGTGTTCATCATCCATGACTTTACAAAGAACTACTTCAGCAGAGGGATGGGGCAGAAGCCACAACGGAGGGGCTGATGAGTGAGGCGGACGTGATGAAATGGGGACCATGTGTTGCGTGTATGTGTGTGTGTGTGCACGTGTGTGTATGTGTGTGCATGTGTGTATGTGTGTGCGCAAGTGTGTGTGTGTGTGTGTGGTCACAAAGGGAAAGGGAGAACAAGGCAGCAGGTGGAGCTCATTTTTGGTGGGTGATGTGATAAACTGGACTGGTCCAGCCTCAGCCGAGGGAAGGGGGAAATGTTAGGCACAAGAAAGGGCAGGGATGGCAAAGACTTCCTGAGAAGTCAGGAGGGATCCTGTGCAGGAGCGGGAACTGGCTTAACCAGAGGAAAAGCCCTCAACTGAGAAGGGGTCAGGAGGAAAGGTCTGTGGTTTGACCCGAGGCTGGGACATTTTGAGAGATTTCTCACCTTTATTTTTCTTTAAAACAACAGGAAAGAGACAGGAGGGGTGTGAGGGAGCCACAGGCCTGCGGAGACTGGAGGAGGAGGCAAAGCTGGTGGGGAGGCGTTTCCTGCAGTTTCTGTGCAGTGCAGAGGGCCTGGATGATCCTGGGGACTGATGGGGCACGGGCTGCCCTCGTACTGTGGGGAGACTCTCACCAGGGGGCTCAGCAGTCAGGGGTAGCCATGGAGAAGGAGAAAGCTGTCAGTGGGATTTCTCCAGGGCTGGCGCTTTGCCAGGTGAATACCACAAAAATGCCAAGGGAGTGCAGGGAATTGTGAACAAGTTGTAGGCACCACAGACCATGGTGGGAAAAGAAGACTAGAGGGGCTGATGGTGGCCCGGGAAGGTCAGGGAGATTTCTCCAGGAAGAGCATTCTAGGCTGAGGGAGAGTAAGTGCCGAGGCTGTGGGCTGGGGGTCTGTTTGGTGGGTTTGTGGCTGGTAGCAAGAGGCCAGCATGGCAGGAACTGAGTGACTGAGAGCAGGGACAGGAGATGCCTGTGGGAGCCAGCCAGGGGCCAGGCCAGGCAGGGATCTTATTCTAAATGTGACAAGATGCCACAGGAGGGTTTTAAATAGATCAGTCTGGCTGCAGTGTGGAGATCAGGCTGAGTGGAGGGGAGTGGAAGCTTCCAGATTGGAGGCTACTGTGGTACTCCAGGTGGAGGGTGGAAAGCGGCCAGATTTGGAAGGCACTGTGGGTTGTTGATGAGTTTGCAGACACCTGGGATGTGGGGGGTGACCCCACATGGATGGGAAGGATGACCCCAAGGCTTCTGGTCTCAGCACCTGGTGCCATGTACTGGGTGCATAACTGAGAGGTGGGCCCTGAATCCACCCCATCCACTCTCTGGGCCCACTGCCCATGCCTGCCTTTGACCGAGAGCCTCCTTCTCAGGCATCTTTTATTCCCTTGCTGTCTGGGCAGCTATAGCCTCCTGGTTTTTTTGGAGTCTGGAAAAGCCTCGAATCTGCTGCTGCTGCTTCATGGACTCCCCACATTCCCTCTCTGCAGCTCTAAGTCATCTTCCTCTGGCAGGTTCCCCGGGAACACTGTCTGTCTTTCATAAGAGCTCGGGGATGACATTTGTTATTGGCTGTTTTCAACTCTTTCCCCCCTTTCCTCTGGAGTTATGCTCCATCCTAGTCTTTTTACTTATGACAGCCAAAGTGAAACTTTCAAAATATGCATTTGTACATGTTACCCCTGCCCCCACCCTAAAAGGCCTCCCACAGCTTCTCATTCCTCTTTGCGAAGGACAAAACTCCTTGACGCAGCCTATGATGCCCCTGATCCTGCCCTGCCCAGCCTGCCAGCCTCACCCTGAACCATGCTCCATCCACTCCAGCTGCCCTGGCCTTCCCTCAGGCTTTGGACTCACCACACTGCATCCCACCTCTGGGCCTTTGCATAGGCTGTGCTCTCTGCCTAGGCTGCCCTTTCATCTCCTCTTTACCTGGATAAATACCCACCCTTTGGGTCTCAGTTCAATCATCAATTTTTCAAGAAAGCACTTTTGCTTTCCCAGATTAGTTCAGGTATGCCCCTTTATAAATGCTCACCACCACCAGATGGCTCTCCTTTCTTGCACTTCTCATAATTACAATTTCATATGCACTTATGTGAAGTGCATGGTAAATTCCATGAGGGAAGCAGGATATGAGCTCAGTAAATACTTGAGTGAGTGAATGAATGAATGAATGAATGAATGTGTCTCTCACATCTGTTCTCTCTACTCCATTCCTTACCTTCCCACCCTAGTGCAGGTCTTTACCATTTCTGGTCTGTGGAACCAGCCTCCCTGCTCCACTCCCCATGGAGCTAACTTCACAAACCCCACTTATAACTGCTCAGCACCCTTCAGTGGTTCCTGCTAGATATAGAGGGAAGTCTAATCTCCTTTTCTTGGACTCCAACACTCCTGAAATGCAGTTCTCCCCCTTCATTCCTGGCCTGCAGGTTCCCTGAACCTCTGGAGCATTAAACATCTTCATTCCTGGCTGGTTTATTTCACTCCAAGCAGCTTTACTTTGCTACAGGACCATTTCTGGATGGTCAGTCTTGGAGAGAAAGCCCGCATCCACCATGAACCTTGGGTCCCTCTACAGTGCCAGGGCCACTTCCAGGTGCCTCAGATAAGGTTCAATGAACACTTCTCAGATTCACATCCAACCCACATTTATTGAATGCCCTCTATGTGCCAGACACAACCAAATTTATTTTTAAATTTTTCACAGCAGTTCTGAAAAGTAGGTATTATTTTCCACAATTGTATATTGAAGAAATCAAGTTTCACAAGGGGATTTGTTTGGAGTCAAATGACAAGTGGTTGGCATTCTTGGGACTACATTCAGCCTCTTCCCGCAGCCCGTGCTGCCTCCTGCCCACCCTGCAGTGGAGAGTGAGAGGGTGGGGTGCTGTAGGGACCGTGGACCGGCTGTGGGCAGCTGTCTGCAGAAAGGGGAGGAGGACTGCCAATCCAGGGGCAAGGGTAGAATGGAGGAGCTAGGCTCAACCTGATAAATGGCATCTACAAAAAGCCCACAGCTAACAGCTAACATTATGTTAAGTGAAGAAAGATTGAAAGATTTTCCCCCAAAGATCAGGAAAAAGACAAGAATTCCCAATGTCACCACTTCTGTTCAACAGTGGACTGGAAGTTCTAGTCACGGCAATTAGGGAAGAAAAAGAAAATGGAAAACTGTCTTCATTTGCATGATTCTATATCTAGAAAATCCTAAGGAATCCACCAACACACACACACGCACACACACACAAATTATTAGAACAAATGATTTCAGGCTGAACGCAGTGGCTCATACCTATAATCCCAGCACTTCGGGAGGTGGAGGCAGGCGGATCACCTGAGGTCAGGAGTTCAAGACCAGCCTGGCCAATATGGTGGAACCCCATCTCTACTAAAAATACAAAAATTAGCCCTGCATGGTGGCACATGCCTATAATCCCAGCTACTAGAGAGGCTGAGGCATGAGAATTGCTAGAGCCCAGGAGGCAGAGGTTGCAGTGAGCTGAGATTGCACCACTGTTCTCCAGCCTGGGCGATAGAGTGAGACTCTGTCTGAAAAAAAAAAAAAAAAAAAAAAAGAACCAATGAGTTCAGCAATGTGGCCGGGTACAAGACTGAGATACAAAAATCTATTATATTTCTATACACTAGCAATGAACAATCTGAAAGTGAAATTAAGAAAACAGTTCCACTTATAATGACATCAAAAAGAGTAAGATACCTAGGAACAAAAGAAGTGCAAGATTTGTAGTTGAAAACTACAAAACAATCTTGAAGGAAATTAAAGGTCTAAATAAGTGGGAAAATAGTGGAAAACTCAACATTGTTGATATGATCCCTGAGCTGATCTACAGATTCAACACAATGCCTATCAAAATTCCAGCTATTTTGTAGAAATTAACAAGCTGGTCCTAAAATTCATATGGAAATGCAAGGAACCCAGAATAGCCAAAACATCCTGATTAAAGAAGAAAAGGCCTGGTGCAGTGGTTCATGCCTGTAGTACCAGCATTTTGGGAGGCCAAGGCGGGTGGATTGCATGAGCCCAGGAGTTCAAGACCAGCCTGGGCAGCATGGTGAAACCCCTTCTCTACAAAAATACAAAAATTAGCCAGTTGTGGTGGCATGGGGCTGTAGTCCTAGCTACTCAGAAGGCTGAGGTTGGAGGATCAATTGAGCCCGGGAGGTCAAGGCTGCAGTGAGCCATGTTCACGCCATGTACTCCAGCCTGGGTGACAGAGTGAGACCTTGGCTCAAAAACAGACAAACAAAAAACAAAGTTGGAAGACCCATTCTGCCTGATTTCAAAACTTACTACAAAGCTACAGTAATCAAGACAGTATGGTCAATAGTAGGCAGGTGCTATTAAAAAAATAATAAAAAATAAAACCAGTGTGGTATTGCCATGAGGTTAGACATACAGATAGAATTGAGAGTCCAGAAATAAACCCTCATATTTGTGGTCAGTTGCTATTTTACAAGGGAATAAGACAATTGGATGGAGGACAGAATAGTCTTTTCAACAAATGTTATACACCAAATGGATATCCACATACAAACGAATGAATGTGAACGCCTTCCTTATGCCATACTCAAAGTGGATTGTAGAAACATAGTGAAACCTAATTTCTAGAAGAAAATTAAAAATTAGCCAGGTGTAATGGCACATAGCTGTAGTCTAGCTACTCGGGAGGCTGAGGCTGGAGGATCACTTGAGCTCAGGAGGCCATGGCTGCAGTGAGCCATGATTGTGCCACCGCACTTCAGCCTGGGTGACAGAGTGAGACCGTGTCTTAAAAAATAAGTGGATTGTAGACTTGAATGTGAGACTGAAAACTATACAACTCCCATAAGAAAACAAAGGAGTAAATCTTAGTGCCCTTAGGTTTAGTGATGGTTTCTTGGATATAGCACCAAAAATATGGCAACAAAAGAAATAGCTAAATTGGACATCATCAAAATTGAAAACTTTTTTGCTTCAAAGGACACCATTAAAAGCTGAAAATATGACCGGGCACAGTGGCTCATGCCTGTAATCCCAGCACTCTGGGAGGCCAAGGAGGCCAGATCAACTGAGGTCAGGAGTTTGGGACCAGGCTGGCCAACATGGTGAAACCCCGTCTCTACTAAAAATACAAAAATTAGCCAGGCATGTTGGTGAGCGCCTATAATAATCCCAGCTACTTGGGAGGCTGAGGCAGGAGAATCACTTGAACCTGGGAAGCAGAGGTTGCAGTGAACTGAGATTGTGCCATTGCACTCCAGCCTGGGCAACAAGAGTGAAACTCCATCTCAAAAACAAATAACAAAAAAACACCACACACACAAAATGAAAATATAACCCTAGAATGGGAGAAAATATTTGCAAATTATATGTTCAACAAGGAACTGGTATGCAGAATATATACAAATTCTTACAACTCAATAATAAAAAGACAAAATATTTTAAGATGACCAAAGGATTTGAATAGGTATTTCTCTATGGAAGACACACAAATGGCCCTTAAGCACATGAAAAGATATGCAACATCATTAGACATCAGGGAAATGCAAATCAAAACTACAATGAAATGCCACTTCACCTCCACCAGGATCACTGTAAACAAAAAGACATAATAGCAAATGTCCTTTTGGCTTAGGATTGACTTGGCAATGTGGGCTCTTTTTTGGTTCCATATGAACTTTAAAGTAGTTTTTTCCAATTCTGTGAAGAAAGTCATTGGTAGCTTGATGGGGATGGCATTGAATCTATAAATTACCTTGGGCAGTGTGGCCATTTTCATGATATTGATTTTTCCTACCCGTGAGCGTGGAATGTTCTTCCATTTGTTTGTATCCTCTTTTATTTCATTGAGCAGTGGTTTGCAGTTCTCCTTGAAGAGGTCCTTCATGTCCCATGTAAGTTGGATTCCTAGGTATTTTATTCTCTTTGAAGCAATTGTGAATGGGAGTTCACTCATGATTTGGTTCTCTGTCTGTCTGTTATTAGCGTATAAGAATGCTTGTGATTTTTGCACATTGATTTTGTATACTGAGACTTTGCTGAAGTTGCCTATCAGCTTAAGGAGATTTTGGGCTAAGACAATGGGGTTTTCTGGATATACAATCATGTCATCTGCAAACAGGGACAATTTGACTTCCTCTTTTCTGAATTGAATACCCTTTATTTCCTTCTCCTGCCTGATTGCCCTGGCCAGAACTTCCAACCCTATGTTGAATAGGAGTGGTGAGAGAGGGCATCCCTGTCTTGTGCCAGTTTTCAAAGGGAATGCTTCCAGTTTTTGCCCATTCAGTATGATATTGGCTGTGGGTTTGTCATAGATAGCAAAGCTGGAGGCATCATGCTACCTGACTTCAAACAATACTACAAGGCTACAGTAACCAAAACAGCATGGTACTGGTACCAAAACAGACATATAGACCACTGGAACAGAACAGAGCCCTCAGAAATAATGCCACATGTCTACAACCATCTGATCTTTGACAAACCTGACAAAAACAAGAAATGGGGAAACGATTCCCTATTTAATAAATGGTGCTGGGAAAACTGGCTAGCCATATGTAGAAAGCTGAAACTGGATCCCTTCCTTACACCTTATACAAAAATTAATTCAAGATGGATTAAAGACTTAAATGTTAGACCTAAAACCATAAAAACCCTAGAAGAAAGCCTAGGCAATACCATTCGGGACATAGGCATGGACAAGGGCTTCATATCTAAAACACCAAAAGCAATGGCAACAAAAGCCAAAATTGACAAATGGGATCTAATTAAACTAAAGAGCTTCTGCAGAGCAAAACAAACTACCATCAGATTGAACAGGCAACCTACAGGATGGGAGAAAATTTTTGCAACCTACTCATCTGACAAAGGGCTCATATACAGAATCTACAATGAACTCAAACAAATTTACAAGAGAAAAACAAACAACCCCATCAAAAAGTGGGCAAAGGATATGAACAGACACTTCTCAAAAGAAGACATTTATGCAGCCAAAAGACACATGAAAAAATGCCATCATCACTGGCCATCAGAGAAATGCAAATCAAAACCACAATGAGATACCATCTCACACCAGTTAGAATGTCAATCATTAAAAAGTCAGGAAACAACAGGTGCTGGAGAGGATGTGGAGAAATAGGAACACTTTTGTACTGTTGGTGGGACTGTAAACTAGTTCAACCATTGTGGAAGTCAGTGTGGCGATTCCTCAGGGATCTAGAACTAGAAATACCATTTGACCCAGCCATCCCATTACTGGGTATATACCCAAAGGATTATAAGTCATGCTGCTATAAAGAAACATGCACACGTATATTTATTGCAGCACTATTCACAATAGCAAAGACTTGGAACCAAGCCAAATGTCCAGCAATGATAAGACTGGATTAAGAAAATGTGGCACATATACACCATGGAATACTATGCAGCCATAAAAAATGATGAGTTCATATTCTTTGTAGGGACATGGATGAAGCTGGAAACCATCATTCTCAGCAAACTATTGCAAGGACAAAAAACCAAGCACCACATGTTCTCACTCATAGGTGGGAATTGAACAATGAGAACACATGGACACAGGAAGGAGAACATCACACACTGGGGCCTGTTGTGGGGTGGGGGGAGGGGGGAAGGATAGCATTAGGAGATATACTTACTGTTAAATGATGAGTTAATGGGTGCAGCACACCAACATGGCACATGTATACATATGTAACTAACCTGCACGTTGTGCACATGTACCCTAAAACTTAAAGTATAATTTAAAAAAAAAAGAAGTGTTGTCTGGGATGTGGAAAACTTGGAACCCTCATACATGGCTGGTGGGAACATAAATTGGTGCTGGCACCTTAAAATGTCAAACATAGTTATGACCCAGCAATTCCATACCTACGTATATACCCAAGAGAAATGAAAACGTATGTCCATGCAAAAACATACATGGATGTTCACAGCAGCATTATTCATAATATCCCACAAGTGGGATATTATTAGCCATATTTAGTTATAAAATAGCCCAAAGTGGAAATAACCCAAATGTTTATAAATTGATGAACGGATAAATATAAAATGTGTTCTAGGCAAGGTGCGGTGGCTCATGCCTGTAATGCCAAAATTTCGGAGGCTGAAGTGGGAGGATTGCTTGAGGCCAGGAGCTTGAGACCAGCCTGGGCAATATAGGGAGACCCCATATCTACAAAAAATTAAAAAATTAGCCTGGTGTGATGGCATGCACCTGTAGTCCCAGCTACTCAGGAAGCTGCGGTGGGATGATCACTTGAGCCCTGGAGGTGGAGGCTATAGTAAGCCATGGTTGCACCACTGCACTCCAGCTGTGCGACAGAGTGAGACCCTGTCTCAAAAAAAAAAAAAAAGTGTTCTACCTACACCATGGAATATTATGTGGCAATAAAAAGGGAATGAGATACTGATACATGCTACAACATGGATGAACCTTGAAAACATCATACTAAATGAAAGAAGCCAGTCACAAAGACCACATATTTTATAATTCCATTGATAGGAAATGTTTAGGATAGACAAATCTATAGAGTCAGAAAGTAGATTAGTGGTTGCTGGAGCTGGGAAGAGGATGGGAACGAAGAGTGACTGCTAATGGGACTGGGTTTCTTTTTGAGGTGGCAAAAATGTTCTACTTAGGTTATGCAAATTGTTCCACAATTCTGTGAATACAATAAAATGCACTGAACTGTATACTTTAATGGGTGACTTATATATGAATTACATCTCAATAAAGCTGTTTTTTGAAAAAAAGGTCACAGAGCCCTTAACAGTTTTGTAGAAGTGAGGGGAGATGGACATGGCGGAAGGCCCTGGACATATATTTATCCCCTTGTGTGGCTACTTGCAGTTCCCGCCAAACTGCACCCATCTCTTTGTCCCCAGAGGTGAAGTCCAGTGGACCTTGGTTTTTCACTTCAAGACCAGTTTTGGGGTCAAGGCTATTTCAACATGGCAGGTAGTAAGAGTTTAATAAATGCTTGGTGAATGAACCTACATTGCATCAATGTACAGGTCACCAAAAGTACTTAAGGCTGGAGCAGTCTCCAGGGCTGGGGAGGGGATCTCAGCAGGTTTTGAAAGGAAGGGACAGAACCTAAGAGCTTCTAAAATGTTCCTTCAGAAGAACCCTGAGTCCAGAGGAGAGTTAACACATCCCTAACATGCAGTAAGAAAAGTCTCACATTTTTTCTTTAAATTCTTGTGCTGTATGCATCCTACTCTATATTTCCAGCTTGTTTTAATTTAAAAATACTGTAAATTGCCATTCAGTAAAACGGATGCTTCAGGGAGTTGTGCTGTTTATTCCTGCATCCTGGAATACCTGTGGGTGTATGCTGCTATGTTGCCTCAGAGGACCTCAATCAACAAATACCCTGAGTGCCCACTGTGTGCTTGGCAGGAGGGGTGCTGTTGCCAACACAGGATCTTCCCTCATAGGACTTTCAGTTGAGAAATGAGTGCATAGCCCCGAGGAGCAAAAAGAGCTCAGTGGAGAGGACAGAATCATGGGGGGGCAGAGTTTGGAAGCTCGTAAGAACATTGCCTTAAATGAAGACCAATATATATGCTCAGTGTTTTACTAGCAAAAAGTTGAAAACTGCCTAAATGTCTAATAGTGGAATGGCTAAACAAATTATGGTGTTACCATGTAGTACGATATTCTGTAGCTATTTAATAATACAAAACAATAAAGGAAAAGGCTTATGATGAAATTTTATGTAAAAAATCTTCAAAAAAACTATGCATAGCATGGCCTCAACATGTAAAACATACTCAGAAAAAATACCAGCATAGAATGCCCCAAATGCTAGTTGACTTTGGAGGGTAGAATTATGGGGGGATTTCTCTCTCTCCCCAAATTTTCTACAGTAAGTCTGTGTTATGTTATTAATAAACATCACATCTTTGATGCAGGAAGGCTAATGTGCAGCTGCATGTGGGGGCAGGGCTAGAGATGAACTTGGAGTAGGGGCTACAGAGTGGACCCAGGAGGAAGGGCTAGAGATGGAGATGTGGGTGCCGTCTTCCTACAGGAGAGGTCAAAACAAACCCTGAGTGGGCACTGAGGGAGCCCATGAAGAAACTACAGAGGGCTGAGGAGTCTCGGAGGGCAGGAGGAGGAATTGGAGTCAGGGATGTGGAGAGTTCAAGTGTCATGGAGCTGGGCAGAGATTCTAGGCAGAGTAATATCTAGAAATCCTTGGAAGTCAAGGAGAGAGGTTGAAAGAGGAGCCCTCAGTGTAAAACCTTGTCTCCTTCCTAGAGTGGTGAGGTTAGATTTAAATGAGATATAGGAGAGTGATTAGCTATACAAGCTCTGGAGTTGGGCAGACCAGTTCAAACCTCAGTTTCAGAACTTACAGCTAAGTGACCTTGGAAAAACTTTCTAACCTCTCTGAACCTGTTTCCCCATCTGTTAAATGGAAACAATAAAAACCATTAGGTTATTTTTTGGATTAGATGAATAATGCATGGAAAGTGCTTTGCATAGTGCTTGGCACATATATGTACTACTATTTTTTTTAAGAGATAGAACCTTACTTAGTCACCCATAGTTCATGTAACCTCAAACTCCTGGACTCAAGTGATCCTCTGTCACTTCAGCCTCCACCATGCCTAATTAAAAAAAAAAAAATTTCTAAAGATAGGGTCTTGCTATGCTACCCAGGCTGACTGTGTACTAATTGGATGATGTCTATTATTATTGGTTTACTACAGTTGTTAATATTATGCAAAATATCTTTGATCGATAAAGAGCTTCTCCTGGTCCTTTGGGCATGGCTTTCTGAGGGGAAGACGACCTCTGGGATGCTCACCCTGCCCTCTTCCCCTCTCATCCCCATCTGTCCCCTCTGCCACCATGAGGAACATTTTCAAGAGGAACCAAGAGCCTATTGTGGCTCCTGCCACCACCACGTCACGATGCCCATTGGACCCGTGGACAACTCCACCGAGAGTGGGAGTGCTGGGGAGAGCCAGGAGGACATGTTTGCCAAACTGAAGGAGAAGTTCTTCAATGAGATTAACAAGATTCCCTGTGAGTGTCCCTGGTGGCTGAGAGGGTGGGGCAAGGCTACAGTCTGGGAGAGGTGAAGAAGGGTGGGGATACCACTGGGATGCGATTGGCTGGGCTCTTTCCTAACGCTTAGATTTTTGGAGAGCCCCTGCAGGAATCGGGGAGGGGAAAGTAAGGTCTGCCATTAATGTGGCAAACAAGGGGATTTATGTGCATCAATTTCTAAGGGAAAGAAAAATTCTCATAACTTAAAAAACTTTCTAAAGATGAAACCAAAAGGCGATGAAAAATTATGAAACAGAAGTCACTATTCAAGTTTGCCAATAATACTTTGAAATTTATTTTGGAAGATAGAAAATAAAAGCCCTCTCTGCTTTTGAATTTCTGGCAGAGGCTGTATAGGAGACACCAGAGATGCAGATTAAGGGGGACCAGCCACACTGGTGGGAGATGGTGCTTCAGAACCACAGAGAGCAGCCCAGGACCCAACTCCAGTTGGGTTTTGCAAAGCCCGGCAGCAGTCTAGGTCTAGACTCAATCTTAAGTCCACTCCATGGACCCACAGCTGAAGCGGCAAATGGAAACCACCCAGAACCTTGTGGACTCCTACAAGGCCATTGTCAACAAGACTGTGTGGGACCTCATAGTTGGTTTCATGCCCAAGACCGTCATGCACGTCATGATCAACAACGTGCATGCACCACCTCATAGGGGCAGGGGGCTCCTGTGGCACTGGGGATGCAGGTGGCCATGTTGGCCTGGGGGAGATGCCGACCAGCCCTATGGGACCAGGTTCAGGGAGGGAGGCACAGTCCAGACCAGAGCTGTCTCATAGAACTATAATGTGGGACTAGGGACAGTGGTCCATGCCTGTAATCCCAGAACTTTGGGAGGCCAAGGTAGGAGGATAGCTTGAGCCCAGGAGTTCGAGACCAGCTTGGGCAACATAGTGAGACCTGGTCTCTACACAAAAATTTTAAAAATAGCTAGGCTTAGTGATGGCACATGCCTATAGTCTTAGCTATTCGACAGGCTGACATTGGAGGATCACTTTGAGCCCAAGAGGTTCAGGCTACAGTGAGTGGTGATCTTGCTCACTGTACTCCAGCCCAGCAACAGAGCGAGATCCTATCTCCAAAAAACATTTTTAAGAAACTGAGTAGACAGGTGTCCTGGTGGCATGATAGGTCCTGGGTCCCCTCCCAGATGTGTGACCTTGGACAGGTGACTTTTCCTCTGGACCTCAGTGTCCCTATCTGAGTGAGAAAAGGGCGGTGGGGTGGCAGATCTTTGAGTCTAAGCGGTGTAGAAGCCGCGTGTGCAAAGCCATACTCAGGGCTCCAAGTCCAGCACACTGTCCCAGCACAGGCATCAGGCCAGCACATGCATCAGGTCCCAACCTCCTTCCCTCTTTGCCCCCTCTCAGACCAAGGAGCTCATATTATCAGAGTTGCTGTCCAACCTGTACTTGCATGGGAACCAGAACACGCTGATGGAGGAGTTGGCAGAGCAGGCACAGTGGCGAGATGAGATGCTGCGCATGTACCACGTGCTGAAGGAGGTGCTCAGCATCATCGGTGACATCAACACAACCACCATCAGCACGCACATGGGGGCCCGTGGACAACTCCTGGCTGCAGGTGCAGAGCGTCCTTGCCAGACGCAGGTACCAGGGCTGGCCCCTATGGCCCCAAGTCTCCCCAGCCCCCATGGCTGAGCCTGGGGGCTCTTGGAACAGGCTCCGTGCCCAAGCTGGCAGATGTGGGTGGTCTCTGGAGCCATCAGGGAGCTCGTGGTTTATGGTGTAAGGGCTGAGAGCTTGGAGGGGGTTGTGTGTGGGGCTGTACTCTGAGGTGGCCAGAGGCCCAGGAATGTCATCCTGGGCACGCCATGCCTTTTGTGCTGTCTGAGCCATGCTGCCAGGGTGGGGCATCCAGCTCCCAGCCTGGATGCCTTGGAGTGCTGAGGGCCAAATCCACTGCAGAGCAGGGGTGATAGGGTCCCACCTCCTCTATCTGTTGGCAAAACAGTGGTGATCTAGGATAAAACCTCGAGAGTCCCATACACATGGTCAACCCAAAACACACCTCACAGGTCAGGTAGGGGCACACAGCCCCCTTCCCTCCCTCCCAGGTACCATCACAGCTGCTAGCATGTGACTGAAGGCAGGGTCCCTGGGCCCCGCTGAAGCACTACCACCAGCCAGCAGGCTCACGCACCTTGGCTTGTTGCTCCTAGAGATTGGCCCTCCTATTCAGCCGAGGGGAGCCCAGTGCCTGCTGGCCCAGCTGAGCTCTGCCCAGCAAGCCCACCCACCTCCCTTGCCATGGTCTCCGTCTCCTTTCCCTGGGAGGAAGGACCCAGCCTCACCTATGGGACCTGCAATCTCCAACAAGCTGAGGCTCCCCTCTTAGACTTATAAGTTTATAGCCAGTGGCATCCGGCTGCCTGCCCACCCTGCCTCCCCCAGGGTCCCTTCAGAGGGTCCTCAGCTTCCTGACCACCCAGAGGGGGCTCCGGCGATCACTCCAACCATCCATCCCATTTAGCTTCATCATCCTTGTTCGAGCAATTTTCCTTCTGTCAGGCCTGGTGGCTGTTATGTTGGGCTCCCCAAGGTGAGAGGTGGCCCTAGACCAGTTGGTTGGAAGACAGGTTGGAAGACGACTTGGAAGACAAGTTGGTTGGTGACCAGAGAAGAGGGAAGCCCAAAGGGGCCGAGCGTTGGTCTGACCTGTGGGTACACTGCCTGGGTGCAATGGAAGAGGCCAGCATGTGTGGGGTGGGGAGGGCCGCCACAGTCCCCAGGCACTACCTGTGAAGCTCCGGCTCCTCCCTCCATCTTCCTCCCCTTTCCCTTCCAGCCCCTCTTTTCCAGGAACCTTGCCACAGCCGCACCTGCGCCCTCCCCTCCCTGGCCCTCCCACAGCTGCTGTGGCACACCTGTGCTCTGCACTGGCCTCACCAGCTCTCTGCTCCCTTTTCTCTCTCCTCTTTTCTCTCTGCTTTCTCTCCAACTGCCAGCCGATCAGGTCACGCAAGTCCATCCCATCCTGAGAGCCCCACGCCCCCCTTCGACCTCTAAACAGATCCCTTCTCTTCTCGGAGGCCTCCCTTTCCAAGCCTGCCTGGGCGGCTGTTCTGTGACTTGGCAGTGGCTCCCCCAGCCCCAAAGCCAGCCCCCTTCATCTGTGACTTAGTCTGTTGTAGTGGTGAGCTGACACGTCCAGGTGTGACTGTTGTGAAACTTGTGCCCCCCTCTGTGGTATGCCCTCGCATTGTTCTATAAATATCTATAAATACCCATACACACACACACACACACACACACACACCCCTACACCTACATGTGGCCAACGGCCTCGCCTCTAGTGCTGGGAATCAGTCACCGTGCTGTCCTCTTGGAGTCTTGTGGCCCAACAAGAGAAAGCTGTCCCGACATTGCCCCTCCAAAGTGCAAGACCTCCGGTGAGTCTCCCTGTCACGCCTGGCCTATGGAGAGTCAGCCCCCGCCATCCCTCCCGCCCCCCCACCAAGCATGGGAGTGCTGTGCAGGCAGCTGAGTGGCCTGACAGTCTCTACCAGTCCTGCTGTCCCTTGGCTGAGAATCAAACCCATTTCTGGATGACGGGGAAGTGTGTCCTCTGCTGGCTGTGTTCTCTGTGGAGCTCAGGGGAGGGGAAAGGCCAAGCCATTTCTAGGGTGCTGTTTGGAGGGGTGAAAAGGCCATACCCTTTCCAAGGGACACTTTTCCTGGAAAGCCCCTGGAACTTAGCTGGCTCTTGTCCTGTGAAGCCGGCTCTGGCCACCAGGGGGCAGGGCCACGAACTCAGCCTGAAGGGAGCCTGCCGGGCAGCCGGCACTCTGGAGGGACAGAGAGAACAGGCCACCAGGTGCAGACAGGGGAGGGAGGCAAGGTGACGGAAGGGAAGACGCCTGGGGTGGGTGGAAGTCAGTGCCCTTAGGTGCTGGTACCTGTCTTCCTGGCCACCGCTACAACAGGCTTCTGAGCCTGTTGGCTGTCAGGGCTGGACTGCGCCCCATAGGCACCATGGCAGTCCCCGTGGAATCCCCCAGGCGCCACTAGGCAGCATACAGGTAACACGCCTGGAAGGTCCCTAACAGCCTAGCTGGACACACTCAAGACACTCTGGGGCTCCTCGTTTGGTGGCACAAACTCCAGGACCCAGTGAGGGAAACGGGAACACACCAGGCCGAGCAGTATGGCTAAATCCATTTATTCCAAAATAAAAAGCAAAATAAACAGGAGTCGCATCACCAGGGAGCCACGACCCCATCCCCGCCTCCTTCCTCTGTCCTATGCTAGCAATAAATAAGTTTCCCAGCCACAAATAATTATTACAACCTCCTCCCCATGTGCCGGCCTCAACCTCAGCTAGGTATGACACAGGGGTGGCCCTACCCTCTGGAATATACAAAACCTTACACAGACACAATGTGTACACCGGGGAACGGGGGCCACCCCAGCAGCCCGTGCCCTCGCCTGGTCCACAGTTAGCCGCACTGTCCTGCCTCTCTGAATAAGAAGGGAGCCCCCTGAGGGAAAAGTTGCTATGGTGAGAGTAAGGGGGACATCAGGCCTCCTCCAAACAAACCAACTCCACCAGCCTCTGGCTCTTAAATAACAATCATCATCATCCAGAAATTTAGGGACTCAGCCCTGGTCAGGGTGGCAAAGGGTCTGTTTGTCTTTCCCCATTAGACAGAGGTCTTGTCCTGCTACCCTCATTGTAAAGGGGTGCCTGGGAAGGGGTGGTAGGGACATGGTGGCGGTGGAGACTCCGGCCCCACTTCTCCAGGCTTTGCTGACAGGGGCCTGCTTTTAATTTTTATTTTTATTCCATGACTTTTTAAAAAAGAATCCCGTAACTTCTTTTTCATAACTTTTTTGGTAACTTTTCATAATACTGTTTTCTACTTTGTTCCCACAAGTTTTTTTGCCACAACGTTTTTACATTTTTTATCCCATAACTTTTTCACCCCATAACTTTTTTAATCCCATAACTTTTAAAATCTTGTGTTCTTTTAAGAAACACTTGCATAGTTATATCACAACTTTGTAAAAATGAAACACATTATCTCATGCCAAGCATGCCCAGCATTTGCACAGTATCAATACCTTTAATACTATAGTTTTCAAGAAACGCAAAATAAAATTTTAAGACAAAAACAACACATTGAAACAACTTAATAATTTATTACATTACAGTGGCATCACACCAGCAGTCAATAAGGCCACTCTAGGGAAAAATCTTTCAGTATTTCCACGACACATTCTCTTTACAATAATTCATAAACTGGTAAAATTCATTCTAAGAAAACTTGGCAAATAAAACTTTGGACTGGAATTGGCATTTCTTTCTCTGCTTTTCGTTCCCACCATTTCTTTCTTTTATACTACAGTATTCATATTTTAAAATGTTTTAAATTATTTCAGAACATTAAGATAGCAGTTACATTTTTTAATAGTTATATTATTTTAAAATGACTAAGATAAAGTTTTAGAGAAACTATATTATGGATAGGGCTGATTTACATTTTCAAATTTTCTAAAATCAGCTTTGGTTTTAGAGCTGATTTTTTTTTTCATTTCTGGAAAATTATCAGGTTGAATCAAATACTTTTAAAATGATTATTATATATTGCCATCTTTAAATAGGTGTTTTGATTCTTCCTACAGACATTAAAATGTATTCAGTGGAACTCACAGTTTAAAATTCTATGTTTCTGATGAACTCTAACATTCCAATGTTGCCTTCTAAGCAAACTGAAAGCTGCCTTATACTGAATGAGGAAGAGCACAAATACTCGGCTGAATGAGGTATCACAAAAGACTGCATGCACTTTGGAGAAAGACTTAAGTTATTGTCATACAATTTCCATTCTTTTTAGCGTTTTCTTAAGTATATGACAAATGCCTACACAAAGAGTGGTATTTCAGTCAATATAGTAAATTTATTTTCCAGACTGACCTTCAGCTTAAATATGCCAGTGTGTGATTTAATCCATAGGCACCTCATGAACACATTATTGTCAGATTGGTTACAGATGCTAAACGCTATCCGAAGGTCATTCCTAGTCACTGATATTTATCAGGGTAAAAGTGAAGTGATTTCAACGATAAAAGTACCTTTGCAATAATTTATCAATGTATTAGATAAACCCAGTTTCAGAATGATAAAAGAAAAAACGTTAGACCAAATAATGTGGCTGATTAACAGTGGTCCGATTTCTAGCCCGAGGGTTTAAAATGCTCTTAAAGTAACTGTCTTTAAACTGAACTCAAAGAATGCAAAAGCGGCAAGTTCAGAAAATAAAAGGCGAGAACAGGACTTTAAGTGCATTTTAAACCCACGGGCTACAAATCGTACCACTGTTAATTAGCCGCATTATTTGGTCTAAGATTTTTTCTTTATCATTCTGAAACTGGGTTTATCTAATACATTGATACATTCATAAAATTTGGAAGAGTCAGTGGAAGTCACAAGGACCGAATATTTGCACTCTTTCAGTGAATGCCAGCAAATCTGTTATTCCATCGGTAAAATCGTATTGTTGCTCTCCTGTTAATGTCATATTTATAGAAGTATCATGAGGATGCCAAATGCTAAAAATGGAGATGATCTAGTAACTAGAAATCCCCACCGCAGGGAGCACACACACCTATCTCCCTGCATCCTAACAATGTGATGTGTTTTGGAACACAGACATTAGAACTTCATGAAGTTTTAACTGTTGAGTCTTTCCCAAGCATCATCAAGTTACGATTTAGGCAATATATAACTGAAATGTATTCATTCATCATGCATAGGCACAATCACATAAATATCGCACAAAATATGTCCCGAACAGAAACCCAGAGGTACAAAAACATATTTCACTTTGTAAAGAAGTCTGTGAGAAAATATAACTCTGTGATTGTATAGACACGTTTCCTGATAATACATTGACATTCATGAACAGTAGATTGCACTGCAGTTTGTACACATTTTAAGTTTCATAAACTTCTCCTTGATTTTCAAAGAGAGTACAATACCGTCTACTAAAACTCCTTTTTGTTTCAACTAAGTATCTCACATATATTAGTTTATAATAATGTTTCTATTATTTTTTAAAGTGTTTTCCATTCAAGGAAAAAGAAGTAAATTCCTATGTCAGAGTAACCAAGGTGGTTGAAGAATAGGTATTAGCCAAAGAGGTCTAGATGGTAAAATCAATCTTCAAGCCTCAAAGAATCTCCGTGAACAGAGAGGAATGCCAGGTGTCACACAGCTTTCCTTCACTCTAATTCATTCTTGACTAGAGCCTGTATGCCTGTTCCAGGGACGTTTGAACTCATAAAGGATTTCTTATGATCTTCACTAAATACATTAAGAAGAATGCCAACCAGTGCCCTTTTGTGTACTGGGACATGTAGTCATGTGATTAAAACAGGTAACATGAACTCTGACTTTAAAATGTATTGTAGATACAAATGCTCTAAGCTAGGAAAGGTTTTCCACATCCACAGTCAACGATGGGAACCTTTCATTCCTCAGAAATAAGCCCTTTTTAGGTCATCGAAAAAGAGTACAACTGCTGCAGCTCATGATGCAATATCTTCATGAGCCCAGAGCACATACAAATCCTAAGGGAACCACCATAATACACCGCTAATTCCTGGCACCGGAACAGATGAAACACACTCTATCCTGCACATACCTGCCAGAGGAGGCCACTTTCCTCTTCTGTGAGATTTAAAAAGCTCCCCCAAAAGGTTATCACTCCCATCACCAATACACAGAAAATGGAGGAAAGGCTGTTTCCAGTTCTTGGCCTTTAAACAACTCTAAATGTCAGTACTCATAGTGGCGTATTACAAAGTAATAAACAGTGCACACTTGGGGGCAAACTACATATTGAGCTAAGGAAGAGCTCACTGTGATTAAGATTAGATCAAACAACAGCAGAACATAGGCAAATTTTGTCTGAATTCTGTAGTGAATATACATGCTGCAATAACATTAAAAAAGCATGGCAGCCTATTCCAAACCAAAGAGAACAGTTTTGGGCAAAGAGTGGGTCTTTGTGTGTTTGAACTCCCACCACGTAAGGGCAAACTCGATATGCACGCTAATGACCTACAATTATGAAATTAAAAAAGAAAAATGCTAAAGGATGCCAGAGTGAACATCAGTGAGAGCCACAGACACCCACTCTCTTTTAACTTTTTACAAATAAACTTAAACTATAAATTAGAAACACAAATAATCATGAGTGAGTCTAACATTCAAAGGAAGTAAATGAATTGTGTAGGAGATTAACCCCATAACTTGGTTTCTTATTTAAAAATTTCTTGAGCAGCTGTTTGATGATGGTGATGTTTATCTCCTTCTTCTTGGCAGCCAAGCCCAACAAAATAATGGCACACAGCAGTTGCTGCCCAAGCCTGGGTGCTCCTTGTGGTCCTGCACGATCGGCTGTGCAGTAGGCTTGTCAAGGAGAGGATCCTCCCTGGCCTCTCCTTGGGCAGAGGAGGTGAGGCTCACCTCACGAAGATCTTTGGAGAGAGGGAGGCAGGGATCTGAGCACAGTGGGAGCCCCCTCTTCCTGCCTGCCCACCCCACCTGAGGGCTCTACTCACCACCATGCTTGTCTGCAGCCCCAAGCTCCTGGGGAGCTGGGGCTCCTGGACCGGGCTCATCAGCAGGGTTGTGGGCAGCGGCCAGGAATTTTCTGTGCCCATTGTTGTAGTTGCTGTAAGCCGCAATACCATCTGCTGCAGCTCCAGCAGCTTCACCTGGAGGGAGGGGTGCTCAGCTGCCATGCCGCTGCCTGCGCCCACCCTCACACCCACCCCCACCCCCACCCCCACAGAGATGTTGCACACCCTACCTTCATCTCCTCCCTGAGCTCCAGCCTGATGGTGTCCTCCTCCCAGTGCCGCATCTTTGGCACAGCCCCCTGGTTCTGATAAAAGGTGATGGGTTTTCCTGCGGGAGGACAGGGCTCAGACGCTGGGGCCCCTCCGACGGCCCTGTAGCTCCCCCTGCTGTGCCCTGGCCTCCCACTCACTGATGGCGTCTGTCTCGCCAGTGGTGGATGAAGCAGAGTTCTTTTTTCACCAGCTCACTCAGGTCTGCCTTCTCCTTCAGGTGGTCCATAAAGCTGCTCTGGAGCCAAAATATTGCAGTCACATCTCGGCAGCGACCTGCCCTCAGGTGGCATTTTCAAGTCATGGAGAAGGCGGAGGTGAGTCCTGGCATGGGCCAGCTTCTCCGTGACTTCCTGCAGGGCCCAGTGGGTCTCCCCACTCACAGACTCGCCCCCAGGCCCTGGGGCTCCAGGGCCTCTGGCCGCCTCTGGCTCCTTCTGGGCCGAGGCCACCGGGTGAGCCAGGCGCTGGCAGCACACCCTCTGCTCTTTCACCTGCTCTTGTAACTGTGCCTGCTTCTCCTGGGCACTAGCTCCAGCGGACTTGAAAAATGCCACCTGAGGGCAAGATGTGAGCATTCTTCTAGGGGCATACACAGAAGAAATGGGGCAGAGAGGTGGAGCGCAGCCCCTTCCCTTGGGGCCTCAGAGAGTGCACCTGTTGGCCACAGGTGAAATGGTGTCTGACCACTGGCTCTCGGAAGGGGTGAGGGTCCAGAGAAATCAGAAGGCAGGGAAACGAAGAGCATAAAGGGGTCTTGGAGGGACCACAGAGAAAGGTGGCAAAATGGGTGCAGGGGGAGTCAGGCTCACCATGGCCTCCCTGCTCTCCAGGTCCTCTGGGACACTCGGCATGGGCTGAGGTGCCTCCTCCCCCTCACTGTCCAGATGTTCTCCGTGTCCTGTGGGGGGTGGCCAGAGGGGTCTTCAGACAACCCAACAAGGGAGGTACTGTGGGCCCACCTCTACCTCCACCCTCACTGTGTAACCCTGAGCCAGCCCCTCCCCAGAGAGGAATGAGCTGTTGTTCTTTATTTTTACTTTTAAGAATCAAGAGCTTGCTATTCCGCCCAGGCACACTCCCACTACTGGTCGATGTGGGAGTTCTGACCTGCTCCCTTTCTGACCTTGGCCAGTTCAGCCATCCTTAGGCAACTTGGTGACCCCCCGCTCACAGGAGGTCACCACACTGATGCCGAACTTAGTGCAGGCACCCGGTCGGCATAATGACCAGCTGTTCTAAAGGTCTCTTCCAACTCCTCAATCCTATGCTGCTAGCAGTCCCCCCTTCCTCCTGGGGCTCTCTCCTCTTCCTCTGAGCAGTCTCCCGTACCTTCCCCAGGGAGAGCCATGAGGCTCAGCTGGGCCGTTAGCTGCTGGTTCTGCTGGCTGGCCGCTTCCAGGTGCTCCTGAGGGGCCAGGACAGAGTGAGAAGGGGTGGAGTTTGCCAGGTCATCCCCCTCACAGCCCCATCCTCGGCAGCTCCCTCCCCTGGGTCTCCTGCAACTTTTGGCAGGCCATCTCAGCCACCGCTTTGCCCCAAGCTTCCTGCTGCTGCAGCTGGTTCATTAGCTGGGTCTGCTGCAGTCACTGCCTGTACAGCGCCTCCTTCTCACAGGTCAGCTGCTGATAGGTGGCCACGTACTGCTGCAGGTGACCCAGGTAATGGTCTGGCTGCTGCTGCAGACTCTGAGCCTCTTGGCTCTTCAGCTCCACCTGCAGGAAGACCCTGGGTGTGAGGGCATGTGGTGGCTGGTTTCCAGATTCTGGGCCCATTAATAGGGTAGCGAGGGCACTGTGGGGCTCTGTCAGCTGCCCAGGCCCCTGTCCCCTTACTCCAGGCCTAAGTGACTGCCTCCCTTTCCTAGAACCCCATGCCTCCTTCCCCAGCCTCAAATCTCATACCCTCTTCTCATTTAATCCTCAGCACCTCTGTAAGGAAAATGCTAACTTCCCTTTGAAGTTAAAGAAACAGAGACTTAGAGATGCAAAGTACTTGAATGGTGACCAGTGGAACCGAGGCTGGAATCCAGTTTTAATCTAAGGAGTCTTTTTGTTTTGTTTTCAGACAAGAGTGTCACTCTGTGGCCCAGGCTGGAGTGCAGTGGTGCAATCTCAGCTCACTGCAACCTCCACCTCCTGGGTTGAAGCAATTCTCGTGCCTCAGCCTCCCGAGTAGGTGGAATTACAGGCATGCGCCACAATGTCCTGCTAATTTTTTTTTTTTTTTTGTAATTTTAGTAGAGATGAGGTTTTACCACATTGGCCAGGCTGATCCCAAACTCCCGACCTCAAGTGATTCTCCTGCCTCAGCCTCCCAAAGTGCTGGGATTATAGGCATGAGCCACTGCACCTGGCATAAGGAGCCTGTTATACCACTGTCTCTTCCCCTGTGATTGGGGGCTCCATGCCTCTAGCTAGGATGATGATGTCCAGACCTGAGAGGAGCCCAGGGCTACCCACCTTTAAAAGTCAGAGGCAGGAAGCAAGAAACAGGACTGCCCTGGGGGGTGCTGTGGTCACCAGCCCCCAGGCTGGAAGCTGCCTCTGACCTGGCACCTCCCCTCCCAAGAGGCTGCTGCCCGCCTCCCAGCCCTTCTTGGATGGGGTGGAGGTTTCCGTCTCCTTCACCTCGCCAAGCTTCTCCTGTAGCTCCTTTACTTGCTGCTCCAACTGCAGTGCGTTCTTGTTCTCATTGTTCTGGACAGAGAGAAGCAATCAGCAGCCACCCACTGCAGCTGGAGACCCCAGAACTTGGTGTCTGCCTCCCATGGCACTGGGAAGGCTGGAGGCAGGTTAGAAAAATCACTCCCTCTCTCCCACAGCCACCTGGCTCACAGGTGCCTTTAGAAGTAACATTTCATGTGAGGGCTACACTGCCCCATTTTAGAGGTGGGGAAACAAAGGCCCGGAGGGCTAGGGAGGAGGGCAAGCTCCCCAGTTTGGGCAACGCACCGGCTCCTCGAAGACGCTCTGTGGCTTGGCCAGCTGCTGAAGGCTCTTGTGCTGCTCCTGAATCCTCTCCTCCTGCTTCCGAAGCCTCTCTTCCTGCTCCTGAATCCTCTCTTCTTGTCGCTGGTTCAGGAGACTTATGCGCTGATTCTTTTTGACCTGGGCCTGGAGCTCTCCTGCCACTCTCTCTAGTTCCTTCCTCAGGTGCTGCAGCTCCACCTCAGAGGGCACTGCTGGGGGCTCCGGGGGCAAGGGTTCAGCTGAGAAAGGAAGCAGATAATAAGGGCCTCTGGATTCTCGGAAAAGAAAAACCCTCCTCTTGGCGCACAGCTCCTCTCAGGCTCCTCAAACTTGGCCTCACTGCTAATGATTCCTCGCACCCAGATGGTAGCCAGTCTTCCAAAGCACTTTCAGAGAAAGAGCACTGCGGGTGGCTGGCAACGGGCCCTCTTTGCTGATGGGGACACTGAGACACTGAGACTCATTGAGATGACAAGACTCGCCGTCTCCTGGCACAGATCTCTTTCCCTCTGCCTCAAAGCCCTTCCATCCACTCACCTCCCTGGGGCACTCTAAGCCACCCTCACAGCCCTCTGATGCCAGTCCTGCTCCCAGGTCATGCCAGCCCCATCTTACCCATCTGGTTTTTGAGTTTGGACAAGCTCCTCTCCAGCTTCTCTACCCGACGCATATCTTGCTGCTTCTCTTTCTTTAATGTGCAAATCTGCCCAAAGCACAAGGGGAAAGGGCCTTGGAGAGAGGGGCTGGAGGCTGGACAGGCTGCCCTCTCCCTCTCTGCCCCCACCTCCACAAAGCCCAGACCCATGACCACCTCTGGCTCTACTATTCCCATTTTACAGATGACCAGAAAGATCCAGTGACCTATCTAATGTGGGGGGGCTGAAGGGTCAGATCTCACCTCCTGCGACATTTTTCTCATCCTCTGCTGCCACCGGGCCCTCTCTCCTTTTAGATGTTCAGAATACTCATCTCTTTCTAATTGGACTTGTTGAAAAGACTCCTTCAACTGCAAGAATGGGCACAGAACTTAGGAAGGGCTGTCACTGGTCCTCACCTGCTCCTGGCCACCTGGGGTCATCTTCCTTCCACATAACTCCCTCAGAAAACCTCACCTGTGTCAGCTGCACTTTCAGTAGTGCCTCCTCCCGCATGGACTGCTCTAACTTCCACTCCGTACGTGCTTTGCTGCGGCTGGACAACTGGATGGTGAAGAGTGAGAAGTTTCAATCTGGAGAGCCTGGGCATTTCCACACAGTGCCCCTTAACAGGGCTAGGGCTAGGCCCAATATACAACTCGGTCAGTAAAGATCAAGGCATTTCCCAGCCCGTGGTCTGGTTTTTAAAAGAACACAGTAAAGTTGGAACGGACAGGGAATGAGACTGAGTTTATAGCTGGCTAACAGAGGCCCAGAGAGATCAGATAATATTGCTGTTGTTATTATTGTCATTATTACCACTGTTTGAACCTTTGTGGAATGCTTCACCAGGTACCGTGCTAACAATCCCATTTAATCCTCGCAACCACCATAGGAGACAGTTACTATGATTCCCTCTATTGTGGAGATGAAAAAACATGGAGTATTTGAGGTTAAGTGCTTGCCTAAGTTCACTTAGGCAGAGCTGGGATATAAACACCCAGGTCTATCCAATTCTCTAAGCCCATTTTTCTTGCTGGGGATGGGGGCACAGATAGGAAGGGGAAAATTAATCTTTTGTTCACTTTTTGAAAGGATGATACATTCACATAGTCCAAAACTCAGAAGGTACAGAAGGGAAGTATCTCCCAGCCATCTTGTTCTCTCTCCTGAATTTTTTATGAACCCTTGCAGACATGTTTTATGTATATTATCACAGTATGTACACACACACACACACACACACACACACATGCACGCGTTTCCTCTTTCTACAGAAATGGTAACATACTAAAGGTACTCTTCTGTACCTTCACAGTACAAGTACCCAATACCCCACCTAGGACTAGGACTTGCCCAAGACCACAGACAGGTAAGGGCGGGGCAGGCACTTGGCCTCCAAGCTCTGCGTCCAGTGCTCACTCCACACAGTGACCCCCAACTCACCCACAGCAGCTGACTCAGCCCCAGGCTGCCACTAAAAACCATACAAAAAAGTAGCAAGAAATGGCCATGCTGCCTTCTGGGCAGGACACTCCATCCTGCAGAAGGGACCTTTAGGCTCACTCCTCCATCTGCAAAGCCAGGCTCCCAGGGGATGGGGCAGGTGGTTGGACTCACCTGGTTTGCCTTCTTCTTCTGTGTGGCCATGACATTAGAGAGAACACTCTCTAACTCTCCTTTACGCTGCAATGAATGTTGCAGGCGGACAGCCAGATCCTTGGACTTTTCTGTAATGAGAGAGTTGAGATGGGGCCCAAAGGACTCCCCCTGAAGACCTGTCAAAGTGCCAGGTTGAAGGATGACAGGGTGCCCAGATTCCCACCTTCAAAGTATCTGAGAGAACGTTTCATGTGGTACAGGTCCGTATTTAGTTCCTCTTTCTGTATGTTCAATGTCTGGATTTGAACCTTTGGGAGAAAAGCCAAGGAAGTGCTGAAAGAGAAGGAAAGAAACCTTCTCCGGAGGACAGGAGGAAACTGCACACCCTCCACTCACCTCTAGCACCCTTTTGGCTTTCTGTTTCTTGTTGTTTGCTTTCTTTTCCTGTAGGAAGAGGAAGACAGAGCTCTTACCAGGGGGAGGCAGAGATGGCACAGCAAGAGACATGCCCCCAGAATGCCACCAATGCCCCAGGACAGGCCCACCCATGGGACCAGGTTATCAGGGGCCCTGTGGGGATGGGGTGGAATCTGAAGGGTGAGCCTTCATCCCCAGGCTGGGAGTGGGTGAGACGAGACTGGGGCCTGTATGTCTGAGTGCCCCCCAAACCCAGCAGTCATGTTGCGAGGAAACGAAATCACGTTACTTCTTCCAGCTGATGTTCCACTTGTTTCTTCTGTTGTTTCTGTGGGGAGAGTCAAATAAGGTGATGGAGGGTGGCCCCCTCAACTCTATTCCCCAGACCAGGAAGCGGTAGGCAGGGGCCAGGAATGGATTTTAAAGGCAAAGTTCTCAGACATAATGGGAACACGAACCGGTAAACTCTCCTCAAGCTCCCAAGGACAGAGGATTTGGGTCTTTGTTGGCTTTTGCCCACAGCCACAGAACTCAAAGTCTGAATCTGGAATCTCTTGAGAGGACAGCAATATAAACCTCTAGAGATGGAGTTTCAGAAAGGCCCCTCCTTCTGGCAGCTTGTGATTTAGAGAAGTGGGTTCATTCAATAAACATTTACTGAGCATGTATGGGCCAGGTACGGTTCTTTACAGCAGATATAGGATGGAAAAGGACAGACAGGAGCCCTTAGCCCTGAGGTTTCCGTTCTAGGGGGCCTTTAAATCTCAGACTCGAGAGCTAACAGAGACCTTTGATACTCACTACCTCCTCTGGAAACACGAGCCCAAAAAGGAGAGGTGGCTTGTCCAGAATCAAAGAGCAAATTAGGGACTGAGTCATGGCAGAAATACGGGGCCCTTGACAACCAGTCAGGCTAGCACTTCCCCAAGAGGCAACAACCCCAGGGCGTGTGTAGCAAGGACTCGAGCAGGGGTGTCTGGAGAGGAGAGAGTCGGCAAAGAGGGCAGCAAAAGAAGAGCCATGCTGCATGCTCTGGGGTCCCTCCAGGTGAGGCCTGGGCACCCAAGCTCCCTATTTGTCCCAGGCACCAGGGACCCCCAGCCCCTTTCTTCAGGGCCCCAAGGGGAAACTGGAGCCCAGGATTGGCAGCGTGGAATCAGGGGACCCCAGTGGACTCTTACCAGAGATTTGATGGTGTTCTTCAGTTGACTGATTTCTACGGACCTTGAATCCAGGACTACTGCTCGTTCTTGGCACGGGCTCTGAGGTGCATGCAGAGAGGAGGAGGTGGAGCAGGAGTGGGGGGAGAGGTAGAGAGAACAATCATTAGGGCTGGGGTGTGTAGGCTGTCTCAGCTGGCAGAGGGGCACCCAGTCCCACCTGGAGGAGGAGGTTGGAGGGTTGACCCGAAGGGTCACTGCACCTCCGCCCAGAGCCTCTTACCTCCAGATCTTTCAGGGTAGCAGATGATGTAGGGCCTTCCCTGTGGAAACCTGTTGCTGACTACAAGAGATGAGAGTGCACATGGAGATGTTCTGTCCCCCACAGTGTCTGAGCCCTCTGACTTCCTTTCTTCCCCATCAACTGGCAACATTTTCTTTTCTGCCTATCTTGGACCTTTTGTCCCATAACTCCTTTGTGCCAACTTCTCTCATGGTTCTTATCTCCCCACCATCCCATCCTGGGGCCCCTTCAGTGACTCCTGATGGCAAGTGGCTGTTCTCATTGTCCTGGTTTCCCCCTGAGACTGGGGATGAGGAAAATCAAACCATATCCTGGGTGTCCTGAGTGTTTACAGCAGGCCATGTACTAGGGATTAACATAAAAACAACAATAACAAATCTCATTTAAACTTCACAAATGGAAGTGAAACAATAACACCTCTATTATACAGATGTGAAAAGAGAGGCCCGATGAGGTCTAGCAACTTGCCCTAAATCATATCCCTAGCAGAGCAGATGGAGAGGCAGGATTCAAACCCAGAATTCCTTTTTTTTTTTTTTTCTTTGAGACAGAGTCTTGCTCTGTCACCAGGCTGGAGTGCAGTGGCATAATCTTGGCTACTGCAAGCTCCACCTCCCAGGTTCACACCATTCTCTTGCCTCAGCCTTCTGAGTAGCTGGGACTACAGGCACACGCCACCACGCTTGGCTAATGTTTTGTATTTTTAGTAGAGACAGGGTTTCACCGTGTTAACCAGGATGGTCTCGATCTCCTGACCTCATGATCCGCCTGCCTTGGCCTCCCAAAGTGCTAGGATTACAGGCGTGGGCCACCACACCCGGCTAAAGCCAGAATTCTTAACCAGTACCCAGCAGTCCATCCACAATCTTAAGAATTACCCTCTATTGCCCCTTGGGCCCCCTGTCCCCAGAAGCCTGGTCAGCCAAGACTCACATCCCTAGGTGGCTGGCAACCACCAGAAGTGGCTTTCTCAGGGATACTGCCATTTGTTTTCCTGTTCCTGTTCGCTCCTGCTGGAACTCTAGGGCTGTTTTTCTGCCAATATTCTTTTAACTGTTGGAAAGAAGAGCAGTAATACTCATGAGAACCATCAGCCCCTACAGCCACATCCTCCTTTACAGTTTTTACAAAATACACTTACACACCATCTGATTTAATGACACCAACAACTGTACAAGGTGTTGTCACACTCATTTAGTGACTGAGAAGGATTGATATCATGGCTAGAAAAAAAAAAAAGAAAAAGGCAATACTGGAACTTTGAAACTCAGTCTTCTGACTCCAAGCTCTGAGGTTTTGCCAAGAATCAGCAGCTGCCAGGGACCAAAACCAGAGGCAGAGGTAGAAAAGTAAACATTAAGTAGGCAGGAACTGTATGCCATGTGGTTTAGAGTCATACATCCTCACACGTCTGTTAGTGTGAAGAAGTGCACCAGTACCTCTCAAACTCTTATATCAATGTGTCCTCATGGCAGAAGGCAGCCTTTCTCTTAAATCAGAATTTATCAGAAAGAGGATAACCCAAGCCTCATTTCAGAGAGAGGTCTGGTATACTCTTAGAAACCTATGTGACTGTCATCCCTAAGTACATTCATGTTTTTTCTCTTGATCTCAAGAGAATCAAGGGAAACTGATGCTTCAGAAAGATGTCCCACATTTATCCTGTGGCACTCAAAGTACCCAAGGTTGAGATAATATGAGGAAGATTCAAGGTGTCAAGTTCAGTTTCCCAAGATCTATTCCACAGAAGATGAGCAAATGTCACTTCAGAGACCACTGACTGAAGGAGAGTCTGGTCCCAGAACCATGGAGAATTAGAATATGAGGTGGAGAACTCAGAAAAAAATGTTAAAATCTCTCTGGAAAGTAGAAGCCTGGGAGAAAACCAAACCAAACCCATTCTCTCATTGCCACCCAGAGATACTGTCAACGTTTTGAGTTCATGGGGGAAGTGTAGGCTTTTCCCACCGTCAACATCTGTAAGGGAGTGAGGCAGCCTGGAACCTCTTCCTCCTAGGTCCCATAGTCTCCATTCCCCTTCCAGCTGGAAATTTGTGCTGTGACCAGAGGAACCAGAAACGGGGTGAGAACGCTTAGGGGACTGGGTCGTAAGATCAAAGGCCAGTCTTGCAGTAACGGCAGTTACTAGGTGGACTGTGACATCACAACATTCCACTCCTCCTGGTCGGGGGGAGGGACCATGTCAGCACCATGTCCAAGTCGCTGCTCCACGATGGGGGAGGGAAGCACAGGGTTGGGACCCAGCTCCTTGGAGACGCCAGCACAAAGAACCCAGGGAGGTCGACCTTGAGGCAGCAGGAGGGGAGGGCACAGTCTGCAGCAGGGAGTCCCAGGAGTCACCAGTCCAAAGTCACCCAGGGATGACTGGCGAGGGTGGGGCCTGGCTCCTTGGAGATGAGAGCCCAAAGAGCCCAGGGAGATCAAGCTTGGGGCGGCAGGAGATGAGGGCCCAGTAATGGAGCGGGAAGCCCCAGGACTCACCCACCCAAAGTCACCCTGGGGTGATTGGCGAGGGCAAGGACTGGGCTGCTTGCTGAAGGGGTGGGGCTGACTGACAAAACTTTGGTGGGGGTAGCCCAGAGGCACCGGGGTAGGGGGGACGAGTCCAGTGTGCCTCAGGAGTCGTATAGACTCTGGCAGGGGTCTTGTCATCAGAGGGGATCTGTGGCTGGGTTGAGGGGCTATGACCTAGTGCGTTTTTACCTTTTTCTTGGCTGCAGCCAATTTGTTGTGTTGAGTTTCTTCTGCCATCGCAGGGTGGGGAGGGAGGCAGGGTTGGGGTCACAGCAGCAAAATCTCAATGAGAACCGATCAAGGCCTCCAGTCACCTACCAGGCAGCTGTGTGACTGAGCCAGAGGAGGCGTAACCAGGGCCCCAGTAGAATGCGGAATAGGGGCGTGGCCTTAATGCTCCAAGCCCATTGGTCAATGAGAAAGATGAAAAGGAAAGGGGGCGTGGCCAGAAAGCAGTGTGTCCAGAGGGACCTGTGGCTCACAAGGAAAGCTGCCCATGGCAACCGCTCTCCCCACCCACTCTAAGAGAGGGGAGAGGCCTCCCACTCTGGAAGAGAAGAGGGGCCGGCTTTTGCTTTAAAAGCTTTAAAACTTTAAAAAATATATGTGTGTATACTTTATATATATGTGTGTCCGTGTGTGTGTATCTATGTTTTTCTCCATAGCTGTCTTCATTATCCAGCTTCTATGCAAGGTCTATGATTTTGGCCTATATTCTTCATCTTTGATTACAGTACAAAAATTACCAGTATTACCTTAACTGAGATACAGATCCTATAAAAATGGAAAATGCATAGCATGCTTGATGATTAATGAAGCAGACTATATTATCCAACATTCTAATAAGATAAAATAATCACAATGATTTCTCTTTTTTGGAAAAATGTTTCTTTTATTCTCCTACGTTTTCATTAAGATTTTTTTTTCTTAAACAAGAAACATGTCTAATATCTGTAAAAACACAAAGCTTTTGGGCCGGGTGCAGTGGCTCATGCCTGTAATTCCAGGACTTTGAGAGCCCAAGGTGGGTGGATCATGAGGTCAGGAGATCGAGACCATCCTGGCTAACACGGTGAAATCCCATCTCTACTAAAAATACAAAAAAGGCCGGATGTGGTGGCAGGCAACTGTAGTCTCAGCTACTTGGGAGGCTGAGGCAGGAGAATGACATGAACCCCCGAGGTGGAGCTTGCAGTGAGCCAAGATCATGCCGCTGCACTCCAGCCTGGCTACAGAGCAAGACTCCATCTCAATAAATAAATAAATTAATTAATTAATTAATAAAAATAAAAAATTAATAGTAAGAGCAATGTGAACAAAAGTTGTAATAAAATAATTTAGAAAATACAAACTATTAAAAAATAGATTTTAAAACTTGTGCAACAAAGTCAAACAGCACCCAACGAAAATGTATACCCTTACATGTTTGTTTAAAAAGCAATTTAAATTACATTGATCCACTAAACTGGGAAAAGCAAAACAAACAAAAAGGGGGAAATAATTAAGACATAAGGAAAAAGGAAAAAGAAAAACCACTAGATTTAAAAAATAAAACTGAAGGAGGATTCTTTCAAAAGACTGAGATAATAAAACAGTCAAGCCTCTGATAAGTAATCAAGATAAAGAAAACTTTGAAGAGAAAAGGGCATATAGCCACATGTGAATATGATGCAAAAAGTGAAAACTTTACACATCTTTACAACACCTTAGAAGTATGGATGACATGTTCATTTTTTTTTTTTTTTTTTTTGAGACGGAGTCTTGCTCTGTCACCCACGCTGGAGTGCAGTGGCGTGATCTTGGCTCACTGCAAGCTCCGCCTCCCGGGTTCACAACATTCTCCTGCCTCAACCTCCCGAGTAGCTGGGACTACAGGCGCCCGCCACCACGCCTGGCTAATTTTTTGTATTTTGGCTTAGTAGAGACGGGGTTTCACCATGTTAGTCAGGATGGTCTCGATCTCCTGACCTCGTGATCCACCCGCCTCGGCCTCCCAAAGTGCTGGGATTACAGGCATGAGCCATCGCACCCGGCCAAAGTGTTCATTTTTTTTTTTTTTAAGAACCTACAGTTATGAAAACTAACTGGAAAGAAATGGGTTTTGGGAAAGATTGAGTACATTTTTGTGATGTTCAACATTATTTTTTCTTACAGTTTTAAAAACACAATTGATATTTCTATCAATTTGACTTAAAAAAATTAAGAACTATATTAAAATTTACCAGCAGAGGGGAGTGAAGGAACACAAAGCAACTTTCAGTTTAGGGTAATTTTTGGGCATAAACAGGGCAGCACTGTCCTCAACTCTATTCTTCTTTATTAGCCAGTGAATCCATGTGAGCTCATTAAATGTTATTAACAGCTCAGTCTATAATGGAGGGCAAATAAAGAGACTTGTAGGTCACAAAGGTATTGACTTTTGATCAGAAGTTCCAGGGGGCGAGAAGAATGAACTAACTCCATGCATTCTTTTTTTGTTTTTGTTTTTGTTTTTTTTTGAGACGGAGTCTTCCTCTTTTGCCCAGGCTGGAGTGCGGTGGCTCAATCTCGGCTCACTGCAAGCTCCGCCTCCCAGGTTCAGGCCATTCTCCTGCCTCAGCCTCCCGAGTAGCTGGGACTACAGGCGCCCACCACCACGCCCGGCTAATTTTTTGTATTTTTTAGTAGAGACGCGGTTTCCTCGTGTTAGCCAAGATGGTCTTGATCTCCTGACCTCGTGATCTGTCCGCCTCGGCCTCCCAAAGTGCTGGGATTACAGGCATGAGCCACCGCGTCCGGCTCCATGCATTCTTATGGCCACATTTTTCCAGTTTGAAGTTTTATTTTCTGAGTTTCTTGAAACAATTGTGAAATCAGTTTTATTACACTAAAATCACTGTATTTTCTTATTTTTGGATATCTATTTAAAAATATTCATTTAGAATGACATTCCAGTGAAATACATTTTTAACGGCTGTTCTATGTCACAGGGATAACAATTTGACTTTCACAAACTGTATTTCAGACGTACAAGGTCTTCATTTTGATGAAGAGGGGCTGTGGGAACGTAATCTGATGCCTGTTCAAAATGTACCAGAAGTGCACGCATGTGTATGCAGGCATGAGCGCACACACACACACACACAAAACCCCATTGGGATTCCATTTAGCACACACACACACACACACACACACACACAAACCCCACTGGGATTCCAGTTAGCACGCACACACACACACACAGACACACACACACAGCCCATTGGGATTCCAGTTATTTACCTCGAGATGGATGCTTGCTGATGTTCCAAAACCTCTTTAGGTCTTAAGGCAAAGGGCCTTTTGAATGCAAAAACCCTTACCTAGATGGAATAGACAGCAGCAATCATTGTCAACAACCTGAAATATATATTGAGTAGTTCCCATGCTAGACATTAGAGACATAAAGATGCAGAAGAGGCCATCGCCTTAAGGGAAATAATCCCGTTCAGACAAATGAGAATACATTGTGTAATGAGCTATCTCTTATAGAAAAGATGAAGACCAATCACCAACAGACCAGAATTCCAATATTTCACCAACTTGTAATATTATTCCAACTTCTCCTTCACATTCACTTAATTCTCATAGAGCAGTAACCAGAGTTTTGTGTTCTTTTTCTTTTTCTCTTCTTCTTCTTTTTTTTAAAAAACAAAGTCTTGCTTTGTCGCCCAGGGTGAAGTGCAGTTGTGCGATCTCGACTCACTGCAGCCTCCACCTTTTGGGTTCAAGAGATTCTCATGCCTGAGCCTCTTGAGTAGCTGGGATTACAAGCATCTGCTACCATGCATGGCTAATTTTTGTCTTTTTAGTAGAGACAGGGGGTTTTATCACATTGGTCAGGCTGGTCAGTTTTGTGTTCTTACTAGAGAGTTCTACTCTGTTATGTCAGAGAAGGAAAATGTCTTTTGATTTCATTTCAATGAAATGTCTATTCATTAATTACATCTTCATTGGCATTTCATACAGGATTAAGACTATCTTCTTTGCCTTAATGGTATACTGTGTGCATTGTTCCTTACCCATCGTAGCAGCTTTGAAGGTCTTTTATCCATATTGGTATTTTCCAGTACCAGAAAACCAAGTCTTGAAAGAAGGACTTCATGTCTTATCCATGGACACGCCATGGTTCCAGAATGTGTTGTCAGTTGATAAGATAGGCTTGATTTGTTACTGGTCTTAATGAGGGCTTTAGGTCAGCACACCAGGCAATGTAGGAGTTCTGGGACTGTTAGGGAAGGCCTGATGGAGAAAATGGAATGTTAGCTGGGCTTTAAAGAGAAAGTAGAAATTAGATCACTGGGGGAGGGGGTAATGTAAAAAACATTCCAGGTAAGAGAAAGTGCTTAGCAAGTAAGAAAGCATCCAAAATATTAGAAAGTACCAGGCTGGTGCAGTGGCTCACACCTGTAATCCCAGCACTTTGGGAGGCCAAGGCAAGTGGATCACTTGAAGCCAGGAGTTCAAGACCAGCCTGGCCAATATAGTGAAACCCTGTCTCTACTAAAAATACAAAAGTTAGCGGGGCATGGTGGCATGAACCTGCAGTCCCAGCTACTTGTGGGGCTGGGGCTGAGGCTGAGAATCTCTTGAACCTGGGAAACAGAGGTTGCAGTGAGCCGAGATCACACCACTGCACTACAGCCTGGGCAACAGAGCGAGACTCTGTCTCAAAAAATAAATGAATAAATAAGTAAAATAAAAAATAAAATGCTTACAGGAACTTCAACCACAATTTTTCTTGTTCACTGATAGTAAATCTAATAGAGAATTCAGGATTTATCTTACACTTGAAATTTTGTTACTGATTACTGAAAAATTATCTACAAGCACCCAATTGTGAGTTTTACAGAAACCTGGTCTCAGGAGTTATGAACCAAAGATTCACCAGTGGACTCTGCAGAGTTTTCAGATCCCCTGAAATCATGTGCTAGGTGCTGACTGCATTTTTCTGGAGAGGCTATAATGGTTTTCATTCATCTGATTCCTCTCAAATGGTAAAAATCACCAATGGAATGGAGCCACACATCCTGTAGCAGAAACTTCTAAAAAACCAGGAAAAAGATGAAACATGGTACCATGTACCTGCTCAGCCTCTACAGATCCTGCTTCCGGAAGTTGAAACAAATTCTTAAAACTTGCACAACTTTTTTTCTAGTGCTTGAATGACCTCTAGTGGCTCCTTAAATTATCACAGCCAATTGCTCACAGCAGGAAATAGGTTGATGTAAAAGAAATTCACAGATTTTGCCATTAAAAGTAACGAACTAAAGAACTAAAAGGTGTGGAGAAATAATAAAATTAAGATGGCATCACAAAGGAGCACGTGGCTCAATTTCAAGTTATTATATAAGCTCCCTACTATCCAACCAAATGTAGTTCACAATACAGTGTGTGTAATTCAAAACAGTTCACCAGATAGTTCAGTACACACCATTTTTTAAATGAAATAAGTATGATTTTCCCTAAGGTCTTGCATTTCAAATTAATAAAGCATCAGCAAACACCCATGAAGAGAACAGTACCGGAATCAAAGATACAAGAACCTCGGGAATTAACACCCACCCTTTCCTCTCAGTTGAGGCAGGACCAGGAATACAACGTTGACAAAGTATAACTGGAGTAGCAGAAATACTTTGAGAATACAAACTGGCCACAGAACTCAACCTGAGTGAGCACAAGTAACAAATATGGTCCAGGAACTGCTGGGCCAAACTCTCCAAGTGGGAGTGCAGCAGCCGCAACAGCAAGTACCAGTAGAACAAGGGCAGCACATCACCCAGGGTGACAAGCAGGTCCCAGATTACTTCACATGCCCTCTGCCCAGTCCCTTGAGAATTCCTGCAGCAGCAAAACATACCATCTTCCAGGCACTGCTACAGGGAGTCCCAAGCATACTGATACACTTTCATTCACTTATTTCAAAATATTTGTCAGTATCTAGATATACACAAGACACTGTCTAGGCACGGGGGTGGAGTGTTGAACAAGACAATTCACAATCCCTGTTCCAATGGAGCTTGTAGTCTAGTATGGAAAGAGAAATAAATACATAAAATGCCAGGTGGTGATATATGCTGTGAAAAAGATCAAGTAGAACAAGGGGTTTGGAAATTACAGGGTGCCCATAGTATTCTTTTCTATAAGTTGATCATCTCAATTCAGACTAGCTGTTCTTCAAGCACTCAATAGCCACAGTGGCTGGTGGCTACTATACTGGATAGTGGAACACATCTGAAACTATCATCCATGCCTTTTTAATTCACAATCTTTATCCTCTTTCTTTCTGAATCCTAAGAGAATTCATCCAACTGATCTTCAAATTCACTAACTCAGCTTCCTAAAGTATCCATAATCTACTGCAACTACTGAATCATTTAATTCAACAGTCATATTTTACATATTCAGAGGCTCTTTCTTCACAGCTTCTGAGCAACAAATGCCTGCTCTGACGATGCATGAATATCCTCTAAAATCTTGGGACTTTGTCTTGGACTTTATGTTCTCTCCCATCTTCTACAGCTACTCCATCTCACTGGAGACCTTTTGCTCTGAGCCATCAGAAGGAACCCCCATTTTTAAGATCCTAAGCCTTCTCATCTTCCTGGTAATACTGCCCTATATGCTCAATCTTTTAGATAAAAATCTACTCGACACATCTCTGAGAACCAAGTTGGGTACCATCAGTAATCACACAGGTCACAATTCATTTATTTTAGGCCCCCCAAAAAAGGAAAAAATTAGACTTAGTGGCATTTTACTAGTAGCTCAGAGATCCAACAGTTTGCAGGAAATAGAGATGTAATTGTAAGCAAGGGAAATACAGTGAAATTATATTAATCTCCACCCAGACACTGTAAGGCCAGCTGGTATACTATCCCAGCAATTGGCTACTGCAGTGAATGGCACAGAGAGAAAAGTTTCCAATTCCTCTTGAGGCTCCAAATACCAATTGGCTACTATAGTGGACAACACAGACATAGAAAGTTTTCCAATTCCTCTTAAAGCCCCAAATACCACACAACCAGCTTCAGCTCTACAAAATCCTCTCTCCCTTACCCTTTTTAACCTCCTTCAGGACCTCTTGCTATTTCCCCTAAAAAGCCTTGGTTCTTTTCACCTACACTGACTCTTGAGCCTCTCCCAGTTCAAGGTATAACACTCTATTACCAATAAAGTGTAATATACATTAACAGAATAGGTAGAAAGTAATCTTTCATACGAAAACACTAAAAGCCAGAAGAATTTGAATTTTGAATTATAAGCTATGATTTAATTAGGAAATACATTAGCTGTAACAAAATGTTGGACAGACTACAAGAAAACGGGAAATGAACAAGTCTTATTCAAAAACAAATGAAATAATGATGAGTAGGGTTCACGAGCCTTGTTAACTCTGCTGTGCCATTTTAATGATGGACTACATTGTAAATGAGCTGCTATGTTTAAGCCTAAAGGTCTGTTGAGGTGATAAGTTTTTGAACAATTTCCACAATCCCACAAAGAAAAGTCAAGTGAAGGTCAAGGAAAGCCGCATGTTCTAAATTACAGAATCAACAACAGTATTTCTTGTCATTCATCACATTTCAGTCATAAAAGACATTACCTCAACAACAGGTGTATTTTCCTGGAGATCAGTTTTGTGCGAAGCCAGTAAACCAATCACCCGAGCAACCTTGGCCCATCTGTAAACGGAGAGAAAACAGGCTCTGAAGAGAAGAGTCAGGGACTGAGGAAACTAACCCCAGCTAGTTACATTATGCAATGATGAGCATTAGATATAAGACTGTGAAATAAAAATTGAATGTGACAGGTCAGGCCCACACTCCCCCATGTACACAGCCCAGAGAAACTCTCCCTCGTATACACAGGGAGACATGAACTGTAATGTCTGCTGTAATTCTGCAACAGCAACAAAATTTAAACAAGTTATGGTGTAATAGTAAAAGGAAAAACAAAATTTGTTAAAAGCCTTAACCAGAGAAAAGAGCAACACGTAATTAATCATTTTATTGCTGAGTACAGAGGCATTTGGCTAAAGGTCTCTTTTCTACTTGTTAGTAGATCAGTGAGTTTCTACGTAAGTGCTAAATATCTGAACAATAACATATCTGTATGTATTCATTTTAAAAGAAATTTTTACAATCAAAAGTTTCTAAAATATTGTACTATTTCCATAATCACTAGTCTTAATGAGGTGTGCCTTTAGTATCCAGCAGAAAACTGAATTTGATAAATCACAATTAATAAATCACATTCAGTGTGATTTGAAAAGGTATTTCATGCAGAAAAATTAGTTTTGATGAGAATTTTTTCTAATTGAAACAAATGGTGAGTTGATGAGAACTGCACTCATTGAGTGATGTCTGCATGTTGTCTGGAATAATCAATATGTACCTTAGTCAGCTTTTATTTTTTACCTTCTTAAAATAAACCTATGTGGCACCCATGGAGGAAAACAAATCAGACTCAGAGAAGTACTTCAGGGAAAATGTCTGCGTTATCACAACTCTAACATACAGAAATAATTCTTAGAAATTTCAACACTTATTAAATTGCCCATTAAAATTTCTTAACATATACAAATTAAAGAAGACCTAGGCAATTGTAGAACTAGCATCCTACCTCTGAATAAAAAGATTATAGTTTAAAAGTAATCATTTTGAAAAATATCTGTAGGATAATTGGAAAAGCCATCCTCCCACCACAACCCCCCAAGTAGCTGGGACTACAGGCGTGCACCACCACGCTCAGCTAATTTTTTTACTTTTTGTAGAGATGGGGTCTCGCTATGATGCCCAGGCTGGCCTTGAGCTCCTGACAAACAATCCTCCCATCTCAGCCTCCCAAACTGCTGCGATTACAGGTCTGAGCCACTGCACCTGCCTGTCTATCTCTTTTCAAAGACAAGCTCAAAATACTTTTGAAACACTGAACCATTTTTCAATCTATAAAAGTAAATAATGGCTACCAGATTTAATCAATGGAAATAAAAATGTATCAACAAGCCAATTATTTTCCCTAATATGACCAAAACAATTCCTATTAGAACAAAAGAAAACACACTACCTAAAAACCCTATACTTTTAAAATAGAAACTTTAAATAGCTTATGAATAGTCACTTTTTACCAAAATCCTAAATACAAGTACCACATGCCCCATAGACAACACCCTCACAGTACAGGTTCCTTCTCAAAATTCAGGTTTTCTCAGGTCACCACTCCAGGTGCCCCCAGTGACTTGACACTGTACCTCAGAACCAACCCATCTCCATGACAGCATCTAAGGCACCACTGTCTACCAAACCTTCGTGCACTGACAAATGTCCCACATCTGCACTGTTCAATCCAGTATCCACTAGACACATGACTATCAAGCACATAATATATGACACATGCAAGTGAGGAACAACAAATTTTATTCAAATTAATTTTTTTTTTTTTTTTTTGGGAGACAGGGTCATCCAAGCTAGAGAGCAGTGGCGCAGTCTCCGCTCACTGCAATGCCTCCCGGGCTCAAGTAATCCTCCCAATTCAGCCTCCCAAGTAGCCGGGACTGTAGGTGTGTGTCACCACACCTGGCTAATTTTTGTATTTTTAGTAAAAACAGGGTTTCACCATGTTGTCCAGGCTGGTCTTGAACTCCTGAGCTCAACTGATCTGCCCACCTCAGCCTCCCAAAGTGCTGGGATTATAGGCGTGAGCCACTGTATTTGGCCTTAATTTTTATTTTAAAAATTACCCCCACAGTTGAGGGTGAGGGAGACAGTGCCCTGGGGTAATTACTCATCTTTCATGTGCCTAGTCCTGGTTACCTCGTAAGTAGGACCGATAACAATACATACCGCATGTTGTTAAAAGAATCAAAGGAGATAATCCATGTGCAGAAAGTACCATTGTGTCCGACAATACATGCTGAATGAGTAAGCTACTATTAATTTAACTAATTTAAATAACCCCCATGAAGTGAATGGCTACCACATTAGAGCAGAACTAAAATTTTGCAGTTACTTATTCATTCATTGACTGGTTTATTGTCTGTCTCCTCGACCAGCCCAGAAGATCCATGAAGGCAGGACTGTATCCCGATCGCCACTGTGACACCTAGACAGTGCTTGGAGCGCACTCGGGCATCTAAAAATGTTGGTTGAACAAATATATCAACATCAAAAGCAAAATAAACACATTAGTAGGAAAGGAGTGCATAAAAGTATGGCTGTCCAAGGCAAACAAAATGCAAACAGGATTGCCAATGTAAATCTCAGCAGAATTCAAGGCTAAACTCTTCAGAAGAAGATTCCCTTTAAACGAAACACCATATGACCTACAAAAGATCTAAGGTGTGAATCTTTATACACCAAATAACAAAGCACGCAAAGTAAACCCATGGTAGTGGTAAACTTCAATTTTCTTCTCTTCCAAGCACAGAGAGAAGGCAATAACGAATATATTAATCAATACATTCACACATTCAAGCATCCTAAATAAAACTAATGAAGTCAAAGTAACAGACGTATCTATCAAACTCTACACCCTACAAACAGTGACCACCCTTACTCAGTGGGAGGCTGCATAGGATGGTGTCTAACACTCTAGAATTCAAAGTCTTGGACCTAGCTCTGGCCCACCATTGGAGGTGAGGGAGACAGTACCCTGGGATAATTACTCATCTTTCATGAGCCTGGTTTCATGTTGTTCTAAGAATCAGGAGATAATCCACATGCAGAAATTACCAATGTGTCCTGACAATTTGTGCTGACTGAGCAAACTACTAGTACTACATTATTATCAATAGTTGACTACATTCATGGCATACATTAAAAATGATTTTATATTGGACCACAAAGATAAATTATTAGAATTCCCTAGGGCAGAAATTATAAAGGACTCATTTTGATGTAGCAAAAGGAAAAAAGTAAAAATAACAAATACAAACCAAAAAACCTAAACACGTGTGGAGTTAAAAGCACTTCTCCTGGGCATGGTGGCTCACGCCTGTAATCCCAGCACTTTGGGAGGCCAGGGCAGGCTGATTACTTGAGGTCAGAAGTTCAAAACCAGCCTGGCCAACATGGTGAAATGCCATCTCTACTAAAAAATACAAAAATTAGTCAGGCGTGGTGGTGGGCGCCTGTAATCCCAGCTACTTGGGAGGCTGAGGCAGGAGAATCGCTTGAACCCAGGAGGCGGAGGTTTCAGTGAGCCGAGATCGTGCCACTGCACTCCAGCCTGGGCAACAGAGCGAGACTCCGTCTCAAAAATAAATAAATAAATAAAATAAAGCACTTCTAAACCTTATACATCATATTAAAAAATAAAAACTTTGGCCGGGTACAGTGGTTCACACCTGTAATCCCCAGCACTTTAGGAGGACAAGATGGAAGGATCACTAAGGCCAGGAGTTCAAGACCAGCCTGGCCAACAAAGTGAGACCCTGTCTCTAAAAAAAAAAAAAAAAAAAAAAAATTTAATTTAGCCAGGCATGGTGGCATGTACCTGTAGTCCCATTCCAGTCTGGGGAACACAGTGAGACCCTATTTTTTTTAGAGTGAGTCTCTAAAAATAATAATAATAAAAAATACATAAAAGAAACAAAAGGAAAAATAAAAGGGAAAGGGAAAGAAATAAAGCATCCGTAAATCACAATCGTGTAAGTAACACAGATGCAAACTTATGAGATATTCTGTCTTTAATGATTGCACACTGAACACTTGACACTCACTTTTCTGAACCCTCTAGAGTCTCTAAAATACAAGCTCTTCTTATTAAATGATAATTGGAAACAAAAAGGAGGGCTAAAAGTGGACTAGAAAGTTTGAGAAAATCTCAGATGACATGCACAAATAGAATTAAGACTGACAGAGAATCAACAAAGGAATCCCCTGTCTAAGAACCACAGGTAGACAGACGTTCCCAAGGAAGCCTCAGGGACTTGGAATAAACAAAGACAAAAAGAAAGAATGAGCCACAGGACAATAATCAGATTAAACAACTGCACAAGGAAAAATTGTGTCCTTGTACAAGGAACAGCAGAGCCAATCAGGTCCTGTCTCTTTTCCGTCTCCCTTCCCTGGTACACAGAATAAACCCTGCAGCCCTGGCCTCCTGGGTAAATGTGGAAAATCATTCCTACAGTGAGCAATCCACCTTGCTCACTGGATGGATGGATGTGGGAAGCAGCAACTGTGGTCCTCCAGATACCGAAGCGGGGAAGGGAATAAATGAGGAAAGCCAGTTCCACTGCAAAGAAAAACCCACCCTGGCAATTGCAGAGGCCTCCAGCCTGCCTACTGATCTTCAGCCAGCTGGAATCCCAAATTAAAGTCAACCAGTCAACAGGCCTCACCTACCCACATACCAGCCCTTTCTTTAAAGGAGAAGCTATTGGAGAAAGAGACTTAGGCAAGAATAAAGGAAACTCATATTGCCAACTTCTATACCAATCAATTTAATCATTTATTCATAATATAAATGAAGAACCAGAGATCACCAGGCATTTGAGAAATAAACAGCATTAAAAAGCAGGACCCTGTAATCCCAGCACTTTGGGAGGCCGAGGCGGGCGGATCACGAGGTCAGGAGATCGAGACCATCCCGGCTAAAATGGTGAAACCCCGTCTCTACTAAAAATACAAAAAATTAGCCGGGCGTAGTGGCGGGCGCCTGTAGTCCCAGCTACTTGGGAGGCTGAGGCGGGAGAATGGCGTGAACCCGGGAGGCGGAGCTTGCAGTGAGCCGAGATCCCGCCACTGCACTCCAGCCTGGGCGACAGAGCGAGACTCCGTCTCAAAAAAAAAAAAAAAAAAAAAGCAGGACCATGATGAAAAAGAAGTGACCTGCAAGTTCAAGAGATAAGAATACAATGTTCATAATCCTAATTTTGTTCCCTTTTTTTCAAAGTCCAGGTTCCAGGCTTATATTATATAATCCTAATGTTTAGCCTTAAATATTAATAACAATATTTAATTCTAAATTCTGCTCCAAGACGAGGATTTTTATAATCCTAATATTTATCCTCAAATTCAAAAGTATATTATACACCAAATATAGGCAGCTAGGAAAAAGGACCAATCAGAGAAAAAGAAAATGAACAAAAACTTTCAAATATGATTGTTGAAATTAAAAAATTAACTGGAAATCCTAAATAATAAAATGAGTGGGGATAAATATCAAGTTTGAGAGCTCAAAGATAAAGTCAAGGAAGAGCAATAAAAGAAGAAAGTTTGCATGGACACAAAGAGGGAACAATCGACACGGGGGCCTATTTAGGGTGGAGGGTGGGAGGAGGGAGAGGATCAGAAAAAATAACAATTGGTCCTTACCAAGCTTAGTGCCTGGGTGACCAAATAATTCATACAACAAACCCCCATAACATGAGTTCACCTATATAACAAACCTGCATGTGTACCCCTGAACCTAAAATAAAAGTTTAACAAAGAGACTTTGGCAGTTCTTCAAAAGGTTCAACACAGAGTTACCATTTTATCCAGCAATCTCACCACTGTAGGAGAAATAAAAACGTATATGTTCACACAAAACCCTGTGGACAAATGTTCAGAGCACCATTATTCATAATAGCCAAATGTGGAAACAACCCCAAATGTCCATCAAGACCACATAAGCAAAATGTGGAATAGCCATACAAAGATTATTCAGCTAGAAAAAGAATGAAGTACTCACACATTCCACCATACGGAGGAACCTTGAAAACATTATGCTAAATGACAGAAGCTAGACACAAAAGGCCACACACTGTATGATTCCATTTATATGAAATATCAAGAATAGCAAATCAGCTGACAAGAAGTAGATTAGTTGTTGCCAGGGGTTGGAGAAGAATGGGTACTGGGTTTCACTGGGTGAGAAAACTGTTCTGAAATTAGATAGTGGCGATGGTTGAACAGTTTTCAATATACTGACACCTACTGAACTGTACACATTAAAATGGTGAATTTTATGGTATGTGAATTATATCTCAATAAACAAGAGCAAGTGAGAAAGCAAAAGAAAATTTGAAAGAAGAGTCAAGAGACACAAACTCCCACACCCATCCTGTAGGGGTTTCAGGAACAGAAAAAGGGTGAAATAGAGAGGAAGAAATCTAGGAAGTAATATAATAGCTAAAGGAGGGGTGAGGAGGCTGGGCATTGTGGCTCACACCTGTAATCCCAGCACTTTGGGAAGCCAAGGCGGGAGGATCACATGAGGTCAGGAGTTCGAGACCAGCCTGGCTAACATGGTGAAAACCCATCTCTAAACTAAAAATACAAAAATAAGCTGGGCATGGTGGCGTACACCTGTAATCCCAGCTACTTATGAGGCTAAGGCAGGAGAACTGCTTGAACCCGGGAGGCGGAGGTTGCAGTGAGCCAAGATTGCGCCACTGCACTCCAGCCTGGGCAACAGAGCAAGACTCTATCTCAAAATAAATGGAAAGAAAAGAAGGGAAGGAAGGGACGGGAGGGGGGAAGGAAGGGACGGGAGGGAGGGAGAGAGAGAGGAAGGGAAGAAGGAAGGAAGGAAGGAATTAAGGAAGGAAGGAAGGAAAGAAGGAAGGAAGGAAGCAGGCAGGCAGGCAGAAGCAAATTAGTAAAAAGAGATGGCAGGCAGGCAGGCTGAAGCAAATTAGTAAAATGAAATTCCTAGAGACAATCTAGTAAAATTTACAGGCCTGGAATAAAAAGAAAAGCTAACTCAAACAAGACCTACAAAATAGGGAGGAAAAAAGAAGGTAAGGTTGACTCCCAAGTCCTACAGAGCTACAGTTAGTAAAGAGAAGACAGCTCAAACTCCAAAGCATGGCACAGAGGTAAGCCACTGAGAGGCCTTCTTGAAAACAAAACAAAACAAAAAATCTACCAGCTGGGTGCGGTGGCTCACACCTATAATCCCAGCACTTTGGGGGGCCAAAGCGGGTGGATCACCTGAGGTCAGGAGTTCAAGACCATCTGGCCAACACGGTGAAACCTCGTCTCTACAAAAATACAAAAATTGCTGGGCATGATGGCAGGTGCCTGTAATCCCAGCTACTTGGGAGGCTGAGATGGAATGATCGCTTGAACCTGGGAGGCAGAGGTTGCAGTGAGCCGAGATCACGCCACTGCACTCCAGCGTGGGTGACAGAGCGAGACTCAATCTCAAAAAAAAAAAAAAAAATTGGCAAATGACTTGACTAGACCTTTCTCCAAGGAAGATATACAAATAGCCAACAATCACAAAAAAAGATGTTCAACATCACTAGTCACAAAATACAAATCAAACCCATGAGATACTAACTTCACACCCATCAGGTGTGAAAACACTAATGTTCATAGCAGCATTGTTCACAATAGCCAAAAGATATAAACAAGCCAGTGCCCAACAACAAATGAAAAGATAAACTGTGGTATATTACATACAAAGGGATATTATTCAGCCTTAAAAAGGAATGAAATGCTGACACATGTTAGTTACAACATGGATAAACCTTGCAAATGAAACCAGCCCAATTGTCCTATAGAACTGATGTTTACAGTCTTTTAAAATAAAGATAGAAATTGACCCTCCCAGTCTTAAAACTTGAGAAAGTTACATTTGTCTTATCTGAGTTCCTTTCTTGGGAAACCAACCATCAGGCCTCCCAGATAGTTATCAAGGAACTGAAACTTACCAGATCACCACATCTGGACCATAAGACACCAGACCACCTCACCCATCACAATTGCCTAACCAACTACCTGCTTCCTGTCGACCAACTCCTCTCCCTCACCCTTCCCTAACTCCTGTTTTCCCATACGTGGTTACATTTCTTCCCTGCTAAATAAACCCGTGGTTTTAGTCAGTCGAGGAGACAAATTTGAGATTGATCTCCCATCTCCTTAGCTGCAGCACCCAATTGAAGCCTTCTTCCCTAGCAACACTCATCGTCTCCGTGATTGGCTTTCTGCGCTGTGAGCAACAGGACCTAGACCAAACCCCTCGATGTTTCAGTAGCAATATGAGGTACTCACCATAAGAAAATTTACCAAGATAGAATAAGTAGAGTATAGGTTACCAGGACTGGGGAAGGGAAAGGAAAGGGGAAGTTATGTTTAACGGGTAAAGAGCTTCTGTTCAAGATGACGAAAAAGTTCTGGAAATGAATAGTGGTGATGGTTACACAACAATGGGAATGAACTAAATGTCACTGTACACATAAAAATAGCTAAAATGGAACATTTTAAATTATGTGTAATTTACAAGTAACACATTTTAAAGTTACAGTATTACACTATTACTATATATGAATTATACCTCATAAAGTTGATTGGCAAGGATAAAAGGATATACAATTTGATAAATACTCAACGTTGGAAGTTCTAACAAAAGACATTTTAAACACATTGACTGGGATTATCTATTGATACAATGTTTTTTTAAGAGTATTTCAGCAATTTTTCAGAAGTCACAAAGATATTTACTGCCTTCTACCCATTTGTTCTAGTTCTATGAATCTTTCCTAAAGGGAAAAAGAAAAAGCGGGCACGAAGATTTAATCTCAAAAATGTTCATCAAAATGTTGTTTACAACATTATAATACTATCCAAAAATAGTAAACAAAATGATCAGATATTCACAACATATAAAACGTTTACCTTAAGTATTATGTATTTTATTTTAAAATGTTGATAACATTTAAAATACATAATATATATGTTATGGGGGAAAACAAACATAAAAAACTATATCATGTGATTCTAATTTTTTATAAGCAAAACAAAACTAAGTATCTACTTCAATAATAATTATCTCCCAGACTAAGTTAAGGACCCTTTATCATATGCTATCAAGGTAATATAACCTGAGGTCAGAGAAAACCTCGCTGGAAGTGGCTTTGGATGGAGAAAGAGAATAAAAGAAGATTCCTACCAGAGAACTTGTCTACCTCAGTATCATTTTATTCAAATTAAAACTGTTTTACAATCAAACCTCAATTTTTAACAGTGGGGGAAAAAACAGTATGTGTTAATTTTAGTATCCAAGGGGATACTAGAACCATTCTCCTGGCTGATACAGAGGGATGACTGTTCTCGGAAATGATTTGGAATGTCTGTCTGAAAATGTCAGCAGGGAGCACCCCATTCAGGTATATAACACGTTTTAAATAAAAGTGTTTAAATACATATTTCATTGATTCATTTTTAATGAGCATACCATAAGCCTTCTCAAAGTATTAAATGCTCAACCATTACCTAAAAATCCTACTTTCTATTACCAGATTTTACTTTGCGAGAGTAACATTAGAAGACGTATAATAAGAATTACCCTTATTATTAAACATTTTCTAAACTCCTATTGTTTCACCCATATTTCACCAGCATAGAAGAATAATTATTATACCACTGCCACAATTCACAAAATCCTTTCACCTCCGTTTTTTCATGTGCCTGTCCTAACAATCATGAGATAAGCAAGCTTCGTGATAATAACTACAACTTCTACAACCCCAACCCCACTGTCAATGAAATACCCACTAAGAATCAGGCACTATACGGCCAGGCACGGTGGCTCATGCCTGTAATCCCAGCACTTTGGGAGGCTGAGGTGGGCAGATCACGAGGTCAGGAGATCGAGACCACGGTGAAAAAAATTAGCCGGGCGGGCGCGGTGGCGGGCGCCTGTAGTCCCAGCTACTAAGGAGGCTGAGGCAGGAGAACGGCGTGAACCCGGGAGGCGGAGCTTGCAGTGAGCTGAGATCGCACCACTGCACTCCAGCCTGGGTGACAGAGGGAGATGCCGACTCAGAAAAAAAAAAAAAGAAAGAAAGAAACAGGCACTATACCAGGTATCTCACATATTTACCACATTCAAAGTTGAATAATTACCAAAAATCTATGAAGTAGTTATCCCATCCCAATTTTACAGATGAGGAAACTGCGGCTCAGCAATTAAAGTAATTGGCCCAGAAAGCAGATCTTTGATCCACACCCAGGTCTGTCTGAATCCTAAACCTATGCCATTTCCTTGTCCCACCCACACTCCCCAGGAAACAGAGATTGAGAAAAAGATAATCATTTGGCCAAGTCTTATAGGCAACAGGAACCCAGAGCCTTCTAACACTTGATCTACGGTGCTTTCCACCTGGTATGTTGCTTCTATAAAAAGTAAGGACACTTCCTTCCATCGGGAGTTTATAAATCATAATTAATCTCAGATTATAAATAACATCATAGGGAAGCTATGTGCTACATAGGGACAGATAAGGGTGCCCAAGGGAAACTTTGAGGAAGTATAACTAAATTAATACACAGGGATCAGGGTTGAAGTATTTTATAACCAATACTCAAAACAGTAACAGTTAGCCTGGCGCAGTGGCTCACGTCTGTAGTCCTAACACTTTGGGAGTCAGAGATGGGAGAATCACTTGAGCCCAGGAGTTGGAAACCAGCCTGGGCAACATAGTGAGAGACCTTGTCTCTACGAAAATAAAAAAACAACAACAGTTAATAAAGTTTCCAGGAGTAGCTTAGATAATCCCAGAATCGTATCTATATTAGGAGAAGGGCTATTTTTAAATATTCTAAAGTTTATAATTGGAATGCCCATAAAAATTGCCTATGAGTAGATTCATCATTACATCAGAAAAATTTATGATAATTACTTAGGACTCTGCTTTTGATAAATATGTATGCTGTAACTACTTAATAAAACCATGAGAAATAATTTTTAAAATGTAAATGTTACTTACATATCGCAGTTTGCAGCTATCCACAAATGCTGGATTAGCAATTGGAACTAGAATAAAAAATGTAAATGTAAAAAAAGAAAAAATTAAAATATTTAAGTCATGAAACACAGAAAGTGACAGCAAAGTTAAAAACTCAGATCTTTATAAAAAGGAAATTTATACTGTACACCAAAAATGATATTTGCTAAATTACAAAGGCACTTGTATATGAATAAGATTAAAATAAAAACTAAGAACAGTACTTTTAGTTTCTCCTACCACTTTATATTCTCTAAATGACAGCCCTTACCTGATAGACACACGCCAACTATCAAAAAAAGCAATCTTAATACCATCCTGGAAGCAAGTGAACTTACATTTTTTTCAAGCCAATTCCCAAATGAGGGCCCACTACAGAAAACACCTCCGAACCACTGTAATTCCTTTCTGAGGATGACTCCAAACACTCTGCCAATCGATGCTAAACATGAGCCAAAAGAAACAAAAAAACTCTGACAAATTCCCATGAGCTTACCAATGGACCAAGATTGTCCAAAAAGTAATATTCCCAGAGGATAGGAAAAAAATGTCTTAGAGGGTTGATGTCTGCCTTCAATGTCACAGCAGAAACCTTGCAGTTTACCAGATGACCCAGTAAAGGAACCAACACCCACAACCCATTCCACATGGGCAGTTAATTCCAGTCACTGATGAGAAGGGAAAAGGTCTGTCTTATGATATCACATTTTTTTTTTGTTTTTTGTTTTTATTTTTTGAGATGGAGTTTCGCTCTTTTTGCCCAGGCTGGGGTGCAATGGCATGATCACGGCTCACTGCGACTTCTGGCTCCTGGGTTCAAGTGATTCTCCTGTCTCAGCCTCCCAAGTAGCTAGGATTACAGGAGTGCACCACCACGCCCTGCTAATTTTGTATTTTTAGTAGAGATGGGGTTTCGCCATGTTGGCCAGGCTGGTTTCAAACTGCTGACCTCAGGTGATCCACCTGCCTCGGCCTCCCAAAGTACTGAGATTACAGGCGTTCATTCCAGTCACTGATGAGAAGGTAAAAGGTCTGTCTTATGATATCACGCCCGGCCTGATTTCACATATTTTTTAAAAATCTTACAAGTTAACATAAAATGGAAACCTGAGTATTACAAACAACAACAACAACAAAAAGTTCAAAATCACCGTCTACTCTTATCTACTTTAAGACGTAAGGATTAAGCAGAGGATAATTTGCATAAACCTAAAATCGTGATAAATCAGTTTTTTCATGGTAGTTAAATCAAATTGCTATTTTAGCACTTGTTTGAGCCTCTATAAAAAACATAAATTTAAATGCATAAGTCATGTCACAGAGGCCTACCAGCGGGGAAAGGAGGAGCCTGGTGGCCACCTCCTGGTGACCAGCCACCACTCACAAACAGCAAAGGAGATTAAGCTTGGCTCAGGAGGTCCCCGAGCTCTTCTCACTGGAGTCGATCTGCGAGCACACTTGTTACAAAAAGTCATTCCAATCTTGGTCTTTCAGAAATTATAACTTATCCATTGCCAAGGAAAGAAAATAACAAAAGTATGATGATGAGAAAAACAACTGCTGGAAACATTACATGAGAAATAAACACAGAGTTACGACAGCTAAGATGAGGACAAAGAAAACATTACTCTGTCAACACCAAAAATACTCCAAAGATGACACTACTTCTATTTGTCCTTTTATATTCCTCATCTCTTTATCTATCCATGGAAACTTTTTAAACACTTCAATGGAAAACTATGCTTTCAAACCAAGCAGATGTCTAAAGCAGAATTGTCTCACAACCTAGATTATAACAAAATGCAAAGTTCAATACAACTGGAGTAAAAGACAAAAAAGCCTTTGTATAAATAAATCAACTCTCAGATATTGAGAAAAGCACAAACCACACAGTTATTAAAAAGTTCCAATGAAATTACTGTAAAAAAATAACGAGGATAACATGATAGCTAAAATCACCTGAAATTCCTACCTCCAAATCCCTATAAAAAAAGGGCAAAATCTAGGAAATGTGATACTCCCTAAAATTTTTTGCTAACATGTTTTTGCTGATCTCAATCTTTAGACAAAGAAATTGTAAATATAATTTCCTAAGTAACTCAAAGAAGAAAAAGGAAATAGTATTTCCCAATAATAATTCTCTAGGTTTGCATAAATAGACCTACTTGGCACTGAAAGCACTATTAATATTTTGCTTCACTTTGGTCTTTCAAAAACGTCCTTCTACACAGGTTTTTTTGGTTGTTTTTATCACTAATTAAGTTGACTGATATAAACCCTTAGCTGGTTTATTTAAACCTAAATATATTTTAAATTTACTTCAAATCATAGATTCTACTCTAGCCACAATGAATAATTTTCCCCAAATTGAGTTTAACAGCTTAAAATATAATTTGTTAAAAAAAAAAAGTTTAAGGTATGTAAAAATTTCTGACTTTCACCGTAAATAAGATTTTCATTAGCTCAACAGAAATGTAATAATTATCCCTTAAGTATCTCCACTCCCACACCATCTCCACAGTCATGAACCACCTAGTCCCGTTCTCAAATGTCCTGGTCCCGCCAATAGAATCCCAATCCTTCCTTGTTGTCCCCAACCCTGTGCACCTACACCTGCCATAAATGGTGGAAATTCAACCAGCTCTATGAACGGAAGGGAGGAGGCCCCCCACGCACTCTACAGGAAAACTTGCCCAGATCTACAGGAACCTCCCCACTCACAAGAGGACAGGGCAGCCCAGACTCAGCTGAGAAATGTCAACAGCTGGCACAAATGAATTACAGATTATTTACAATTCACATAACACTGACCCAAGAATATAACCAATTGTCAAGACAAAATAAATTTAGTTGTTCACATACAAATATTCCATTTGTGAATAAATTTCATATTCGTATCTGTATACAGACAGTCTACATGTTCGATAACTCCTTTATGATCCTACCTGAAAATGCTGGTAGATGCAATATTTTTGCATCAAATTTAACCGATGGTGGTTGTTTCATTATCTGTGGTTAAAAAAAAAAAAAAAACTTTTGAGGCAATTTTAAAGATGGATATCTGTCTCCTTATATGTCCCTTATATCAGATAATAAATCAATGAGGACAGAAAAAGAATGTGTAAAATTTGTTACCAAAAACAAAAAGAACGATGCCTTTTCAGATTAAAACATACATATATAGATAATAATTTATTTTTTAAAATCATTTCAATTGATATCTGTAATAAAATAAAGCTTCAAAGAAAAAATTCACCCCATCCTGGCTTACTTTTTAGGTAATTTACCTCTAATTAGAAATTCAGTCTTTCAACAAATATCTATTGCTTACCTGCCAAGGTAAGGCTCTATGTCAAGTGCTAAGGGGGATACAAAGATATAAAAGACACAATCCTATTTTCAGCGAGCTGACTTTCTGGTTGGGAAGATGAGACAAACATTTGATAAACAAGAAAATATTTCACAATTCAAAAGAGGCAGGACATAACTACAGACAAAACCCTGGACAGAAAGAATTTTTTTTGTAAATAGTAGTTTAGAGAATACAGCAAGCACTTTACTTGATATAGTTGACACCGGGTTTACGGAAGAGGTAGAAGGTGGGTTGAGGTCTTGAAGGATGGCTAGAACTTTATGATTATATCAGAGAAGACACCATTCAAGGAAGCCATAATAGCATGAATTGGAAAGTGCATAATTTATTTCAGAAATGTGAAGAAACCATGTAGTTGGATCCATGAGCTTAGGACAGCCAGATACTGCATCTTGAGACTTTTAATTAAAAATTCAACCATCATTTCTATACCTAACTTCTGCAAAACTTCTATATGTAATATTTTTAAAACCTTTACTAATTAAGTAACCAGCATTACTGTATTTACTGTAGTATTCTTACTAAAATGCATATTCTCATTCTAATCTCATAATCCAAATTCATAATCTCATTCGAGTCATGAGAAACCCTTAGACAAACCTAAATTAAGGGACATTCTTCAAAACACCCAACCAGTTACTCTTCAAAGTGTCAAGGACTTGAGTCATACGTTTTATAACATGTATTACAAAAACATACAAAGGCCAGGTGCCGTGGCTCACGCCTGTAATCCCAGCACTTTGGGAGGCCTAGGCAGGTGGATCATGAGGTCAGGAGTTCAAGACCAGCCTGGCCAACATGGTAAAACCCCATCTCTACTAAAACTACAAAACTTAGCCAGGTGCAGTGGCAGGTGCCTGTAATCCTAGCTACTCATGAGGCTGAGGCAGGAGAATAGCTTGAACCCGGTCGGCAGAGGTTGCAGTGAGCTGAGATCGTGCCACTACACTCCAGCCTGGGTGACAAAAAACAAAACAAAACAAAATAAAAGACAAACTGTCAAGATCATGAAAGACAAGCAAAGTCTGAGAAATTCTGACAAAACCGTGAAAAACTAGGACAGACTATATGAGACTAAGGAGGCATAACAACTAACTGTAATGTGGGATCCTGGAACAAAAAAAAAGAGGACATTAGAGGCAACCGGTAAAATTCAAATGCATTTGGTAGTTAACAGCACTATTCTCATGTTTTATTTTTCCCTTTTCAGGAAGAATTCGAAAGGAGCAGTCAGGGTATTGCATGCCATCATTACACAGAGATATCAATCAAGTATCATGCAACTCCAACTACCACATTCTACTGCCCTCCAAAAGGAGGAACAGGTAAGGATTATCCCGCCTGACTAACACTATACCAATGTTAATTCCCAGGTTTTGCTAACTATACTATAGACCTATAAGATGTGAACATTAAGAGCAGCTGGGCAAAAGCTATACAGGAGTTCTCAACTATTTTTTAATCTTTTCTCTAAAAGTAGTTTAGAATTAAAAGTTAAACACAAAAATTTCCACTGATGAAGGCTTCCCATAAACTATCAAATATGGTTATAAGAGGAAAAAACGAAACACAGAATATTGTGTAAAGCAAGCTTGTCCAACCCGCAGCCCGTGGGCTGGATGCGGCCCAAGACAGCTTTGAATATGGCCCAACACAAATTCATAAACTCTCTTAAAACATTGTAAGAATTTTTTTGCAATTTTTTTTATTGGTTTTTTAGTTCATCAGCTATTGTTAGTGTATTTTATGTGTTGCCCAAGACAATTCTTCTTCCAGTGTGGCCCAGGGAAGCCAAAAGACTGGACACCCCTGGGAAAGATATCACAAATTGTTCTAGAAAGCCCATTTTGAAAATGCGCCAATGCACATCAAACTTAGCATAATAAAGTTACACTGCCAGACATATGAACTCACAAAAAGAATTAGCTCCATTATGAAAAACAGCTAAATCATCTATATAAAATGCTGTCTATCTAGAAAATAAACATGAATCCAAAAACCCTTACATTGTTCTAAACCACACTAATGTTCCCAATGAGACAAGAAAAAAACAGTCATGAATTAATACAGAAAAAGATATTTAAAAAAGAAAAAGAAGGCCAGGTGTGGTGGCTCATGCCTGTAATCCCAGCACTTTGAGAGGCCGAGGTGGGTGGATCACAAGGTCAGGAGATCGAGACCATCCTGGCTTACATGGTGAAACCCTGTCTCTACTAAAAATACAAAAAATTAGCAGGGCGTGGTGGCGGGCACCTGTAGTCCCAGCTACTTGGGAGGCTGAGGCAGGAGAATGACATGAACCTGGGAGGCGGAGCTTGCAGTGAGCCAAAATCGCGTCATTGCACTCCAGCCTGTGTGACAGAGCAAGACTCTGTCTCAAAAAAATAAAAAATAAAAGTAAAACTAAAAAAAAGTAAAAGAAGCAGTAAAGTTAAAATAGAGAATAAGTAGTGGAATGTGAGTATGTTGGGGAGCTGGAAGTCAAGACAAAACAGAGGGACTTAGAAATGCATCTGTTTTTTAAAGTAAATACTCATTATCCCCCAGCAATAAAGTATTATATTCCAAAAGACAAGAAGCAAAAAAACTCACAGTGGTTTAGAAGTACATTGTGAACCATGACTCCTCAAGTTCCCATAGTGTCTCCCCACCATCTCCCCTGCAGTATTAACAACCTGTGACAGGGCAGGGCTTCCGTGTGATCTGCCTGCCCAGCCCAGCCTGGTGAGCAGTGCCCTCTGACTGCTTCTGCCTTCAAAACACATCAGAGACTAGAATACTTAGAGTGATTCACATTAGTGCAGATGGAGAAACGATGGGACTGAGAGCTAAGGTCTGAGGTCAAGAGGCTGGCAACCCCTCCGTGGCATGTGGAAGAAAGCAGTAGTGAGAAGCAGAGCTGACTCATTCAAAACAGAGGGGGGAAAACTTAGAACTCCAGTGAAGCGGAAGTGAAGGCAGAGGAAAGGGTTGCAGACAGAGCGGGAGCTGGAAATGCAGACATGCAGCACAAATGAAAGAGAAGCGGACAAGAGAAACAGGAAAGATTAGACAGTAAATAATATTCTGAATGAAAATCTTATGCAGATTTCAGATCTCAGTAAAGTCTACAACTCACTTGTCAGAGTGCTTTCTGCACCTTTGGATTGTCAATAATGGGGGTGACAACAAGATCTGAGTCGTGTAGATAAGCTCTCTCATCTGGGATTCCAGGTCCTGCTGACTCAGGTGTCCACTTGTAATCTGAAATGAGAACAAAAATTTGACTTTGTTTCTGTGACTAATATAGAGCTTTAAAACACTGAACTAATATGATGCTGAGGAAGACACCACTGTAAAATATCACCTATATCAATGTACTTCCACTGCTATTCAAGACACTTGCAGTCTCACTTGATTTTCACAAAAATCCTAAACTGTAGGTACCATAATTTCCATTTTACAGATAAAAATATAAAACTCTGAGAAAGTAACTGAATTGCTCATGTTACCATTAAAACTGGCTAGGACTACAAAAAAGATCTTTACAATTCAACGTTCTAAACTCTGATGAGGCAAACTGCTTTTTCGATTACCAGCATGGTTTTTTTTGGTTTTTTTTTTTTTTTTTAGGGATGGAGTCTCAGTCTGTCACATAGGCTGGAGGGCAGTGGTGCAACCCTGGCTCACTGCAACCTCTGCCTCCTGGGTTCAAGTGATTCTCCTGCCTCAGCCTCCCAAGTAGTGGAATTACGGGTGTGCACCACCATGCCCAGCTAATTTTTTTTTTTTTTTTTTTTTTTTTTGAGACAGAGTCTTGCTCTGTCACCAGGCTAGAGTGCAGTGGCGCGATCTCAGCTCACCACAACCTCTGTCTCCTGGGTTAAAGTCATTCTCCTGCCTCAGCCTCTCCAGTAGCTGGGACAAGGTTTCACCATGTTGGCCAGGCTGGTCTCAAACTCCTGGCCTCAGGTGATCCACCTGCCTCGGCCTCCCAAAGTGCTGGGATTATAGGTGTGAGCCACTGCACCCGACCCATGGCTTTATTTTTCATTCATAGAATGCTGATCAATTTATTTCTGCTTTACAGAATATTCAATGTGAAGTTGAAACTGTAACATACAAAAATTTTCAGACTTAAATACAGACCGGTTACCTAAGTGTTAAACCTCAATTATTTATTAAGCCTCATTAGAGATGATACATAATAAAATCAATCACCAGACATTCACCATCAGTTATTCCTTTGAGATGGTTCTTTGTGCTCTATTTAAACATAATTTGTATTCCTAGTGCTATGCCCCAGTATTTCCCATCAGAAAAAAAAAAAGGATTTATGCTTAAGAACCTTAAAAGAAACAATGACTAGCAAACTAAATAAAATAGAAAAGTAAATCAGTGAAGTAAGGAAGAAGGAAAATAAATTATCCAAAACTAGTGAGGAAGGGTCATAGATAAAGGAACAGAGTTAGCTAAGAAAATTCCTGGAAACCCAAGGTGCCCCTTGCAACTCAGATGAAAGATATACGAAAACACACAAAGAGGCCGAGGCCGGGCACGGTGGCTCAAGCCTGTAATCCCAGCAATTTGGGAGGCCGAGGCGGGTGGATCACGAGGTCAGGAGTTCAAGACCAGCCTGACCAACATGGTGAAACACTGTCTCTACTAAAAATACAAAAATTAGCTGGGTGTGGTGGCATGTGCCTGTAATCCCAGCTACTCAGGAGGCTGAGGCAGGAGAATCACCTGAACCTGGGAGGCGGAGGTTGCAGTGAGTTGAGATTGTGCCACTGCACCAATTAAAACAATTGTATGCAAAAATTAGTTTCCTATAGGTAAATTGAGTGTAGGCACAAATGCCAAGTTATAACAAATATCCCACTCACAATAGCAAAAATATATAAAACAAAATGTTCAGGAATAAACTAAATGATCAATAATTGCAATGAGATCATGATCATTAAATGAAAATAATCGTTATAAAATTATACTCTCTTGCTTCAAAGTGAACACATTATGTATAAAACCAGAAGTAGTAATATCAAAATGTATGAGATGTATGAGGTTACAGTGAACTATGATGGTGCCACTGCACTCCAGCCTGAGCAACAGGCTCTAAAAAAAAAAAAAAGGTAATCAGTGTTTACTTGGGAATTATATTGTAAATAATTTTTCTATTGTCTTTGTCCTCTTTTATATTTTACAAGTTTTTTACAATTATATATGTTTTGTAATAGAATAAAAAGTATCATTTAAAAATTATAAAACATAAGGCCAACACAGTGGCTCACACCTGTAATCCCAGCTCTTTGGGAGGCCGAGGCGGGCAGATCACTTGAGTCCAGGAGTTTCAGACCAGCCTGGACAACATGGGGAAACCTCTACTAAAAATACAAAAAATTAGCCATGCATGGTGGCGCACACCTGTAGTCGCAGCTACTCAGGTGGCTGCGATGAGATGAGATAAGCACCTAAGCCCAAGAAGTTGAGGCTGCAATGAGCCATGATCGTGCCACTCCACTCCACCCTGGGTGACAGGAGTGAGGCTCTGTCTCAAAAATAAATAAATACCGAGATATATATGTAAAATAAACTACCTTAGGTATTCACATTATTGATTATATTTTCTCAATAGAATGATTATATATTCCTCTTTATAACCATCTGCCAGAAGAGCTTCAACATCTATCGCATTTCAGAATGAATTTTTTTTTTTTTTTTTTTTGAGACGGAGTCTAACTCTGTCGCCCAGGCTGGAGTGCAGTGGTGCGATCTCAGCTCACCGCAACCTCCGCCTCCCAGGTTCACACCATTCTCCTGCCTCAGCCTCTCAAGTAGCTGGGACTACAGGTGCCCACCACCACACCCGGCTAATTTTTTGTATTTTTAGTACAGATGGGCTTTCACTGTGTTAGCCAAGATGGTCTTGATCTCCTGACCTTGTGATCTGCCCTCCTCAGCCTCCCACAGTGCTTGGATTACAGGTGTGAGCCACTGCGCCCGGCCCAGAATAAATTTTTAAATTTACATTGATTTTCTATTTCACATAACCAAAAAATTAGCACAGTCAGATTTTATTATAACCAATTTATACTAAATTTCAAAGCAGAAATAAGCTTCACAAGGTCCAAATACAGTTCACATTACATCAAAACTACAGTTAAAAACTAAAAGCAATTATATTTGTCAACCAATAAGTAGCATAAAAATTACTTAGAATTAATTCAAAGTAGGTCTGCATTCAACACAACTACGATTGAAAGAAATTAAAGGAAGACCTAAATAAGTACAAATACATCCTGTGTTCGTGGAGGAAAACTTAATATTGTTAAAATGGCAGTACTTTCTAAGTTGATCTACATATTCAATGCGACTGTGATTAAAATCTCAGCTGGCTCCTTTGCAGAAACTGACAAGCTGATCTTAAAATTCATATGGAAATGCAAGTGACCCAGAACAGCCAAACCCACCTTAAAAAACTTTCTGGAGGATTCATACTTTCTGATTTCAAAGCTTACTAAACAGCTACAGTAATCAAGAGTGTGCTACTGGTATAAGGACAGATGAACAGAGAAAAGAATAGAATCCAGAAATAAACTTTCACATATACAGTCAATTGATCTTCAATAAGCGTTCCAAGACAATTCAATGGGGAAAGAATAAGCTTTTCAACAGATAGTTCTGAGATAACTGGATGTCTAGGTGCAAAACAATGAAGCTATACCCCCCTACTTCATGCCGCATGCAAAAATTAATTCAAATGGATAAAAGAGCTCAATATAAGAGATATTGATAAACTATAAAACTCATAGAAAAAAACATAGGCAGAAACCTTTGTGACCTTGGAGTAGCAACGTTTTTTTAGATATTACACCAAAAGCACAAGGAGCAAAAAAACACAAATGAAAAAAGATAAATTGGACTATATCAAAATTTAAAATCTTTCTGCTTCAAAGGACACCATCAAGAAAGAAAAAAGACAATCCAGAAAAAGGAAGAAAGTTGTTATAACTCCTATCTAGAATATGTAAAAAATTCTTACAGATAAATAATAAAGAGATACATAACCCAATTAAAAATAAGTTAAATTTTGGAATAAGTATTTCCCCAAAAAAAACAGACAAATGGCCAATAAACACATGAAAAGATACTCAACATCATTTGCCATCAGGTAAATGCAAATCAAAACCACTAAGACATAGAAATTCACACCTACTAGCTGGGCGCAGTGGCTCACACATGTAATCCAAATACTTTGGGAGGCGGAGACAGGTGGATCATTTCAGGTCAGGAGTTCGAGACCAGCCTGGCCAACATGGTGAAACCCCGTCTCTACTAAAAATACAAAAATTAGCCAGCTGGTAGTGGTGCATGCCTATAATCCCAGCTACTCGGAAGGCTGAGGCAGAAGAATTGCTTGAGCCTGGGAGATGGAGGTTGCAGTGAGCCAAGATCATGCCACTGCACTCCAGACTGGGCGACAGAGTCAGACCCTGTCTCAATCAATCACTCAATCAATGGAATTTCACACCTGCTAGATGTGAAATAGGATGGCGATCATGAGAAAGACAGGCAATGCAAAACTATTCACAATAGCCAATAGGTGGATGCAACCCAAGTATTCATCAACAGAGGAAAAGATAAAAAGGCATATTAAATACATACAAGGGAATATTATTCAGCCTTAAAAACAAATGAAATTCTGGCACATGCTACAACATGGATGAACGTTAAAGACATTATGCTAAGTGAAATAAGCCAGGCACAAAAGGACAACTACTATATGAGACCACTTATGCCAGCAGTCCCCAAACTTTTTGGCATCAGGAGCCAGTTTTGCAGAAGACAATTTTTCCACAGACAAGGTTGGGGGAGATGATTTTGGGATGATTCAAGGACATTACATTTATTGTGCATTTTATTTCTATTATTATTACATTGTAACATATAATGAAATAATTGTACAACTCACTATAATATAGAATCAGGGCTGGGCACGGTGGCTCACGCCTGTAATCCCAGCACTTTGGGAGGCCAAGGTGGCCAGATCATGAGGTCAGGAGATCGAGACCATCCTGGCTAACACGGTGAAACCCCGTCTCTACTAAAAAATACAAAAAATTGTTGGGGCGTGGTGGCTGGCGCCTGTAGTCCCAGCTACTCAGGAGGCTGAGGCAGGAGAATGGCGTGAACCTGGGAGGCGGAGCTTGCAGTGAGCCCAGATTGCACCACTGCACTCCAGCCTGGGTAACAGAGCGAGACTCCCTCTCAAAATAAATAAATAAATAAATAAATAAATAAATAATAAAAAAAACTACAAATGATAAGCAACATAGAATAGATATGTAAGGAAAGGCTTTAAAAAGGAAAATAAGATCAATATAAACTAAGAAAAAATTATTACAGAACAAAGAGATTCTAGGCAGAAGACAAAAGAGTATCAAAATCACTTCGTAAAGATACTTGTGAATATATTACATGTATAAAACAAAACAGAGGCCGGGCGCGGTGGCTGACGCCTGTAATCCCAGCACTTTGGGAGGCTGAGGCGGGTGGATCATGAGGTCAGGAGATCAAGACCATGCTGGCTAACATGGTGAAACCGCGTCTCTACTAAAAAATCCGTCTCTACTAAAAACACAAAAGTTAGCCAGGCGTGGTGGCGGGCGCCTGTAATCTCAGCTACTCGGGAGGCTGACGCAGGAGAATCGCTTTAACCAGTGGACTGTCAAGAGAGGTAGGCTGCAGTAAGCCGAGATCGCGCCACTGCACTCCAGCCTGGGCGACAGAGTGAGTGAGACTCTGTCTCAACAAAAAGAAAAAAAGAAAGAAAACTTTTTTTTGAGAGAGAGAGAGAGAAGTCTCGCTCTTCTCCCCCAGGTTTGAGTGCAATGGCTCGATCTCAGCTCACTGTAACCTCCGCCTCCCGGGTTCAAACGATTCTCCTGCCTCTGCCTCCCAAATAGCTGGGATTAAGTCGCCTGCCAACACGACCGGCTAATTTTTCTATTTTTTAGTAGAGACGGGTTTCACCATGTTGGCCAGGCTGGTCTCCAACTCCTGACCTCAAGTGATCAGCCCGGTTGGCCTCCCAAAATGCTGGGATTACAGGCGTGAGCCACTACGCCCGGCCAAAAAACCGAAAATCTTAAAGGCCTTTCCCCTTCCCCGCCTGGGCTCCAACAACGCGGGAGCCGCCCTGCCCCGCCCTGTCGCGGTCCCTAGAGCAGGTGGGCTGACTGAGGGCGACCATGGGTCCCAAGAGGGCTCCCGCAGCCGCGGGCTCCCACCTCGAGGCGCAGCGACAGGGGCCGAGAGGGGCCAGCAGCCCCCAAGCCAGCCCCGCGCTAGGAGTTGGAGAGACGCGCCCTCCGCCTTCTCCCACCCAAGCCTCTGCCTTGCCGGGCGGGCCAGTTGCGGGAGAAAGGGGCGGGGAACCGCGGCCTCTCTGGGGCAGCTTCCCCTTTCTCCTGGGACTCTGGGCACCCGCTTTCCGCCCTCGCCCTGCCCCGCCAGGCCGCCACCCGGCGACTCACCTTAATGTTGCGGTGGGGCGTGAGCCGCGGCTGTGGCTCCTGGTTCTCCTGGAAGATAGAGGCCAGTAACTTCGGTTTGGCCTTGAACCCGGACATGGACATCTTCCCCTCACCTCCGGCGGGAGGGGCGCGGAAAAGGAGCCTGTCCCGAGCCGCTGTCATGGCCGCGACCACCAGGCGGGGCCCCCGGCCGAGCTCTCGCGGCTCCACCTCTCCCCGCCGCCGTGACCCTCGTGGGAGCGCGGCTGGAAAATGGCAAGGGGCACCGAGGACTTGGCGGGAGCTATGTGGCGGCCTGCGGGGCTGCTCCCTTTATAACCGACTCCACCGACAGGAGGCGCGGCTCCCGTCAAGCCGCAGTTTAAAAGGGCAACAGCACCACTGCCCCCGCTACCGCCTGGGAAAGGGCTGCCCCTACCCCGCCCCGGTCCTCGTCGCCCCTCACCTCTTACCCCTCACCCCTCACCCCTCAACCCGGCGCGCCCCGCGCGCACCCGGCGTGCCCGCGCTACCGGCTGCCCCCTCCTCTCTTGACCCAGCACCTTTCTGCCCGACCGATCTGGTCCCTTCCTCACACTCGCGACTGGGCGGCACAACCACCAACTCTGTGTGTGTGTGTGTGTGTGTGTGTGTGTGTGTGTGTGTGTCTATGTGTGTGTGTGTGTGTCCCTGTCCCAAGGGGGCGTGGCTCACGCCTGTAATCCCACCACTTTGGGAGGCTAAGGCGGGTGGATCAGGAGGTCAGGAGATAAGACTATCCTGGCTAACACGGTAAAACCCCGTCTCTACGAAAAAAATACAAAAAATTAGCAGGGCGTGGTGGCGGACGCCTGTAGTCCCAGCTACTTGGGAGGCTGAGGGAGGAGAATGGCGTGAAACCGGGAGGCAGAGCTTGCAGTGAGCTGAGAGCGCGCCACTGCACTCCAGCCTGGGCGACAGACCAAGACTCCATATAAAAAAAAAAAAAGAAAAAAAACCTCAAAGGATCACTAGTGGTCAGCAACTATGTGCAAATAAATAGGAAAACCTACCAAAAATGGATAAATTTCCAGACACATCTAACCTACCAAGATTGAACCATGATGAAACCCAAAACCTGAACAAACCAATAACAAATAATGGGATCAAAGTGGTAATAAAAAGTCTCCCAGCAAAGAAAAGCCTGGGACCTGATGATTCACTGCTGAATTCTAGCAAACATTTAAAGAAGAACTAATACCAACCTTACCCAAACGATTCCAAAAATAGAGAAGGAGGGAATACTTGCAAACTCATTCTACAGGGCTAGCATTACCCTGATAACAAAATCAAACACACAGACCAAAAAAGAAAACTACAGGCCAATATCACTGATGAATATTGATGCAAAAATCCTCAATAAAATATTAGCTAACTGAATTCTACAACACATTAAAGTTGGGGTGCAGTGTCCCAGGTTCACTCAACCCTTCCCGTTTTCCTCTGTGTGTGTGTCTACTTTGCCGTGTTCCCTGGTGGCGGCGGCGGTGGCAGTGTTGGTGCATGGGCCTCCCAGGACAAGGGGAAAGTGAGTATGCCCCTTTCTTGCCCCCTGCCAGGCGTCTGCAGCCTGGCACAAGCTCTGGCCAGGTCTCCAACAGGGGACCTGGAGATGTTTTTTTCCAATTTCTGGATTGGTAACTTGAGGCAGATTCTGGGCACTAGAGTCAGAACTAAGAGGAGACTGAATCAGGGGAGTCTGGGGTCCTGAGAGGCAGATACCTGAAACCGTCTAGAGCGTGTGGGGAGCTCGGTGCATGTTCACGCCAGTTGTTTTTCTCTGTGCCTCAATGTTCCAGGTACCCTTGGAGGTGCTGAGATCCTAGGGATTCCTGGAGCCTGGCTGCATGGCCTGGCCACCCTGATGCCACTGTGTTCTCCATGACAGGACAGCAAGGCTGAGGAGAATGGCTCCGACAGCTTCATGCACTCCATGGACCCATAGCTGGAGCGGCAAATGGAAACCACCCAGAACCTTGTGGACTCCTACATGGCCATTGTCAACAAGACCGTGTGGGACCTCATGGTTGGTGTCATGCCCAAGACCATCATGCACGTCATGATCAACAACGTGCATGCACCGCCTCATAGGGGCAGGGGGCTCCTGTAGCACTGGGGATGCAGGTGGCCATGTTGGCCTGGGGGAGATGCTGACCAGCCCTATGGGACCAAGGTCCAGGGAGGGAGGCACAGTCCAGACCAGAGCTGTCTCATAGAAATATAACGTGGGACTGGGGACAGTGGCCCATGTCTGTAATCCCAGCACTTTGGGAGGCCAAGGCAAGAGGATAGCTTGAGCCCAGGAGTTCGAGACCAGCTTGGGCAACATAGTGAGACCTGATCTCTACACTAAAATTTTAAAAATAGCTGGGCTTGGTGGTGGCACGTACCTATAGTCCTAGCTACTCGACAGGCTGACATTGGAGGATCACTTTGAGCCCAAGAAGTTGAGGCTACAGTGAGTGGTGATCTCGCCCACTGTCCTCCAGCCTAGCGACAGAGCAAGATCCTATCTCCAAAAAACATTTTTAAGAAACTGAGTAGACCGGTGTCCTGGTGGCATGATAGGTCCTGGGTCCCCTCCCAGATGTGTGACCTTGGACAGGTGACTTTTCCTTTGGACCTCAGTGTCCCTATCTGAGTGAGAAAAGGGTGGTGGGGAGGCAGATCTTTGAGTCTAAGCGGTGTAGAAGCCGCGTCTGAAAAGCCATACTCAGGGCTCCAAGTCCAGCACACAGTCCCAGCAGGGCCCGGCAGGAGGCCAGGGCAGCAAAGGCATCAGGTCCCAACCTCCTTCCCTCTTTGCCCGCTCTCAGACCAAGGAGTTCATCTTCTCGGAGCTGCTGTCCAACCTGTACTCACGTGGGGACCAGAAAACGCTGATGGAAGAGTCGGCAGAGCAGGCACAGTGGCGCGACGAGATGCTGCGCATGTACCACGTGCTGAAGGAGGCACTCGGCATCATCGGCAACATCAACACGACCACCATCAGCACGCACATGGGGGCCCGTGGACAACTCCTGCCTGCAGGTGCAGAGCGTCCTTGCCGGATGCAGGTACCAAGGCTGGCTCCCACGGCCCCAAAGCCCCCCAGCCCCCATGGCTGAGCCTGGGGACTCTTGGAACAGGCTCCGTGCCCACGCTGGTAGACATGGGTGCTCCCTGGAGCCGTCACAGAGCTCATGGTTTATGGTGTAAGGGCTGAGAGCTTAGAGGGGGTGGTGTGTGGGGCTGTACTCTGAGGCGGCCAGAGTCCTAGGATAGTCCTCCTGTGCACACCGCACCTGTTGGGCAGTCTGAGTCATGCTGCCAGGGCAGGGCATCCAGCTCCCAGCCTGGGAGTGCTGAGAGCCAAATCCACTGCAGAGCAGGGGTGATAGTCAGAGTCCCACCTCCTCTATCTGTCGGCAATGCAGTGGTGAGATAGGATAAAACCTTGAGAGTCCCATACACACGGTCAACCCACAACACACCTCACAGGCCAGGCAGGAAACACAGGCCCCTTCCCTCCCTCCCAGGTACCATCATAGCTGCTAGCGTGTGACTGAAGGCAGGGTCCCTGGCCCCCGCTGAAGCACTATTGCTGGCCAGCAGGCTCACGCACCTTGGAGTGTTGCTCCTAGAGGTCACCTCTGCTATTCAGCCAAGGGGACCACAGTGCCTGCTGGCCCAGCTGACCTCCGCCCCACAAGCCCACCCACCTCCCCTGCCATAGACTCTCCCTCTTCTGCTTTTCCCAGCAGGAAGGGCCCAGCCTCACCTATCCGACCTGCAACCCCCAACAAGCTGAGGCTCCCCTCTTAGACTTATAAGTCTATAGCCAGTGGCATCCAGCTGCATGCCCTCCTTTCCTCCCCCAGGGACCCTTCAAGGGTTCCTGGGCTTTCTGACCCCCCAGAGGGGGCTCCGGCGATCACTCCACCCATCCATCCCTTTTAGCTTCATCATCCTGGTTCAAGCAGTGTTTCTTCTCTATCAGGCCTGGTGGCTGTTGTTTTGGGCTCCCCAAGGCGAGAGGTGGCCCTGGACAAGTGGGTTGGAAGACACGGTGACCAGAGAAGAGGGAAGCCCAAAGGGGCTGAGCATCAGTCTTAACAGTGGGTGCACTGGGTGCCGTGGAAGAGGCCAGCACGTGTGGGGTGGGGAGGGCTGCCACAGCCCCCAGGCACTACATGTGAAACTCCGGCTCCTCCCTCTGTCTTCCTCCCCTTTCCCTTCCAGCCCCTCTTTTCCAGGAACCTTGCCACACCCGCACGTGCACCCTTTACTCCTTGGCCCTCCCACAGCTGCTGTGGCACACCTGTGCTCTGCACTTGCCTCACCAGCTCTCTGCTCGCTTTTTTTTTATTATTATTATTATACTTTAAGTTTTAGGGTACATGTGACAATGTGCAGGTTAGTTACATATGTATACATGTGCCATGCTGGTGCGCTGCACCCACTAAATCGTCATCTAGCATTGGGTATATCTCCCAATGCTATCCCTCCCCCCTCCCCCCACCCCACAACAGTCCCCAGAGTGTGATGTTCCCCTTCCTGTGTCCATGTGCTCTCATTGTTCAATTCCCACCTATGAGTGAGAATATGCGGTGTTTGGTTTTTTGTTCTTGCGATAGTTAACTGAGAATGATGATTTCCAATTTCATCCATGTCCCTGCAAAGGACATGAACTCATCATTTTTTATGGCTGCATAGTATTCCATGGTGTATATGTGCCACATTTTCTTAATCCAGTCTATCATTGTTGGACATTTGGGTTGGTTCCAAGTCTTTGCTATTGTGAATAATGCCGCAATAAACATACGTGTGCATGTGTCTTTATAGCAGCATGATTTATAGTCCTTTGGGTACATACCCAGTAATGGGATGGCTGGGTCAAATGGTATTTCTAGTTCTAGATCCCTGAGGAATCGCCACACTGACTTCCACAATGGTTGAACTAGTTTACAGTCCCACCAACAGTGTAAAAGTGTTCCTATTTCTCCACATCCTCTCCAGCACCTGTTGTTTCCTGACTTTTTAATGATTGCCATTCTAACTGGTGTGAGATGATATGCTCGCTTTTCTCTCTCCTGTCTTCTCTCTGCTTTCTCTCCAACTGCCAGCCAATCGGCTCAGGCAAGTCCATCCCATCCTGAGAGCCCCAGGCCCCCCTTTGACCTCTAAACAGATTCCTCCTCTTCTCAGAGACTTCCCTTTCCAAGCCTGCCTGGGCGGCTGTTCTGTGACTTGGCAGTGGCTCCCCCAGCCCCAAAGCCAGCCCCCCTTCATCTGTGACTTAGTCTATTGTTGCGGTGAGCTGACACATCCAGGTGTGACCGTTGCTGAAAACTTGTGCCCCCCTCTGTGGTATGCCCCTGCCCTGTTCTAGAAATATCTACAAATACCCATATACATACACACACACACACACACACACACACACACACACACACACACATACACCTACATGTGGCCGACCGCCTCGCCTCTAGCGCTGGGAATCAGTCACCGTGCTGTCCTTTTGGAGTCTTGTGGCCAAACAAGAGAAAGCTAACCCCTGACATTGCCCCTCCAAAGTGCGCTACCTTCAGTGAGCCTCCCTGTCACGCCCAGCCTATGGAGAGACACACCCCGCCATCCCTCCCGCCCCCCACCCCCCCACCAAGCATGGGAGTGCTGTGCAGGCAGCTGAGTGGCCTGACAGTCTCTACCAGTCCTGCTGTCCCTTGGCTGAGAATCAAACCCGCTTCTGGATGGCGGGGAAGTGTGTCCTCTGCTGGCTGTGTTCTCTGTGGAGCTCAGGGGAGGGGAAAGGCCAAGCCATTTCTAGGGTGCTGTTGGGAGCAGTGAAAAGGCCATGCCCTTTCCAAGGGACACTTTTCCTGGAAAGCCCCTGGAGCTTAGCGGGCTCTTATCCTGTGAAGCCGGCTCTGGCCACCAGGGGGCAGGGCCATGAACTCAGCCCAGAGGGAGCCTGCAGGGCAGCCGGCACTCTGGAGGCACAGACAGAACAGGCCACCAGGTGCAGACAGGAGAGGGAGACAAGGGGATAGAACGGAAGATGCCGGGGCTGGGTGGAAGTCAGTGCCCTTAGGTGCTGGTACCTGTCTTCCGGGCCACCGCTAGATCAGGCTTCTGAGCCTGTTGGCTGTCAGGGCCAGACTGCGCCCCATAGACTACATGGCAGTCCCCTTGGAATCCCCCAGGCGCCACCAGGCAGCATACAGGTAACACGCCTGGAAGGTCCCCAACAGCCTAGCTGGACATGCTCAAGACACTCTGGGACTCCTTGTTTGGTGGCACAAACTCCAGGACCCAGTGAGGGAAACGGAAACACACCAGGCCGAGCAGTATGGCTAAATCCATTTATTCCAAAATAAAAAGCAAAATAAACAGGAGTCGCATCACCAGGGAGCCATGACCCCATCCCCGCCTCCTTCCTCTGTCCTATGCTAGCAATAAATAAGTTTCCCAGCCACAAATAATTATTACAACCTCCTCCCCATGTGCCGGCTCCAACCTCAGCTAGGTATGACACAGGGGTGGCCCTACCCTCTGGAATATACAAAACCTTACACAGACACAATGTGTACACCGGGGAACGGGGGCCACCCCAGCAGCCCGTGCCCTCGCCTGGTCCACAGTTAGCCCCACTGTCCTGCCTCTCTGAATAAGAAGGTGGGAGCCCCCCTGAGGAAAAAGTTGCTATGGTGAGAGTAAGGGGGGCATCAGGCCTCCTCCAAACAAACCAACTCCACCAGCCTCTGGCTCTTAAATAACAATCATCATCATCCAGAAATGTAGGGACTCAGCCCTGGTCAGGGTGGCAAAGGGTCTGTTTGTCTTTCCCCATTAGACAGAGGTCTTGTCCTGCTACCCTCATTGTAAAGGGCTGCCTGGGAAGGGGTGGTAGGGACATGGTGGCGGTGGAGACCCCAGCCCCACTTCTCCAGGCTTTGCTGACAGGGGCCTGCTTTTAATTTTTATTTTTATTCCATGACTTTTTAAAAAAGAATCCCGTAACTTCTTTTTCATAACTTTTTTGGTAACTTTTCATAATACTGTTTTCTACTTTGTTCCCACAAGTTTTTTTGCCACAACGTTTTTACATTTTTTATCCCATAACTTTTTCAACCCATAACTTTTTTAATCCCATAACTTTTAAAATCTTGTGTTCTTTTAAGAAACACTTGCATAGTTATATCACAACTTTGTAAAAATGAAACACATTATCTCATGCCAAGCATGCCCAGCATTTGCACAGTATCAATACCTTTAATACTATAGTTTTCAAGAAACGCAAAATAAAATTTTAAGACAAAAACAACACATTGAAACAACTTAATAATTTATTACATTACAGTGGCATCACACCAGCAGTCAATAAGGCCACTCTAGGGAAAAATCTTTCAGTATTTCCACGACACATTCTCTTTACAATAATTCATAAACTGGTAAAATTCATTCTAAGAAAACTTGGCAAATAAAACTTTGGACTGGAATTGGCATTTCTTTCTCTGCTTTTCGTTCCCACCATTTCTTTCTTTTATACTACAGTATTCATATTTTAAAATGTTTTAAATTATTTCAGAACATTAAGATAGCAGTTACATTTTTTAATAGTTATATTATTTTAAAATAACTCTTTAAAATAAAGTTTTAGAGAAACTATATTATGGATAGGGCTGATTTACATTTTCAAATTTTCTAAAATCAGCTTTGGTTTTAGAGCTGATTTTTTTTTTCATTTCTGGAAAATTATCAGGTTTAATCAAATACTTTTAAAATGATTATTATACATTGCCATCTTTAAATAGGTATTTTGATTCTTCCTACAGAAATCAAAATGTATTCAGTGGAACTCACAGTTTAAAATTCTATGTTTCTGATGAACTCTAACATTCCAATGTTGCCTTCTAAGCAAACTGAAAGCTGCCTTATACTGAATGAGGAAGAGCACAAATACTCGGCTGAATGAGGTATCGCAAAAGACTGCATGCACTTTGGAGAAAGACTTGAGTTATTGTCATACAATTTCCATTCTTTTTAGCTTTTTCTTAAATATATGACAAATACCTACACAAAGAGTGGTATTTCAGTCAATATAGTAAATTTATTTTCCAGACTGACCTTCAGCTTAAATATGCCAGTGTGTGATTTAATCCATAGGCACCTCATGAACACATTATTGTCAGATTGGTTACAGATGCTAAACGCTATCCGAAGGTCATTCCTAGTCACTGATATTTATCAGGGTAAAAGTGAAGTGATTTCAACGATAAAAGTACCTTTGCAATAATTTATCAATGTATTAGATAAACCCAGTTTCAGAATGATAAAAGAAAAAACGTTAGACCAAATAATGTGGCTGATTAACAGTGGTCCGATTTCTAGCCCGAGGGTTTAAAATGCTCTTAAAGTAACTGTCTTTAAACTGAACTCAAAGAATGCAAAAGCGGCAAGTTCAGAAAATAAAAGGCGAGAACAGGACTTTAAGTGCATTTTAAACCCACGGGCTACAAATCGTACCACTGTTAATTAGCCGCATTATTTGGTCTAAGATTTTTTCTTTATCATTCTGAAACTGGGTTTATCTAATACATTGATACATTCATAAAATTTGGAAGAGTCAGTGGAAGTCACAAGGACCGAATATTTGCACTCTTTCAGTGAATGCCAGCAAATCTGTTATTCCATCGGTAAAATCGTATTGTTGCTCTCCTGTTAATGTCATATTTATAGAAGTATCATGAGGATGCCAAATGCTAAAAATGGAGATGATCTAGTAACTAGAAATCCCCACCGCAGGGAGCACACACACCTATCTCCCTGCATCCTAACAATGTGATGTGTTTTGGAACACAGACATTAGAACTTCATGAAGTTTTAACTGTTGAGTCTTTCCCAAGCATCATCAAGTTACGATTTAGGCAATACATAACTGAAATGCATTCATTCATCATGCATAGGCACAATCACATAAATATTGCACAAAATATGTCCCGAACAGAAACCCAGAGGTACAAAAACATATTTCACTTTGTAAAGAAGTTTGTGAGAAAATATAACTCTGTGGTTGTATAGACACGTTTCCTGATAATACATTGACATTCACGAACAACAGTAGATTGCACTGCAGTTTGTACACATTTTAAGTTTCATAAACTTCTCCTTGATTTTCAAAGATAGTATAATACCATCTACTAAAACTCCTTTTTGTTTCAACTATCTCACATATATTAGTTTATAAGAATGTTTCTATTTTTTTAAAGTGTTTTCCATTCAAAGAAAAAGAAGTAAATTCCTATGTCAGAGTAACCAAGGTGGTTGAAGAATAGGTATTAGCCAAAGAGGTCTAGATGGTAAAATCAATCTTCAAGCCTCAAAGAATCTCCGTGAACAGAGAGGAATGCCAGGAGTCACACAGCTTTCCTTCACTCTAATTCATTCTTGACTAGAGCCTGTATGCCTGTTCCAGGGACATTTGAACTCGTAAAGGATTTCTTATGATCTTCACTAAATACATTAAGAAGAATGCCAACCAGTGCCCTTTTGTGTACTGGGGCATGTAGTCATGTGATTAAAACAGGTAACATGAACTCTGACTTTAAAATGTATTGTAGATACAAATGCTCTAAGCTAGGAAAGGTTTTCCACATCCACAGTCAACGATGGGAACCTTTCATTCCTCAGAAATAAGCCCTTTTTAGGTCATCGAAAAAGAGTGCAACTGCTGCAGCTCATGATGCAATATCTTCATGAGCCCAGAGCACATACAAATCCTAAGGGCACCACCATAATACACCGCTAATTCCTGGCACCGGAAGAGATGAAACACACTCTATCTTGCACATACCTGCCAGAGGAGGCCACTTTCCTCTTCTGTGAGATTTAAAAAGCTCCCCCAAAAGGTTATCACTCCCATCACCAATACACAGAAAATGGAGGAAAGGCTGTTTCCAATTCTTGGCCTTTAAACAACTCTAAATGTCAGTACTCATAGTGGCGTATTACAAAGTAATAAACAGTGCACACTTGGGGGCAAACTACATATTGAGCTAAGGAAGAGCTCACTGTGATTAAGATTACATCAAACAACAGCAGAACATAGGCAAATTTTGTCTGAATGCTGTAGTGAATATACATGCTGCAATAACATTAAAAAAGCATGGCAGCCTATTCCAAACCAAAGAGAACAGTTTTGGGCAAAGAGTGGGTCTTTGTGTGTTTGAACTCCCACCACGTAAGGGCAAACTCGATATGCACGCTAATGACCTACAATTATGAAATTAAAAAAGAAAAATGCTAAAGGATGCCAGAGTGAACATCAGTGAGAGCCACAGACACCCACTCTCTTTTAACTTTTTACAAATAAACTTAAACTATAAATTAGAAACACAAATAATCATGAGTGAGTCTAACATTCAAAGGAAGTAAATGAATTGTGTAGGAGATTAACCCCATAACTTGGTTTCTTATTTAAAAATTTCTTGAGCAGCTGTTTGATGATGGTGATGTTTATCTCCTTCTTCTTGGCAGCCAAGCCCAACAAAATAATGGCACACAGCAGTTGCTGCCCAAGCCTGGGTGCTCCTGGTGGTCCTGCACGATCGGCTGTGCAGTAGGCTTGTCAAGGAGAGGATCCTCCCTGGCCTCTCCTTGGGCAGAGGAGGTGAGGGTCACCTCACGAAGATCTTTGGAGAGAGGGAGGCGGGGATCTGAGCACAGTGGGAGCCCCCCTCTTCCTGCCTACCCACCCCACCTGAGGGCTCTACTCACCACCATGCTTGTCTGCAGCCCCAAGCTCCTGGGGGGCTGGGGCTCCTGGACCGGGCTCATCAGCAGAGTTGTGGGCAGCGGCCAGGAATTTTCTGTGCCCATTGTTGTAGTTGCTGTAAGCCGCAATACCATCTGCTGCAGCTCCAGCAGCTTCACCTGGAGGGAGGGGTGCTCAGCTGCCATGCCGCTGCCTGCGCCCACCCTCACACCCACCCCCACCCCCACCCCCACAGAGATGTTGCACACCCTACCTTCATCTCCTCCCTGAGCTCCAGCCTGATGGTGTCCTCCTCCCAGTGCTGCATCTTTGGCACGGCCCCCTGGTTCTGATAAAAGGTGATGGATTTTCCTGCGGGAGGACAGGGCTCAGATTCTGGGGCCCCTCTGATGGCTCTGTAGCTCCCCCTGCCGTGCCCTGGCCTCCCACTCACTGATGGCATCTCTCTTGCCAGTATTGAATGAAGCGAAGTTCTTGTTTTTTCACCAGCTCACTCAGGTCTGCCTTCTCCTTCAGGTGGTCCATAAAGCTGCTCTGGAGACAAAATATTGCAGTCACATCTCGGCAGCGACCTGCCCTCAGGTGGCATTTTCAAGTCATGGAGAAGGCGGAGGTGAGTCCTGGCATGGGCCAGCTTCTCCGTGACTTCCTGCAGGGCCCAGTGGGTCTCCCCACTCACAGACTCGCCCCCAGGCCCTGGGGCTCCAGGGCCTCTGGCTGCCTCTGGCTCCTTCTGGGCCGAGGCCACCGGGTGAGCCAGGCGCTGGCAGCACACCCTCTGCTCTTTCACCTGCTCTTGTAACTGTGCCTGCTTCTCCTGGACACTAGCTCCAGCGGACTTGAAAAATGCCACCTGAGGGCAAGATGTGAGCATTCTTCTAGGGGCATACACAGAAGAAATGGGGCAGAGAGGTGGAGCGCAGCCCCTTCCCTTGGGGCCTCAGAGAGTGCACCTGTTGGCCACAGGTGAAATGGTGTCTGACCACTGGCTCTCGGAAGGGGTGAGGGTCCAGAGAAATCAGAAGGCAGGGAAACGAAGAGCATAAAGGGGTCTTGGAGGGACCACAGAGAAAGGTGGCAAAATGGGTGCAGGGGGGAGTCAGGCTCACCATGGCCTCCCTGCTCTCCGGGTCCTCTGGGACACTCGGCATGGGCCGAGGTGCCTCCTCCCCCTCACTGTCCAGATGTTCTCCTCCGTGTCCTGTGGGGGGTGGCCAGAGGGGTCTTCAGACAACCCAACAAGGGAGGTACTGTGGGCCCACCTCTACCTCCACCCTCACTGTGTAACCCTGAGCCAGCCCCTCCCCAGAGAGGAATGAGCTGTTGTTCTTTATTTTTACTTTTAAGAATCAAGATCTTGCTATTCCGCCCAGGCACACTCCCACTACTGGTCGATGTGGGAGTTCTGACCTGCTCCCTTTCTGACCTTGGCCAGTTCAGCCACCCTTAGGCAACTTGGTGACCGCCCGCTCACAGGAGGTCACCACACTGATGCCGAACTTAGTGCAGGCACCCGGTCGGCATAATGACCAGCTGCTCTAAAGGTCTCTTCCAACTCCTCAATCCTATGCTGCTAGCAGTCCCCCCTTCCTCCTGGGGCTCTCTCCTCTTCCTCTGAGCGGTCTCCCGTACCTTCCCCAGGGAGAGCCATGAGGCTCAGCTGGGCCGTTAGCTGCTGGTTCTGCTGGCTGGCCGCTTCCAGGTGCTCCTAAGGGGCCAGGAAAGAGTGAGAAGGGATGGAGTTTGCCAGGTCGTCCCCCTCACAGCCCCATCCTCGGCAGCTCCCTCCCCTGGGTCTCCTGCAACTTTTGGCAGGCCATCTCGGCCACTGCTTTGCCCCAAGCTTCCTACTGCTGCAGCTGGTTCATTAGCTGGGTCTGTTGCAGTCACTGCCTGTACAGCGCCTCCTTCTCACAGGTCAGCTGCTGATAGGCGGCCACCTGCTGCTGATAGGTGGCCACGTACTGCTGCAGGTGACCCAGGTAATGGTCTGGCTGCTGCTGCAGACTCTGAGCCTCTTGGCTCTTCAGCTCCACCTGCAGGAAGACCCTGGGTGTGAGGGCACGTGGTGGCTGGTTTCCAGATTCTGGGCCCATTAATAGGGTAGCGAGGGCACTGTGGGGCTCTGTCAGCTACCCAGGCCCCTGTCCCCTTACTCCAGGCCTAAGTGACTGCCTCCCTTTCCTAGAACCCCATGCCTCCTTCCCCAGCCTCAAATCTCATACCCTCTTCTCATTTAATCCTCAGCACCTCTGTAAGGAAAATGCTAACTTCCCTTTGAAGTTAAAGAAACAGAGACTTAGAGATGCAAAGTACTTGAATGGTGACCAGTGGAACCGAGGCTGGAATCCAGTTTCAATCTAAGGAGTCTTTTTGTTTTGTTTTCAGACAAGAGTGTCACTCTGTGGCCCAGGCTGGAGTGCAGTGGTGCAATCTCAGCTCACTGCAACCTCCACCTCCTGGGTTGAAGCAATTCTCGTGCCTCAGCCTCCCGAGTAGGTGGAATTACAGGCATGCGCCACAATGCCCTGCTAATTTTTTTTTTTTTTAATTTTAGTAGAGATGAGGTTTTACCACATTGGCCAGGTTGATCTCAAACTCCCGACCTCAAGTGATTCTTCTGCCTCAGCCTCCCAAAGTGCTGGGATTATAGGCATGAGCCACTGCACCTGGTATAAGGAGCCTGTTATAGCACTGTCTCTTCCCCTGTGATTGGGGGCTCCATGCCTCTAGCTGGGATGATGATGTCCAGACCTGAGAGGAGCCCAGGGCTACCCACCTTTAAAAGTCAGAGGCAGGAAGCGAGAAACAGTCGCAGGACTGCCCTGCGGGGTGCTGTGGTCACCAGCCCCCAGGCTGGAAGCTGCCTCTGACCTGGCACCTCCCCTCCCAAGAGGCTGCTGCCCGCCTCCCAGCCCTTCTTGGATGGGGTGGAGGTTTCCGTCTCCTTCACCTCGCCAAGCTTCTCCTGTAGCTCCTTTACTTGCTGCTCCAACTGCAGTGTGCTCTTGTTCTCATTGTTCTGGACAGAGAGAAGCAATCAGCAGCCACCCACTGCAGCTGGAGACCCCAGAACTTGGTGTCTGCCTCCCATGGCACTGGGAAGGCTGGAGGCAGGTTAGAAAAATCACCCCCTCTCTCCCACAGCCACCTGGCTCACAGGTGCCTTTAGAAGTAACCTTTCACGCGAGGGCTACACTGCCCCATTTTAGAGGTGGGGAAACAAAGGCCCGGAGGGCTAGGGAGGAGGGCAGGCTCCCCAGTTGGGGCAACGCACCAGCTCCTCGAAGACGCTCTGTGGCTTGGCCAGCTGCCGAAGCTTCTCGTGCTGCTCCTGAAGCCTCTCCTCCTGCTTCCGAAGCCTCTCTTCCTGTTCCCGAATCCTCTCTTCTTGTCGCCGGTTCAGGAGACTTATGTGCTGATTGTTTTTGACCTGGGACTGGAGCTCTCCTGCCACTCTCTCTAGTTCCTTCCTCAGGTGCTGCAGCTCCACCTCAGAGGGCACTGCTGGGGGCTCCGGGGGCAAGGGTTCAGCTGACAAAGGAAGCAGATAATAAGGGCCTCTGGATTCTCGGAAAAGAAAAACCCTCCTCTTGGCGCACAGCTCCTCTCAGGCTCCTCAAACTTGGCCTCACTGCTAATGATTCCTCGCACCCAGATGGTAGCCAGTCTTCCAAAGGACTTTCAGAGAAAGAGCACTGTGGGTGGCTGGCAACGGGCCCTCTTTGCTGATGGGGACACTGAGACACTGAGACTCATTGAGATGACAAGACTCGCCGTCTCCTGGCACAGATCTCTTTCCCTCTGCCTCAAAGCCCTTCCATCCACCCACCTCCCTGGGGCACTCTAAGCCACCCTCACAGCCCTCTGATGCCAGTCCTGCTCCCAGGTCATGCCAGCCCCATCTTACCCATCTGGTTTTTGAGTTTGGACAAGCTCCTCTCCAGCTCCTCTACCCGACGCATATCTTGCTGCTTCTCTTTCTTTAATGTGCAAATCTGCCCAAAGCACAAGGGGAAAGGGCCTTGGAGAGAGGGGCTGGAGGCTGGACAGGCTGCCCTCTCCCTCTCTGCCCCCACCTCCACAAAGCCCAGACCCATGACCACCTCTGGCTCTACTATTCCCATTTTACAGATGCCCAGAAAGATCCAGTGACCTATCTAATGTGGGGGGGCTGAAGGGTCAGATCTCACCTCCTGCGACATTTTACTCATCCTCTGATGCCACCGGGCCCTCTCTCCTTCTATATGTTCAGCACACTCATCTCTTTCTAATTGGAGTTGTTGAAATGACTCCTTCAACTGCAAGAATGGGCACAGAAGTTAGGAAGGGCTGTCACTGGTCCTCACCTGCTCCTGGCCACCTGGGGTCATCGTCCTTCCACATCCCTCCCTCGGAAAACCTCACCTGTGTCAGCTGCGCTTTCAGCAGTGCCTGGTCCTGTAGGGACTGCTCTAACTCCCACTCTGTATGTGCTTTGCTGCAGCTGGACAACTGGATGGTGAAGAGTGAGAAGTTTCAATCTGGAGAGCCTGGGCATTTCCACACAGTGCCCCTTAACAGGGCTAGGGCTAGGCCCAATATACAACTCGGTCAGTAAAGATCAAGGCATTTCCAAGCCCGTGGTCTGGTTTTTAAAAGAACACAGTAAAGTTGGAACGGACAGGGAATGAGACTGAGTTTATAGCTGGCTAACAGAGGCCCAGAGAGATCAGATAATATTGCTATTGTTATTATTGTCATTATTACCACTGTTTGAACCTTTGTGGAATGCTTCACCAGGTACCGTGCTAACAATCCCATTTAATCCTCGCAACCACCATAGGAGACAGTTACTATGATTCCCTCTATTGTGGAGATGAAAAAACATGGAGTATTTGAGGTTAAGTGCTTGCCTAAGTTCACTTAGGCAGAGCTGGGATATAAACACCCAGGTCTATCCAATTCTCTAAGCCCATTTTTCTTGCTGGGGATGGGGGCACAGATAGGAAGGGGAAAATTAATCTTTTGTTCACTTTTTGACAGGATGATACATTCACATAGTCCAAAACTCAGAAGGTACAGAAGGGAAGTATCTCCCAGCCATCTTGTTCTCTCTCCTGAATTTTTTATGAACCCTTGCAGACATGTTTTATGTATATTATCACAGTATGTACACACACACACACACACACACACACACACACATGCACGCGTTTCCTCTTTCTACAGAAATGGTAACATACTAAAGGTACTCTTCTGTACCTTCACAGTACAAGTACCCAATACCCCACCTAGGACTTGCCCAAGACCACAGCCAGGTAAGGGCGGGGCAGGCACTTGGCCTCCAAGCTCTGCGTCCAGTGCTCACTCCCCACAGTACCCCCCAACTCACCCACAGCAGCTGACTCGGCCCCAGGCTGCCACTAAAAACCATACAAAAAAGTAGCAAGAAATGGCCATGCTGCCTTCTGGGCAGGACACGCCATCCTGCAGAAGGGACCTTTAGGCTCACTCCTCCATCTGCAAAACCAGGCTCCCAGGGGATGGGGCAGGTGGCTGGACTCACCTGGTTTGCCTTCTTCTTCTCTGTGGCGATGACAGCAGACAGAGCGCTCTCTAACTCTCCTTTACACTGCAATGAATGTTGCAGGCGGACAGCCAGGTCCTTGGACTCTTCTGTAATGAGAGAGTTGAGATGGGGCCCAAAGGACTCCTCCTGAAGACCTGTCAAAGTGCCAGGTTGAAGGATGACAGGGTGCCCAGATTCCCACCTTCAAAGTATCTGAGAGAACGTTCCATGTGGTACAGGTCCGTATTTAGTTCCTCTTTCTGTATGATCAATGTCTGGATTTGAACCTTTGGGAGAAAAGCCAAGCAAGTGCTGAAAGAGAAGGAAAGAAACATTCTCCGGAGGACAGGAGGAAACTGCACACCCTCCACTCACCTCTAGCTCCCTTTCGGCTTTCTGTCTCTCGTTGTTTGCTTTCTTTTCCTGTAGGAAGAGGAAGACAGAGCTCTTACCAGGGGGAGGCAGAGATGGCACAGCAAGAGACATGCCCCCAGAATGCCACCAATGCCCCAGGACAGGCCCACCCATGGGACCAGGTTATCAGGGGCCCTGTGGGGATGGGGTGGAATCTGAGGGGTGAGCCTTCTTCCCCAAGCTGGGAGTGGGTGAGACGAGACTGGGGCCTGTATGTCTGAGTGCCCCCCAAACCCAGCAGTCATGTCGCGAGGAAACGAAATCACGTTACTTCTTCCAGCTGATGTTCCACTTGTTTCTTCTGTTGTTTCTGTGGGGAGAGTCAAATAAGGTGATGGAGGGTGGCCCCCTCAACTCTATTCCCCAGATCAGGAAGCGGTAGGCAGGGGCCAGGAATGGATTTTAAAGGCAAAGTTCTCAGACATAATGGGAACACGAACCGGTAAACTCTCCTCAAGCTCCCAAGGACAGAGGATTTGGGTCTTTGTTGGCTTTTGCCCACAGCCACAGAACTCAGTCTGAATCTGGAATCTCTTGAGAGGACAGCAACATAAACCTCTAGAGATGGAGTTTCAGAAAGGCCCCTCCTTCTGGCAGCTTGTGATTTAGAAAAGTGGGTTCATTCAATAAACACTTACTGAGCACGTATGGGCCAGGTACGGTTCTTCACAGCAGATATAGGATGGAAAAGGACAGACAGGAGCCCTTAGCCCTGAGGTTTCCATTCCCGGGGGCCTTTAAATCTCAGACTCGAGAGCTAACAGAGACCTTTGATACTCACTACCTCCTCTGGAAACACGAGCCCAAAAAGGAGAGGTGGCTTGTCCAGAATCAAAGAGCAAATTAGGGACTGAGTCATGGCAGAAATACGGGGCCCTTGACAACCAGTCAGGCTAGCACTTCCCCAAGAGGCAACAACCCCAGGGCGTGTGTAGCAAGGACTCGAGCAGGGGTGTCTGGAGAGGAGAGAGTCGGCAAAGAGGGCAGCAAAAGAAGAGCTATGCTGCATGCTCTGGGGTCCCTCCAGGTGAGGCCTGGGCACCCAAGCTCCCTATTTGTCCCGGGCACCAGGGACCCCCAGCCCCTTTCTTCAGGGCCCCAAGGGGAAACTGGAGCCCAGGATTGGCAGCGTGGAATCAGGGGACCCCACCGGACTCTTACCAAAGATTTGATGGTGTTCTTCAGTCGACTGATTTTTACGGACGTTGAATCCAGGACTACTGCTCGTTCTTGGCACGGGCTCTGAGGTGCATGCAGAGAGGAGGAGGTGGAGCAGGAGTGGGGGGAGAGGTAGAGAGAATGATCGTTAGGGCTGGGGTGTGTGGGCTGTCTCAGCTGGCAGAGGGGCACCCAGTCCCACCTGGAGGAGGAGGTTGGAGGGTTGACCCGAAGGGTCACTGCACCTCCGCCCAGAGCCTCTTACCTCCAGATCTTTCAGGGTAGCAGATGATGTAGGGCCTTCCCTGTGGAAACCTGTTGCTGACTACAAGAGATGAGAGTGCACATGGAGATGTTCTGTCCCCCACAGTGTCTGAGCCCTCTGACTTCCTTTCTTCCCCATCAACTGCAACATTTTCTTTTCTGCCTATCTTGGACCTTTTGTCCCATAACTCCTTTGTGCCAACTTCTCTCATGGTTCTTATCTCCCCACCATCCCATCCTGGGGCCCCTTCAGTGACTCCTGATGGCAAGTGGCTGTTCTCTTTGTCCTGGTTTCCCCTTGAGACTGGGGATGAGGAAAATCAAACCATATCCTGGGTGTCCTGAGTGTTTACAGCAGGCCATGTACTAGGGATTAACATAAAAACAACAATAACAAATCTCATTTAAACTTCACAAATGGAAGTGAAACAATAACACCTCTATTATACAGATGTGAAAAGAGAGGCCCAATGAGGTCTAGCAACTTGCCCTAAATCATATCCCTAGCAGAGCAGATGGAGAGGCAGGATTCAAACCCAGAATTCCTTTTTTTTTTTTTTTGAGACAGAGTCTTGCTCTTTCACCAGGCTGGAGTGCGGTGGCATAATCTTGGCCACTGCAAGCTCCACCTCCCAGGTTCACACCATTCTCTTGCCTCAGCCTTCTGAGTAGCTGGGACTACAGGCACACGCCACCACGCGTGGCTAATGTTTTTGTATTTTTAGTAGAGACAGGGTTTCACCGTGTTAACCAGGATGGTCTCGATCTCCTGACCTCATGATCCGCCTGTCTTGGCCTCCCAATGTGCTAGGATTACAGGCATGGGCCACCACACCCGGCTAAAGCCAGAATTCTTAACCAGTACCCAGCAGTCCATCCACAATCTTAAGAATTACCCTCTATTGCCCCTTGGGCCCCCTGTCCCCAGAAGCCTGGTCAGCCAAGACTCACATCCCCAGGTGGCTGGCAACCACCGGAAGTGGCTGTCTCAGGGATACTGCCATTTGTTTTCCTGTTCCTGTTCACTCCTGCTGGAACTCTAGGTCTGTTTTTCTGCCAATATTCTTTTAACTGTTGGAAAGAAGAGCAGTAATATTCATGAGAACCGTCAGCCCCTACAGCCACAACCTCCTTTACAGTTTTTACAAAATACACTTACACACCATCTGATTTAATGACACCAACAACTGTACAAGGTGTTGTCACACTCATTTAGTGACTGAGAAGGATTGATATCATGGCTAGAAAAAAAAAAGAAAAAGGCAATACTGGAACTTTGAGACTCAGTCTTCTGACTCCAAGCTCTGAGGTTTTGCCAAGAATCAGCAGCTGCCAGGGACCAAAACCAGAGGCAGAGGTAGAAAAGTAAACATTAAGTAGGCAGGAACTGTATGCCATGTGGTTTAGTCATACATCCTCACACGTCTGTTAGTGTGAAGAAGTGCACCAGTACCTCTCAAACTTTTATATCAATGTGTCCTCATGGCAGAAGGCAGCCTTTCTCTTAAATCAGAATTTATCAGAAAGAGGACAACCCAAGCCTCATTTCAGAGAGAGGTCTGGTATACTCTTAGAAACCTATGTGACTGTCCTCCCTAAGTACATTCATGTTTTTTCTCTTGATCTCAAGAGAATCAAGGGAAACTGATGCTTCAGAAAGATGTCCCACATTTATCCTGTGGCACTCAAAGTACCCAAGGTTGAGATAATATGAGGAAGATTCAAGGTGTCAAGTTCAGTTTCCCAAGTTCTATTCCACAGAAGATGAGCAAATCTCACTTCAGAGACCACTGACTGAAGGAGAGTCTGGTCCCAGAACCATGGAGAATTAGAATATGAGGTGGAGAACTCAGAAAAAAATGTTAAAATCTCTCTGGAAAGTAGAAGCCTGGGAGAAAACCAAATCAAACCCATTCTCTCATTGCCACCCAGAGATACTGTCAATGTTTTGAGTTCATGGGGGAAGTGTAGGCTTTTCCCACCGTCAACATCTGTAAGGGAGTGAGGCAGCCTGGAACCTCTTGCTCCTAGGTCCCATAGTCTCCATTCCCCTTCCAGCTGGAAATTTGTGCTGTGACCAGAGGAACCAGAAACGGGGTGAGAACGCTTAGGGGACTGGGTCGTAAGGTCAAAGGCCAGTCTTGCAGTAACGGCAGTTACTAGGTGGACTGTGACATCACAACATTCCACTCCTCCTGGTCGGGGGGAGGGACCATGTCAGCACCATGTCCAAGTCGCTGCTCCACGATGGGGGAGGGAAGCACAGGGTTGGGACCCAGCTCCTTGGAGACGCCAGCACAAAGAACCCAGGGAGGTCGACCTTGAGGCAGCAGGAGGGGAGGGCACAGTCTGCAGCAGGGAGTCCCAGGAGTCACCAGCCCAAAGTCACCCAAGGATGACTGGCGAGGGTGGGGCCTGGCTCCTTGGAGATGAGAGCCCAAAGAGCCCACGGAGATCAAGCTTGGGGCGGCAGGAGATGACAGCCCAGTAATGGAGCGGGAAGCCCCAGGAGTCACCCACCCAAAGTCACCCTGGGGTGATTGGCGAGGGCAAGGACTGGGCTGCTTTCTGAAGGGGTGGGGCTGACTGACAAAACTTTGGTGGGGGTAGCCCAAGGCACCGGGGTTGGGGGGACCAGTCCAGTGTGCCTCAGGAGTCATATAGACTCTGGCAGGGGTCTTGTCATCAGAGGGGATCTGTGGCTGGGTTGAGGGGCTATGACCTAGTGCGTTTTTACCTTTTTCTTGGCTGCAGCCAATTTGTTGTGTTGAGTTTCTTCTGCCATTGCAGGGTGGGGAGGGAGGAAGGGTTGGGGCCACAGCAGCAAAATCCCAATAAGAACCGATCAAGGCCTCCAGTCACCTACCAGGCAGCTGTGTGACTGAGCCAGAGGAGGCGTAACCAGGGCCCCAGTAGAATGCGGAATAGGGGCGTGGCCTTAATGCTCCAAGCCCATTGGTCAATGAGAAAGATGAAAGGGAAAGGGGGCGTGGCCAGACAGCAGCGTGTCCAGAGGGCCCTGTGGCTCACAAGGAAAGCTGCCCATGGCAACCGCTCTCCCCACCCACTCTAAGAGAGGGGAGAGGCCTCCCACTCTGGAAGAGAAGAGGGGCTGGCTTTTGCTTTAAAAGCTTTAAAACTTTAAAAAATATATGTGTGTATACTTTATATATATGTGTGTCCATGTGTGTGTATCTATGTTTTTCTCCATAGCTGTCTTCATTATCCAGCTTCTATGCAAGGTCTATGATTTTGGCCTATATTTTTCATCTTTGATTACAGTACAAAAATTACCAGTATTACCTTAACTGAGATACAGATCCTATAAAAATGGAAAATGCATAGCATGCTTGATGATTAATGAAGCAGACTATATTATCCAACATTCTAATAAGATAAAATAATCACAATGATTTCTCTTTTTTGGAAAAATGTTTCTCTTATTCTCCTACGTTTTCGTTAAGATTTTTTTTCTTAAACAAGAAACATGTCTAATATCTGTAAAAGCACAAAGCTTTTGGGCTGGGTGCAGTGGCTCATGCCTGTAATTCCAGGACTTTGAGAGCCCAAGGTGGGTGGATCATGAGGTCAGGAGATCGAGACCATCCTGGCTAACACGGTGAAACCCCATCTCTACTAAAAATACAAAAAAGGCCGGATGTGGTGGCAGGCAGCTGTAGTCTCAGCTACTTGGGAGGCTGAGGCAGGAGAATGACATGAACCCCCGAGGTGGAGCTTGCAGTGAGCCAAGATCATGCCACTGCACTCCAGCCTGGGCTACAGAGCAAGACTCCATCTCAATTAATTAATTAATTAATTAATTAATTAAAATAAAAAATTAATAGTAAGAGCAATGTGAACAAAAGATGCAATAAAATAATTTAGAAAATACAAACTATTAAAAAATAGATTTTAAAACTTGTGCAACGAAGTCAAACAGCAGCCAACGAAAATGTATACCCTTACACGTTTGTTTAAAAAGCAATTTAAATTACATTGATCCACTAAACTAGGAAAAGCAAAACAAACAAAAAGGGGGAAATAATTAAGACCTAAGGAAAAAGAAAAACCACTAGATTTAAAAAATAAAACTAAAGGAGGATTCTTTCAAAAGACTGAGATAATAAAACAGTCAAGCCTCTGATAAGTAATCAAGATAAAGAAAACTTTGAAGAGAAAAGGGCATATAGCCACATGTGAATATGATGCAAAAAGTGAAAACTTTACACATCTTTACAACACCTTAGAAGTATGGATGACATGTTCATTTTTTTTTTTTTTTTTTTTTGAGACGGAGTCTCGCTCTGTCACCCACGCTGGAGTGCAGTGGCGTGATCTTGGCTCACTGCAAGCTCCGCCTCCTGGGTTCACAACATTCTCCTGCCTCAACCTCCCGAGTAGCTGGGACTACAAGCGCCCGCCACCACGCCTGGCTAATTTTTTGTATTTTGGCTTAGTAGAGACAGGGTTTCACCATGTTAGCCAGGATGGTCTCTATCTCCTGACCTCGTGATCCACCCGCCTCGGCCTCCCAAAGTGCTGGGATTACAGACATGAGCCATCGCACCCATCCAAAGTGTTCATTTTTTTTTAAGAACCTACAGTTACGAAAAGTAACTGAAGAAGTGGGAAATCTGGAGACCAATATGCAGAAGAAGGAAAAAGACAAAGACTCATCCTCCAAATTGGATATTTAAACCAGAATTTGTCATCCTCAGCAATATTGATATATTGGGCCAGATAATTCTTTGTGGAGGGTTCTCTTGGTGTGTTGTCGGGCATTTAGTAACATTCCCTCTACCCACAGAATGCCAATGAGACCTCCCGACCATGACCAGTTGTGACCACAAAAATGTCTCCAGATATTTCCAAACGTCCCATAGGAGGCAAAATACTCCTGCAGTTGAAAATTACTGTGTAAACCAGATCTACATCCTAGATCTTAGAAAAAAGATGTAAAGCTTCCCAACTCAGCCCTGCATGCCCTTGATACTGAAATAACAGCCTTAAAGGAAACAAACAAAACTATAATCTTATTTAATACAGAAGTAAAAATGCAAAAATAAAATATTACCATAGCCATTCTAACAGTGTTTATTATAGGAATGCAAAGATAATTCAAAATTAGGAAAATTTCATCAGGCAATTCACAAATTATATTTCTACATATAATTGAAGGCACAATCATGAAAAACAAAGTAGCTCTATATGCATTAAGTCCATGATCTATTCAGTGAAAAACACAAGTTGCACATGTCTTACAGAAGGAAAACTTAACACTGAACACAGATTCTCACCATCTGCTCTTTGTCCTGAGGCTCCAATAGAAATACAGTGAAGAATAAACATTGTATAAGCACACCATTACAAAAAAGGAATGGGGTTACCAACAGAAGAGAATTCATCTTCATTAGACAATGACAGTACATGGAAAATGGTTAATTCATGGAGCAAAGCAACAAAGGTGGAGGTCAGGGGGATACTGAGAACAAGGAGGCTAATCTGTCCCACAGCAACCTGGAAAGGTTCTAGACTCAGACACGAGGTACCCCCGACAGTGGGACTGATAGGCAAGACTGAAAACAGAGATTAAGCAAAAGCCCGGATAGAGAACACATTTCACAGGCCCTGAAACACACTGCTAGCCCCATCTCCTTAAACAGAACCCAAGCAAACGTATCCACCTCAGGCAAGAGAATGTAGATTTTACATCCAGAGGAATGGAGTAGTCATCCAGCCATCATTTATGATTGCAACAGGAGACAAGATAGAGGGATGGAGGATAACAATTAGGAATCAGCATACATTCCCCTTAAAGCTATCAGTTGACAAGTCTTGGCCACAAAGAACTCCCAATCAATTTTTATTTATTTTTATTTTTATTTATTTATTTATTTATTTATTTTGAGACAGGGTCTTGCTCTTTCGCCCAGGTTGGAATGCAGGAATGCAGTGGCATGATCAGAGCTCACTGCAGCCTCAACCTCCTGGGCTCAAGCAATCCTCCTGCCTCAGCCTCCCACGTAGCTGGGACTGCAGATGGGTGTCACCACACCTAGCTATTTTTTTTTTTTTTGTAAAGATGGGGTCTCACTATGTTGCCCAAACTAGTCTTGAGCTCCTGGGCTCAAGTGATCCTCCCACTTCGGTCTCCCAAAGCACTGAGATTATAGGTGTGAGCCACCACACCTCGGCTCCCAGTCTTTTAGTACCTCTCTCAAATATGAATGAACAAATAAAGGAATGGAAAAAAGACTACAGGTCAGGCACGGTGGCTCATGTCTGTAATCCCGCACTTTGGGAGGCCGAGGTGGGTGGATCACCTGAGGTTGGGAGTTCCAGACCAGACTGACCAACATGGAGAAATCCCATCTCTACTAAAAATACACAAATTAGCTGGGTGTGGCAGCACATGCCTGTAATCCCAGCTACTTGGGAGGCTGAGGCAGGAGAACTGCTTGAACCTTGGAGGCAGAGGTTGTGGTGAGCCAAGATCACATCATTGTACTCCAGCCTAGGCAACAAGAGCGAAACTGGGTCTCAAAAAAAAAAAAAAAAAGACTACAAATGATAAGCAACATAGAATAGATATTTAAGGAAAGGCTTTAAAAAGAAAAATAAGACCAAAATAAACTAAGAAAAAGATTATTAAAGAACAAGGAGATGCCAGGGAGAAGACAAAGAGTATCAAAATCACTTCATAAAGACACTTGTGAATATATTACATGTATAAAACAAAACAATATGAATAAGAAATAATCAGAGAAGAAAAAGTTCTTAGAACTCATGCTCCATCTTGGGAGTTGGTCTCCAATGAGCCATACCTCCTGTCATCATGTCCTCAGACAGGCCCATCCCATAGTCAATCTGGGTTGGCCCCAACACTCACTTTAACCTATAGCATGTGGTAGAAATGACACTGGACCTGTTCCAGGTCTAAGCCTTAAGAACTCCTGGCAGCTCCATTTCTGTGCTTCTGGAAGCCAAAAATAAGAATTGGCTACCTTCTTGGAGAAAGGAAAGCCACATGAAGAGATCCGAGAGGATGAGATGCTATGCAGAGAGAAAGGCCACATCAAGAATTACCAAGGCAGCAGACCTGTGGGTAAAGAAGCCGTCTCAGACATTCCACTGCAGCTGAGCATCCAGATGACCAGTCCCTGACACTGTTTAACCACACAGTGAGAGCTGCCAAATGAGACCAGCAGAAAAACTGTCCAGCTAGCCCCAGGTAATCCATACAGTCGTGACAGATAGACAGATGTGTAGTTTTAGGCCATTAAGTTTTGGGATAATTGGTTAAGCAACAATAAATAACCGAAACAAAACTTAAAGTTATGACAGTCCAAATAAAATTTCCTGAAAGTCGAAAGATAAGAAAATATTCCAGAACTGAAAATTTAAAAAACATTTAGAAATAACGTGAGATATAAGACTCAAGACAAGAGGTCTAAAATCCAATTAACAGACACTTCCAAATGAACAAATAAAATGGAAAAGAGAAAGTTAACAACAAAAATATGACAAGATTCAAGACTCCAACTTTGAAAGAGCCTATCCATAGGCCTGTTCATTTGGTGTACCCAGCATAATGAATGAAAAAAGACCCACACTAAGTACACTGTTGTGCTATTTCAGCTCACCAAGGAAAAGACAAACTCCTAAAAGCTTCCAGGGAGAAAGTCATGCATAAACAAGTGAAACTCAGGATGGCATGAGGCTTCGCCACCACGACTGGTTAGAAGACAACAGCACAGACTTTGAAATTCTAAGGTAAAATTATCCTCAACCTAGAAATACATAATCAAGCAAACTATCAATCAAGTGTGAGGGTAGAATATGAGAGACGTGAATACTGATGGGGATGTGATATGCAGCAGGCACTGTTCTAAATGGTTTACATGTACCAACCCAATTAAGAAACTTAAAATACACACGCGCACACACACACACACACGCACACACACACACACACAGTTTTTCCTGCTAATCATTTTACGATGAAACAGCCAAGTAGCTAACCCAGAGCCCACAAAGGCAGAGTAAAAATTCTAACACTTGGTAAAATAAAAATGCACATATACCCTGTGATCTAAAAAAAAAAATGCTTAAATATTCAAAGACAGACAGCAATTACAGCTACTGAGAACATCACTGTAAGCAAACTGAGGCAGAGAAAACAAAGGTGCTAATGAGGATTTGAACCACCTAACATGCAGAAACCCACTGGATGCTTTCCTAGGTTCCGAGCTGGCATTGTCTTTCAGAATGATCTAGAAGAGGTCACATGACACTGTTACAAAGGATCTAGAGAAAGGGACCCTTGCTTTATCACTCCGGCTCTCCAGTCATGCTTCACATTTTCACTTCTTACACTCTTTCACATGAAGTCAATTTACAGACCTCCATCATGCCCTTAGAGACCTTTTTGTAATATTCTGACAAGTTCTGGATGTCATCTCTGCACTTTTGACAAATTCTTAGCAGTTAACGTACAAGGCAGTTAACATTTTTGTTCACGGTATAGCTAGAAAAGGGTCATATACTCAATAAAACAAATATTTACCAAGCATTCATTGAGTGGAAGATAAAACGCACAAAGCATAATTATAAAATATTCTCCCCTGCCATGATACAACAAAATTTTTAAAGGCTTACAGAATATAGCATAACATGACCAAAGCAAAAATAGTAAGGACTAAAGAGGGGAGGAAGGGAAAATATCAGCATGAACTGAATATGACCCAGAAGAGTCTTGATGGTCAGACATGTAAAGATGTATTGGGCAGGGTTAAGGGGTGGAAGTCAGGGGCACAGGTCAGGGGCACATTCTACAAGGGAAAAACAGCTGATACAGAAGCCTGAAAGGTAAAGTGGGCAGAGCACCTGTACAGGACTCTTACCTGCCACAGCGAGGGCACAATGCGCCTTTCCAGAACACAGCAGCGCGCAGCCAGGCCTGGGGCAGAGGGATCACTCAAACAGCACCAGAGGCTGCATTCCTACTTTTCTTCCGTCAACAAGTCCATTTTCGTTGTTAGTTTCTCCTTCAACACAAACTTAAAAACAAATGGCTGAACACGCAGGAACAAGGAAAACCTGACTGAAGAATGAGACGTTAAAACTTAAGGGCCTTGGGTCCTGGCACGGTGGCTCACGCCTGGAATCCCAGCACTTTGGGAGGCAGAGGTGGGTCATTTGAGGTCAGGAGTTCAAGACCAGCCTGGCCAACACGGTGAAACCCCGTCTCTACTAAAAACACAAAAGCTAGCCAGGCGTGGTGGCCGGCGCCTGTAATTTCAGCTACTCGGGAGGCTGAGGCAGGAGAATCACTTTAACCAGTGGACTGTCAAGAGAGGTAGGCTGCAGTGAACCGAGATAGCGCCACTGCACTCCAGCCTGGGCTACACAGTGAGACTCTGTCTCAAAAAAAAAAAAAAAGAAGTCATGGTCATGGTAAAAAACCTATGGCTTTGGAAGGCTTTCTCGGTAACGTCCTAGAATTAAGGTTAAGCCTGCGTTTCCTGTTAACTGAACAGGAAACCAGCCTGACCAACATCCTTCTGCCCGGTGGCTTGCTCTCAGCTCCTCTTCGTTGGGCCTTGGGCAGCCAGACTGTCTAGTTTTAATCCTTGCTCTGCCACCTGTGACCTTGGACAAGTTACCTACCTTCAGTTACCTCATCTACAAAATGCAGATATTAATAATACCCTCTTTTTAATTTATCCAGAGGATTAAAAGAGTTAATAAAAAGTAAAAAATAAAAAGACTTGGTAAGCATAGGCACAGAGGAAAAAAAAGTAAAAATAAATAATTAAATAAAAAGACCAGTGCCTAGCACATAAAAGTTCATCAGGAATTAATTCTATAATATGAACTCAATTTTGCAAAACTTCAAAGTACGTACAACTTTTAACTTACTAGGGTATACATACCAGTAATAAATTCACAACGGTAGACATGTTTGCCTACTGTAAATATAACAAAGACTAAACAAGCAGATACTAAATCATTAAGCAATTATCAGTATCTTTAATTTTCTTATACTTCTATATTTTCTATAGATCATCTTTGTAACAAGAAGAAAACCAACCAAATGAAAATGAAATGAATTCTCTCAAAAAGAATTAAGTCAAGACAGGAAGAAGGCTCGCAAAGTAATATAAAATATATCTTATGGTTTATGTAAAATTCTTAATAAAATACCTTCTTTGCTCCTAGCTGCACTCTGGCTTTGCCTTTGAGTCAGGTGGCATTTCTTTGCACGATGACTGGTTTTATTGAGTAGGCACTGCTTCAGCCCTACAGGAAGAACAAAACCTCTCTGGAACACAGCAGCATTCCTGACTCCCACTTGAGGAGGCCTAACAAAACGGCATATGCCTCAACAGCAGCAGATCAGTGTTAAAAAGTCTGGAGTCAAGGGGAAAAAGTAAAATTGGACCATTTCCAAAATCTCACAAAAAGCAACAAACTGACGTTCTAAGTGCCCAACATGAGCAAATTAGAACCTTAAATAAAGGTCACTCTTAATGCCTATCCCAGCATAGATGCAGCACCAAGTACAGTGTCATTTTACTGGTTTACCTTTTTCATTCTTGAAAGTAGGAGCTATGAAAAAAAAACACTAAAATTTCCCTAAGAGAACCTTCTACTTTCTGTCTAACTTACATAATCAAAACACTCTATTGAGGGTGAAAATTGAATATTATAAGAAAATAATCACGTGTTTTGCGAGAAGTTGCAAATATAATGCTCCTCCACCCAATACCTACCTTAAAAAGAAAAAAGGAAACATACAAAATTATCTCGAGAATTATTCCTGCTTAAACAATGTCTACGTGCCATTACTAAGAAAGTATGCACACAGTAAAGATGAGAAGAGAACATGCAAGCGTGAACATACTTGTTAGGGATATAGGACTATGGGTAATTTAAACATTTTAATGGTATTACTCTCATGTAATTGCTCTGAAATTCTAGTCAGTTGTTTGAAATGGCTCTTAGAACAGAATACTTTGACATTTTTATGATGTCAAAAACTAAGAACTTAGCCCTAAATATTCCAAAGAATAGGTGCAGAAGAACCCGTTTCCTTAAACGGCATTTGAGTATTCTTCACAACTCAAACTTTCTCTCCCATCCTGTGATGGCCAAGAGTTTTTCCTCTGACGACGGCACTGACCTTACCCTATCCAAAATATGAACATCTGCATGGTTTCCTGGTTCAAATTGTTTTTATCCATTCTGTCGTGAGAATCAAATGGTTCAGACCATGCAGCACCTCTCTGGGACTTCTCAAGTCCTTTCTAGATCTGAACACTATTCTCTGAACCAAAGACAACTTCTGGGGGTGTACCAAATCTCCCATTAGAAAATTATTAAGATCAAGATGTTTTAACCTTTTAACTCTTTCTCAAACAAAATAAATTCGTTTCTCCTTTACTGTTATTTTAAATTTCAAAATACACAGATAGTATGTCTAAAATAAAATCAAGAGAATGACAGTTTTAGAACACAAACTGTGGTAATTTTGAAAACACAAAAGCTAAGACCACTAATTAGGTCTATGTGGACACCAAGTCCACCACAACCTGTTCTGTCCTCCGGGGCTCTGCCCACGCCTTTCCCTTGCCTGAGATTCCTTCTGCTTCCTACCCTTCCAAATGCTGTATTTCCCCCTGGAAGACTTGCCAAGACCACTCTAACCTGCACATCTCCCATTCCAGCTAACCAAAGGCATCCTTGGGTTGACTAAACCAAGTTATTTTGCAGACAAGGCATCTAAACACTTCCACTGTAGACTATTCACCTTAATAATTGTTATTGTGACATTATTCAATAATAAAATGAGGGAAAGAAGTCCTCTTCAATCCCTTATCCTGGAGAACCCAAGCAAGTGTCTTTCCCACTTGCTTTGCCCAAACCCTGGGACCTTTCTAAGTAAAAGTTTAATGGAAGGGAAAGAAAATCTAAAAGAAAAACTCTCCAAGAAATTAAACTCGGGCAAAGATTCATGGGATTAAAAATTTTTATTCTTTGTGTATTTGATTTCCGAAACATAGAAATCTCTCTCCCACTCCTTAAACCTGCCACTGGGCTAAGAGAGTATTGTACAGAATATGCACTCACTGACTTAACAGAATTAGAACATCCAGGCACTCACTGAGATTTTGCTTCCACAACCGCTCAAAGTCTAGTCATTAGTTCATGAGTTAACACCACACTTGACCTTCAAGTTTTGGAAATGCTGACGGTAGACAGGGACTTGTTTTGGGAAAGGAAGTACACAGTAGACATTGTTACCCATGACCCAACCACCACCACCTTTCCTTTAAAGAACCCCACTCTTCCTTTAAGGTTGCAGAGTCTCAGAAAGTGGGAAGAAAGGAAGTTTTTGCATTTTCAGGTCAAAACGAAGTACATTTGTGCAACCACATAATGCCCATGCAAAGGTTTCTTGAAATCTAAACACAAGACAGAAGTAGTTCTAGCACCTCCACAAAAAGTAAGGTAAGTAAGTTTTTCCTTAATATACACTTTCAGCAGCATCAACACCTAAAAGTGGTTGACTTTACTACTGTACTAAATTAAATTACATTCATTTTGTCAATAGGTGTTCCAAATTCGTACTGATCTTTGTCTCCAAGGGGTTCCTGCTGAATATTGAGACAGTTGAAGATTACTAGGGGAAAAAATTCTTAATAATCGAAGTAAGGATCATCTAAGGATAATATGCCACATATACAGACACAGTCACATTTTCAGCTTTACAAAAGTTCAGTTATCAAAGTTGTACAGCAAACACTATCCTAAGCTTAGCGTCTTCAGGCATTTGATTTATAATCACTGTAAAGAAAAATCAGTCACAAAATGCCACTGTTGTATGATTCTATTTATATGAAATGCCCAGGATAGGCAAATCTACAGAGATAGAAGTTAGATCAGAGGTTGCCAGGATCAATGGTGGGGGAGAGAGCTACAGGGAGTGACTGCTAGTGGGTACGGGGTTCTTTTTGGGGAGATGAAAATGTTCTGAAATTAGGGAGTGGTAATGGCTGCATAACTCTGAATATACTAAAAACCACTGAACTGTACACTTGAAGGGTGAGGCTTATCATACAAAAACTGTATCACAATAAAGCTCTTAGTTTAAAAAATGTTTGTCTATGTCAAGAAACAAAGAAATAGGGTCATAGCTAGAAGATATGGGATATAAAATACTGGAACAAAACTGCTTAATAATATATCTAGAATCACACAATGCTTAGTCTTTACGCTGACTAAAATCACGAGATTTGTGTTTTATCGGTATTTCACATTTTTTACTTCTTCTAAGTCAGCCAGTAATTCCTCCTTCTCACTTAATCGTTGACTACAAAGACCAAGCCATTTTGACTCTGCCACCGATGAGCTTTCACATTTCTTTCCTCCTTCCATTCCCATGACTACCAAACCAGTGCAGGTTCTCCTCACTTCACTCTAAGACAACAGCGTGGCCCTCAAATACTGTCACACTCTTCAAGGCTCTGTGAGCACAATCTGTCTCATATTCTCTTCTGCTGTCACCAGATTTATTCTAAGACCGTTTCTTCACTGTTACTCCCCTGTTTCTCAACCAGTTACACAGAAAGACGAATATCCAGGCATGGTGTCATGTGCCTGTAGTCCCAGCTACTCAGGAGGCTGAGGCGGCAGGATCGCTTGAGAATGTGAGATTCAGACTGCAGTGAGCCATGATCATGCCACCGCACTCCAGCCTGGGCAACAGAGTGAGATTGTCTCAATAAATAAATAAGTAAATAAATAAATAAATAAATGAATAAATAAATGTGGTCTATCCATGCAACGGAATACTATAAAATTATCAGCCTTAAAAAAGAAAGAAGCCCTGTCACATGCTGCAATATAGATGAACCTTGAAAACATTACACTAATTGAAATCAGCCCATCACACAAAGACAAATGCTGTACAATTTCTCTTACATTAGGTTCGAAATTAGTCAAACTCATAGAAACAGAAAATAGAGCGGTTGTTTCCATAAGCCAGGGGATAGAGAAATGGGGAGTTGTTGTATAGTGGCTATAGTTTCAGTTCTCCAAGAGAAGCAAGTTCTAGAAACTCGTTACTCAACATGTATATTTTTAACACTACTGCACTGTATACTTACAAGTGGCTAATATGGTAAATTTTATGTTGTGCCTTATCACCATAATGTTTTTAAAAGAAGGGGTTTGTGTTTCCCTTCGTTGTGATCACCCATTTTTCACTTCAGCATTTTGAACTTGAGATTTCCTGTAGCGGTTTTACTGAGCCCTGCAGTTACCGGCTCAGAATGTCTCCACCGCCTTGTAACCTTGTAGGCAGACACTTTTCAGCATCTTATTGGGCTCCGTGTGCTTGATGCTTAAAGTGACATGGAGACATGCCACTTGCTGAGAAGCAAAGAAAGGCAAAAGGTGACTGCTTTCCTGGCATCGATGAAGGCAGAGAGAAGGGATCTTGGAGGCACAGATATTAAGCCATAAGCAATAACATGGGTTGCCAAAAAGAGAACTAACCCCTCTCCTGGTAACATTTCCAGGTGTTTTTCACAGGGCCAGTGGATTTCACAATGTGAGTGCTGTCCAGCACCAAAGGGAATGGCCAACAGGCATGGAGTAGCCTACAGCGTCCAGCACCCAGTAGGATGGCCAGGAGGCACGGAGCAGCCTGCCTGTCCCAGGAAAGCAGGAGTCACAGGACACAACTGGACCCAGGTAGGCATGTATGTTACTTTCCTGTGGCTGTTAGAGCAAATTACCAAAAATGTGGTGACTTAAAACAACAGAAATTTATTTTCTCACAGTTTTGGATATCAGAAGTCCAAAATCAGTATCACTGGGCTGAAATCTAGGTCTCAGCAGAGCCAGTGCTCTCAGAGGCTGAGGGGAAAATCCATCCTTTGACTTGCGCAGCTTCTGATGGCTGCTGGCATTCATTGGCTTGCAGCTCCACCACTCCAGGCTCTGCCTTCTTGGTCACAGGGCCTCCTTCTCTTCTGTCTGAAGTTAAATCTCCTTTATCTCCCTCTTATAAGGATATATGTGCCAGGATTTAATGCCCACGGAGACAATCCAGGATAATCTCTCCTCAAGATCCTTAACTTAATCATACCTGAAAATATGCTTTTTCCAAATGAGGTAACATCTACAGGTTCTAGGAGTTCCAGACCAGCCTGGACGACATGGTGAAACACGGTCTTTTTTTTTTTTTTTTTTTTTTTTTTTGAGCGGAGTTTCGCTCTTGTTTTCCAGGCTAGAGTGTTTTCCGGTCTCGACTCACCGCGGCCTCCACCTCCCGGTTAGGTGGTTCTCCTGCCTAAGCCTCCTGAGTGGCTGGGATTGCAGGCATGAGCCACCATGCCAGCTAATTTTGGTGTTTTTTTTTTTGTACAGACGGGGTTTCTCCGTGTTGGTCGGGCTGATCTCAAGCTCCTGACCTCGGGTGATCCACCCGCCTCCGCCTCCCTGGGTGCTGGGATTGCAGGCGTGAGCCACCGCGCCTCCGGTCCAATTTAGTAACCAAAAAGGAATAGATCGGCCTGGCGTGGTAGCTCATGCTTGTGATCCCAGTACTGTGGACGGCCGAGCGCGGCGATCGATTGAGCCTAGGACTTCCAGACCGGCCTGGGCAACGTGGTGAAACACTGTCTTTTTTTTTTTTTTTTTTTTGAGTGGAGTTTCGCTCGTTTTGCAGGCTGGAGTGCAGTGGCGTGGTCTCGACTCACCGCGGCCTCCACCTCCCGGGTTTAGGTGGTTCTCCTGCCTCAGCCTCCTGAGTGTCTGGGATTGCAGGCATGAGCCACCATGCCAGCTAATTTTGGTTTTATTTTTTTGGTACAGACGGGGTTTCTCCGTGTTGGTCAGGCTGATCTCGAGCTCCTGACCTCGAGTGATACGCCCGCCTCCGCCTCCCTGGGTGCTGGGATTGCAGGCGTGAGCCACCGCGCCCCCGGTCCAATTTAGTAACCAGAAAGGAATAGATCTGCCTGGCGTGGTGCCTCCCCCTTGTGATCCCAGGACTTTGGAAGGCCGAGTGTGGCAGATCGCTTGAGCCTAGGAGTTCCAGACCGCCTGGGCAACATGGTGAAACCCGGTCTCTGTTTTGAGACGGAGTTTCACCCTTGTTGTCCAGGCTGGAGTGCAATGGTGTGATCTTTGCCCACCGCAACCTCGGCCTCCCGGATTTAGGTGATTCTCCTGCCTGGGCCTCCCTAGTAGCTGGGATTACAGGCATGAGCCACCATATCCGGCTAATTTTGTAGTTTTTTTCTTTTTTTTAGTAGAGACGGGATTTCTTCATGTTGGTCAGGCTGGTCTCCGACCTCGGGTGATCCGCCCACCTCTGCCTTCCAAAGTGCTGGGATTGCAGGCCTGAGCCACTGCGCCCGACGGAAACCCAGAACGGAAAACAAAACAAAAACCACAAAGATTAGCCGGGTGTGGTGGGCCGCGCAGGTAGTCCCAGCTACTCTGAAGGCTGATGGAGGAGGATTGCTTCACCCCGGCTTCTAGGTGGCAGTGAGCTATGATGGCGCTGCTGCACTCCAGACTGGGCGACAGAGCGGGACTCTGTGGCAGGAAAAGGGAAAGGAAAAAAAAAAGAAAAAGAATGTAAATAAAATTGCTAACTCAAGGAACAGCTTGACAGTATATTATTGCGACAAATAGAGGCAAAGGTTAGCAGACACCAGTGTTCACTTAGTGGGACCTGCGGGTGTTCCCCCCATAGGAGGCTGCTACTTTCCCACAAGAAATCCATTACTGACTACCGATAAAAGAACACATCGTTGGTTTCTTACAATATACAAATAGCTAAACTTTATATAGCCACGACCCTCTTCTAGCACTGCTCTAAGCCTTTTCCTGCTCTGAAATAGCTACTATTGTTACCTCCATTGTAGAGAAAACAGGTGCCGGAGGCTGTTGTGGAAGGCCCAGGGAAACTGACTATGAAATTGACTTGTTGTAAGTTTCAGACTTAAAAGTTCTTCCTGCTCTGCGCCTTACATTGTTACATTTTAGTTAAGGTACCTCTTACAATACTGGTCCTTTCTGTATTTGGAGGGACTTCTCTTGCAAATTGAAGTTTTTTCTTGCGCTAAGCATTTGGTCATGAGATTATCTGCGTTTTACATCAGTTTAAATACCTCTTTAGACATTGTTCAGTTAGGAATGTAAATAGGAGCTAACATTGTGTGTAAAAGGAAAGAACATCTGATTACAACCACTTTTGTTTCATAATACAAATATAAATCAATATGTTATTGGAAATGCAGGCTGGGAGGGGAGGGAAAATATGCATAGAGAAAAGCCCCATCTCTGCTTGGAGTTCAGCACTGGGTCTCTTTTTCCTTTCCACCTTCCTTGTCAAGGCTGCCACAGTGACAAGCACACAGGGGTGCCTTTAGTGACACCTGCTGCGACAGACCTGGCAGAACGGATTGCAGATTTGCATGTTTCCTGGCTGCCTCTGCTAGCCTGAGTCAGCAGCCCACTCCAATTCATGCTGAGCTTAGACAGCTCAGGTTTGCAAAATTATCCCTTCCCTTGGAGCAACCGCTTTCCAGTCTCTTCATCATTCCTAAAGGAGAATGACATACATGCCAGCATGACAGAGGTCCAGAAATTTATAGAAGCTTCATTGTGAGCCTATATCCTTAACAGGGGTTCAAACTACCAACACCGAATGAAGAGAGAGGTTTTGCAGTAAAGCAGGAAGTCATTAAAATAATGAATCACCCAGCTAGGTTTTGAGCTCCTTTCCCACCAATTTAATGGAAAGTTTTATTGTCTTTACAATGTACACTTTCATAAATTTTGCATAAATTTATTATTCACATCTTAACATAGGTAACTCCTTAGTGTTTGATCACTGAGCAAATTATATGCAGCAAAACAATCCTATATTTTGGTGAACTCATAGCTTAGAAAATACTAAAGACTCATTGTAAACTGAGGGCAGCATTAAGCAAATTATATTTACCTTTGTGACTGCAAAACTTAATGATTCAATGCTTTTCCCATGAAATTTATCTTCCAATACTGATAGTTTTTTAAACAAAAAATATGAATTAAATATCAATTAAAATTTTATCATTGTTTTCAGAAACTGTGACTTCACTAGTTATGAACAGACTTGAAATGTATAGTTTTTAAGTTTGGAAATTCTTTGTAGTCTCATTTACTTTTCCAGGAAGGAAGTGAGATATTTTTTGCCACTGTTGCCTGGTTTTTGTTTGTTTTTTGATCATAAACAAAACTTAATGGAGCCTCAAATCTACTAACTCGGTCCTCCTCTGGCAATATGCCTTTTTCTGATTTCTAGATATCACTTGATATTTTTTAACACACTAATTTTATTATTTAAAAATTTATAAAAGTACTCAGAAGTAAGAGGCAAATTAAATTTGAAACCTTAGTGGTAATACCATCATCCAAAGTCATCATCAATAATATTTTGGCATATTTTATTTTAAAATACATTTCAGCACAGTTTAGTTATATTTGTTATATCTGTATCAATAAACTGTTTTCATATGTCATTACTTTTATGGATATAATTTTTGACGTGCGACTAATATGAAATCTTATATACTTGCTATAGTTGACCTTGTGAGACATTTAGATTTTCAACTGTTTAGTACTTTAATAACCAGTTTTTATTCTAATATCATTATTAGAATAATAATATTACTATAGTATTATTATTATTGTAGCAATAACTTGTTTTTAGAATAAATATCCTATTTCTCATTTAACTTGATCGGATCCATGCATGGACAATTATGTTGGGAACATAGAATGTAACTGGCCCTGTTTCAACCCCTTAGATGTGGCCCTCAGTTCAGGGAAGGGAGGAGTTCTCTACTGGGCTGATAAAGCAGAATTCAGAAACATTGTTTTCTTCTCTACCTGGTGTCTTACAAAACCAGAAGATGTGAGTGTGACTCGTAAAGGCAAGAGCATGTATATTATGCAAAAGCAGCCTGAAATATTTTATTCACAGACAGACAGACAATGCTTGACTCCCTGCTAATCTGAAATACTTCGTGGGGAGGGCCAGGGAAATCAAAACAAAATTTCAGAAGTAGAATGAGCTATTTGGTGTATGTCTCCAAGGCCAATAAATAACAAGAAGGAAAAATAAATTTCTTTGCTAACAACAAGAAGGAGAAATAAACTTTTTTGCTCTAAAATATTTTCCAATTATCTCCACGACACTGGAGGGAAGGACTAACAAAAAAAAAGAAAGAAAGAAAGAAAAAAAAAAAGAAAAGAAAAAAAAGGTGGGGCATGGTGGCTCATGCCTGTAATCCCAGCACTTTGGGAGGCCAAGGCGGGTGGATCACAAGGTCAGGAGATCGAGACCATCCTGGCCAACATGGTGAAACCTGGCTCTACTAAAAATACACAAAATTAGCCGCAGGCACCTGTACTCCCAGCTACTTGGGAGGCTGAGGCAGGAGAATGGCATGAACCCGGGAGGCAGAGCTTGCAGTGAGCCGAGATGGCGCCACTGCACTCCAGCCTGGGGGACAGAGCGAGACTCCATCTCAAAAAAAAAAAAAAAAAAAAAATTAACCATCACAGAGGAGCAGAGAAAAACCTTCTCAAAGACAGAAGTCATTGATTTATTTCCATCCCGGCACAAGCCCCTTAATTCTGTAACTTGTCCAGAATGGTTTCCTGTCACTGTAGATTCTGCATCAGAACATCCTCTTATGCAAAGCTAAAAAACTCCAAACCACCTCTGTTAACTGTGCGGTGCTCCATGGTTTCACACAGTCCAGAGCTGCTTGTGTTTATCAAAAATGAAGCTGAAAACAAAATTCTTCCTTCACACAACCACTACATTCCATTGCACATTTACCAAAGACATTTACCACATTGGCATTATTTGTGCATCCATCAAGAAGTGCTGAAAAGCATTCCCCTCACACACTGCATGTGTCCTGTGAGTGGATCTTCCATTTTACTTGCCAGTTCTGGAAAACTTTGAATTTGTGTGTCGATGGAAAATTAAAGTTTAGTGGCATCTTTGCCCCACATTCACCCAACTTTTCTAAGGAACTATTTCAATGCTACTTTTCACTAGTGTCACTTTTCAGTCTTAGCCTCCTGGAGTACAACTTTATTAGAAGCCCGCAAAGCACTAGTGTTAAAATGAGAAATAGTAAACATCTGATTCTGTTGTGTTTTAACTCCATGCTTTTCTCTAATGTTTCATTGTTTTGAATTTAATTCTTTGTGCTTCCCACGTGAATGCAACTTACAGTTTGAATGTCTTCTTTCTTCACTAGCCGATGCATCTGTGCCAGTAACACATGGTGATTCTGTCCTTTCACCTTCAGTTATGCCTGTAAAACCAAATTCAAGACAGATGATCCTCAACTCACAAAGGAGTTATAGCTCATCATCAGTTGAAAATATAAGCCGAAAATGCATTTAAGGCCGGGTGCAGTGGCTCAGCCTGTAATCCCAACTCTTTGGGAGGCTGAGGCAGGTGGATCACCTGAGGTCGGGAGTTAGAGACCAGCCTGGCCAACATGGGGAAACCCTGTCTCTACTAAAAATACAAAAATTAGCCAGGCATGTTGGTGCGCACCTGTAATCCCAGCTACTGGGAAGGCTGAGGCAAGAAAATCGCTTGAACCCAAGAGGCAGAGGTCGCAGTGAGCCGAGATCATGCCATTGCACTCCAGCCTGGGTGACAAGAACAAAACACACTGTCTCAAAACATTAAATTAAATTAAATTAAATTAAAATGCATTTAATACACCTAAGCTAACATCATAGCTTAGCCTAGCTTACCTTAAACATTCTCAGAAAATTTACATTCACCTTCCATTGGGCAAAAATTCTCTCTCACAAACCCACTTTAAAGTGTTGAATATCTCATGTAATTTATTGAATACTGAAGTATGGTTTCTGCTGAATGCGTATCACTTTCACACCATCATAAAGTCAAAAAATTATAAGTCAAACCATTGTATGTCAGGGATCATCTGTCCATTAGAAATAGTACTTCTGAGTAAAACGAGGACAAACTCCTTTGGTCTTCATGTCCTCAGAATCACTTTCATAATCATCTCTTGGTTTACAAGGTGCATCTTTTATTGGTTAAAAAAATTAATACAATTTATTTCACTCTCAAATTAGGTTTAATAATAAATAACACAACTTTCTTTTGTTTTCACTAATAATGCTAACATTGGCTTGATTTAAAATTAAAATTATTGCAAAAATAAGACTTTATAGAATAGATGTTCCCATTTTTCAGATGTGTGAGATTATACTATAGTTGACAAACTAACCTTAAAGAACACAGCTTGCAATGTGGTCCTTGTGTATGTGACTCGTTTGCAGCTCACAGCCTCTGCATCTTTCCATCGAGTCTGACAAAACCTGAGTTGGTCTGTAACTGCTCATTGAGACAAGTCCCCTGATGTCACATACAGATGCTGGGAGAATGTCAAGTTTCTATAGAAATTTCTAAACATTTACCCTGAATTTCTATGTTTCTGTCATTACATAGAGATGACAGAGTGTTGACAGACTTTGAGTGGTCTTTAGTAACCAATTGTTGAAAGTCTGGTTTAGCTAAACTAGTTTGTAAGTACCTTGGCAGGTGCCTTTGCTGTAGGAATTCTCAGAGTCTCTATAAACTAATGAGCATTGGAAATCTGCAGGGGGGAAACAGAGTATGCAGTATCCCCCATGATGATTCAACCCCAGATTTTATTTTTCACTGAGCATCTCACACTTAGTAGTGTATCTTTTCTATGCATTGGGCACTGGGAGACGACGTGTAGTCATCTCAACAGAGACCTGGCCTTCAGACGCCACCACTCACTGCCGCTCTGTCCAGGCGAGCATCAACTTGCACTGTTTCAGAAGCAAAAGGAAAATGAACCGCAGCCACTGAAGTCCCTCAGAACTGAGGAAAAGTTATTGACTTTCCTGATTTGTGTTCAATCTGGCTGGCCATGGGTACAGACACAGCTGGTTTCCCCATTTGTGAGCTGGACGGATTTAATTCCTGGCTGTTTGAATGATGTATCCCCTCATCAGTGAAACCAACAGAGTAGCTCAACTTAATTTTCTCTTTCTATGGCATGCCATTTATACCCATTCAATTATGCCTGTGTCAATTAAGTCAAACATTCTTACTGTCTCTATTTCTAATAAAAAGTGGTAAACACTCGAAAACCCCTTTCATAAATAGGCATGTATAAAAGCAATGTTCTTAATAAAAATGTTGGACTTAATAAAAGTATTTTAAAAAACAGTAGGAACCATAGTATAATAAAGGCCTTGGCCGGGCGTGGTGGCTCACACCTGTAATCCTAGCACGTTGGGAGGCTGAGGCGGGCAGATCACGAGATCAGGAGATGGAGACCATCCTGGCTAACACGGTGAAACCCCATCTCTACTAAAAACACAAAAAATTAGCTGGGCGTGGTGGCAGGTGCCTGTGGTCCCAGCTACTCGGGAGGCTGAGGCAGGACAATGCTGTGAACCCAGGAGGGGGAGTTTGCAGTGAACAGAGATTGTACCACTGAACTTCAGCCTGGGCGACAGAACGAGACTCCGTCTCAAAAAAAAAAAAAAAAAAAAAAAAAAAAAAAAAAAAAAAAAAAAAAATATATATATATATATATATATATATATATATATATATATAAAGGCCTCATTTTGCAGGTGAGGACACTGAAGATTATAGGAGAAAGAAGGGCTTCATGCAAAACCACGTTCCTGATTGTTGGCAGAACCAAGCCGACAACCTGGAACTCAAGTTTCTCTACTTATAGTAGACGCTCAAAGAATTATAATACTTTATAACAACGTCATAATGATTTGACGTTTCTAAGCTGGTCATGTTTTCTTTCATGTGTACTTCTCCCCTCTCAACAATTACCGTGCCCTTGGCAATTTAATAAAGCAGGATAATATTCAACTCAGTGACCTACAGCTTGACAAGCATCTCCTGCTCCCAGAAAACAGAAGGTGTTGCTGTCAAACTAATACTAAATAATAATTTTCTGTAGTCCTGGAGCCTCTGGACTTCCCAATTACACGGCCAATAAACCCCCTCATTGTCTGAGCCAGTCTGAGCTGGGCAGCCTGACTGAAGTCTGGAACATCCTAACTGGCACAAAGGCCCTTAAGATGACCCCAAGCCACCTGTCTGGCTTTCTCTCTTGTCACTTCCTTCTACATCCTCTCTGCAATAACCAAATTAGATTACTCACCATTCTCCACACTGCCTTGTGATTTTCTTTCTTTTTTTTTTTTTTTGATGAAGTTTTATTCTTGTTGCCCAGGCTGGAGTGCAGTGGTGTGATCTCAGCTCACTGCAATCTCTGCCTCCTGGGTTCAAGTGATTCTCCTGCCTCAGCCTCCCAAGTAGCTGGAATTACAGGTGCCCAGCATCATGCCCAGCTAATTTCTGTATTTTTAGGAGAGACAGGGTTTCACCATGTGGGCCAGGCTAGTCTCCAACTCCTGACTTCCGGCGATCCACCTGCCTCGGCCTCCCAAAGTGGATTTTCTTTTTTTACCCATGCACTTGCCCAAGCTGACTTTCTGGCTCAAACCTTTCCCCTGGCCTTGCATCCTCTCTATCCATCTGCCCAAACCTCCCTCACTCTCCAAAGTCTCATTTCAAATGTTGCCTTTCCCTGAAGCTTCTCCCGGAATGACCCATCTCTCCCTCCTCATTCTGATCATTTCCTCTTTGAATTCCCGTAGTGTTAGGTATGCCCTCCTCTTCCAGCACTGAATCCAGCCTTGCCTCGCATTAGAGTCATTTGTACACCTGACCTTAATCCCCCTGAGGGCAGGGATAGTTTGTGTTTATCCCAAAGTCCTGAAACAACTAGTACAGAACCTGAGACACAGGAAGGCCCCAGAATTGCCTGCCGAATAGAACAGTGATAGTGCTGAATTTGGTTCCTCCTTTAACCTGTGTGACCCCAGACGTTTGTTTTCTATGAAGCCTCAAAACATGGTTATGTTTCCTAATTTACAACGAACACATGGAAACCCATGTTTTGAAAACGGGGGTGGGGAGGATGAACTGAAGGCAGCCTCTTCAGCCAAGTTCCAAAGGCCAGGTGGCCCACTGTGAACCTTGTTTAACCACACAGAACATATGAATAGCTACAACAAGGGATCTAACAGTTACCAGAATGTTTTCAGAAAGGTGACTTCAGAAGTGCCAAGCTTCAGGAAGACCTGGACTGAGAAGGGATCAGACAACTTTAGGAAAGCAGGTACCAAACAGCCCTTTTACAGTTTACACACAGGCCTTGGTGTCAGAAAAATACTGGTTTGAGTACTGGTTATGCATCAGAGATGCCACTCTGGACAAGCTCCTTATGCTCTCTGGGACTCTGCTTTCTCATCTAAAAAATGGGGATCACCTGAGGTCAGGAGTTTGAGACCAGCCTGGCCAACATGGCAAAACCCCATGCCTGCTAAAAATACAAAAATTAGATGGGTGTGGTGGCTCGCACCTGTACTTGCAGCTACTTGGGAAGCAGAGGCAGGAGAATTGCTTGAACTTGGGAGGCAGAGGTTGCAGTGAGCTGAGATCGCACCACTGCACTCCAGCCTGGGCAACAGAGTGAGACTCTGTCTCAAAAAACGGGGCGGGGGGGGGTGGATAATAATAGTGCCTACCTCAAGAGGTTGCTGTGAACACCAGAAGAAGCAATACACACCAAGTGCCTACAGATAGTAAGCACTTGGTAAAAATGTAACTGCCATTAACAATAAATATGATGCTCACAGGGTCAGTGGAAAAAGTAGTGGAAAGTAGGAGTGGTGGGAACAGAATAGGAGGGAACAAAGCACCTCTGAGTAGACCTTTCTGTATAGCTCCGACTCTTATTATGTTTCACCGTAATAATTCATTAAAACTAGGATAGGAAGGCTGAGGGTGTTTTTGGAATACAAACACTAATGAACCAAACTGCATTATAAATAGTGGCCACACTGAAAGGGATGAAGAAGAAAATAACTAATTTTGGAAAACAGTATTTTGACTGGATACTGTAAGGCAAGCTTGTCCAACCTGCAGCCCAGGATGGCTTTGCATGTGGCCCAAAACCAATTAGTAAACTTTCTTAAAACATTATGAAATTTTTTTGTGATTTTTTTTTTTAGCTCATCAGCTATTGTTAGTGTTAGTGTATTTTTATGTGTGGCCCAAGACAATTCTTCTTTTTCCAGTGTGACCCAGGGAAGCCAAAAGTTTGGCCACCCCTGCTGTAAGGCTTAGGACAAAAATATTTCTCCACAAACAATGGACTCCAGTTAATCAATCTGTCACAGGCATATGGAACTACTTTATGATACTAGGGTCAAACAAATAAGTGAATAAAGTGTACATAACAAGAGCCACACTTCCCACTGTTGAAAAGGCTAAAAAGAAGGAAGAGGGGGAGGCTAGGATGAAATCTGTGCTTGGATTAAAGCGGAAACATTCGTTATCAACTCATGTTTATTTTAATATGTATACAGACAGATACAGAAACAGATGTAGATGTGTGTATATGTGTGGTTAGTATGCATGTTTTATTTCCTAATCCTATCCACTGGGAGGACCTACAAAAAATTTACAAATTTTTTATATGACACTCCAATAGAAATCGGCATGCCTAGTACCACATCCTGGTTTCTAACAGCATTCTCCAATATCAGAACCAGGGCTCCTTGAAGTAATGGCTGATTCTGGGTCAGGGTAGAGAAAACACAAGATGAGCCTTGTAGTGCCAGAGTGTATTGTAGTGCCAGAAAATAGACACACTCAAAAAAGGGTAGTGGCATAACAAGAGGACACGGGGCGATCGGAAGATGCGGGGCAAAAAGTTCCAGGCAGAGGAAAAAATTTCCAAGTTTGACAGAGGGCAAAAATTTCCAGCCACATGAAAAATAATCAAACCTTTGACTTATGTTCAGAGCTCTCAGATATTGCCATCATTAAAGGAACAGAAAAAAATGTTGGGAAAGGAAGTTCTACTGAAAAGCTACCAAGTTTGAATGTCACTTCACTCATGAATCATGATGAGAAAGTCCATTATGAAGTACATCCATATTGTGTAAAGAGAAAACTTGAAACTTTCTTTCTTTCTGTTTGTTTGTTTGTTTGTTTTTGAGACAGAGCCTCACTCTGTTGCGCAGGCTGGAGTACAGTGAAACAATTTTGGCTCACTGCAACCTCCACCTCCCGAGTTCTAGAGATTCTCCTGCCTCAGCCTCCTGAGTAACTGGGATTACAGGCACCCACCACCACACCTGGGTAATTTTTGTGTGTTTTTTTTTTTAGTACAGATGAGGTTTCATCATTTTGGCCAGGCTCGTCTCCAACTCCTAACCTCAGGTGATCTTCCTGCCTCAGCCTCCCAAAGTGCTGGGGTTATAGGCATAAGCCATCTCACCTAGCTGATTTATTTCTATTATAGGTTGAATTACATACATTTCTGATGCTATGCCACTGCACTCCACTGCACTCCATAACCTTAAAAAAATGGCAATTTCATATGTATTAGCCTAACACATTACCTAGGGTCTCCAGTGCCATGTTCAGTAGATACAGCGATAGAAGGTACCCTTGTCTATGTCCTAACTTTGACGAAAAGCACTTCTAAAATTTTACTATTAAGTATGATAATTGCTTTACATTAAGGAAGATAGGGCCGGGTGTGGTGGCGCACAGCTGTAACCTCAGCACTTTGGAAGGCTGTGGGGAGGATTGCTTGAGCTGGGGAGGTGGAGGTTGCAGTGAGCCAAGATGTTGACACTACACCCCAGCCTGGGTGACAGTGAGACCTTGTCTTAAAAAAAAAGGAAGCTAGCTTGCTAATAGTGCATTATCTGATGTTGACTCTGCCCTTGCATTATTGTAATAAAACCTAATTCACCATGATGCATTATTTGTGTGTGTGTACATTGCTGTATTCAACTTGGTATTATTTTACTTAAAGTTTTGGAATTCATGTTCCTAAAAGTTAATAATAGTTAACATCTATTTGGTTTTCTATGTTCTGGGTCTTGTTAAGTTACTTTCCTTGAATTATTTCATTTCATCCTAGAAGGCTTATTGTAAAGGTTATTTCCCCCTTTATCAATGAGGAAGTGAAGGCCCAGTGAAGGCAAGCCATTTTCCCTAAGGTCACAGGGAGGATAAGTAGTGGCAGCAGGAATACAAATCCGGATTTCCTGGCTCCAGAGGCCAAGCACTAAGCACTGCCCTGTGCCCTCTCCCTGTGACAAAGACTCGTCATTCAGACTGTTCCATCGTGAACTTTCCTTGGACATCCTTTTGTGCCAAGCTTTGTACCAAGATTATATTATTCTTGATAGATAATTAAATAGCTCTTTTTCTTTTATTAAAAAAACTTGTCAAACTTTTATAAAGACCTATTTAATCCTATCACCTTTGCTAGCCTGACGTTGACAGTTTTGCAGTGGCCTACAGGTTTTACAGCATGTGCAAGCTCCTGTCCTGGGGATACTGGGAAGGTATACATCCCATAAAGCCAGGGATACAGACCACAGAGCAGCAGCAGACTCCCCCACCCTCCAGCACCCTTGGTTGTTTTTTGTTTTGTTTTATTTTGTTCTGTTTTTTTGAGATGAAGTCTCGCTCTTTTCGCCCAGGCTGGAGTGTAGTGGTGTGATCTCAGCTCACCGCAACCTCTGCCTCCCAGGTTCAAGGGATTCTCCTGCCTCAGCCTCCCAAGTAGCTGGGATTACAGGTGCCCGCCACCACACCCGGCTAATTTTTTTTTGTATTTTCAGTAGAGACGGCGTTTCACCGTGTTAGCCAGGATGGTCTTGATCTCCTGACCTCGTGATCTGCCCACCTCGGCCTCCCAAAGTGCTGGGATTAAAGGCATGAGCCACTGCACCTGGCCAGCATGCTTTCAAGTACTGGGGTACACCTAAGCTCTCAGCTTCTAGCTAGGAGTCATTTGGTACCCCTTTATCCCAAAAGACCTGTCACTGTCTTTGGTTTTCAAAGCCCAGCAGGCTCCAGGCTCTTCAGCCTCCAACCACTTTGCATTTCTTTACTGCTTTTCATTCATGAAGGTGATTAACTTATTTTTCAGCCTGGGCGTGTCTTTTTTATTTACTTAATTTTTTATTTTTATTTTTTGAGATGGAGTCTCACTCTGTCATCCAGGCTGGAATGCAGTGGTGAGATCTCCGTTCACTGCAACCTCTGCCTCTTGGGTTCAAGTGATTCCCCTGCCTCAGCCTCCTGAGTAGGTGTGACTACAGGTGTGTGCCACTATGCCTGGCTAATTTTTGTATTTTTAGTAAACACCGGTTTTCACCATGTTGGCCAGGCTGGTCTTGAGCTCCTGACCTCAGGTGATCAGCCTACCTCGGCCTCCCAAAGTGCTGGGATAACAGGCGTAAGCCACCGCACCTGGCCTTTATTTACTTTATATATCTCACCTATTACTGCTGCAGTTTGCAGAAGAGAGGATGCCCTCAACCCTAACTTCTCCACACCATCCCAAAGGGGAAGTCTGCTCCACGTCATCAGTGTTCTTGTTTTTAAAGACCATATGTCAACATGCCAGATTATAGCAAAAGGATGTCGAGGAAGCAATATGAAAGCAAGCCTCAGAGTCCTGGAGAGAAGGTGACAGAGCTGCCTTTTGAAGGTGGTCACTCCCTCAGATTCTGCCCTTCCTGCCTTGTTCCTCCAGTTGTCAGATTTGCTGTTGGGGCCCTCATGGGGGAAGGGGTGGGGGCTGGACTGAGAGGGAGATGGAGAAGCTGCCAGGGGCCATTTGGATCCAGAATTGCAGCAGTTCCAGCCAGGTCCGGAGGTGGTTGCTGTCCCCCAGCCCCCAAGGGAATGGTACTGATTCCAGAACGTGGCGAGAACTCCCTGGCCAGGAGAAGGAGGTGCTTGCTCCCTTGAATCACCTGAGCCCAGGCTGGAAGGCCCAAGGGGGACGATGAGGCCAGCTCACTCCAGCTCCATCCCCTCCCTTTAACCCTGAGCTAGTCACCATCCCAGATTCCAGGCCCTTTTCCTAAGAGCCATCCCAGCAAAGTCTGCAGAGAGCAGCACTCCCTCATGCCAGCTCACCCTGCACTGTCCTTTCTTTCAGCAACCCCATGGGTATGAACTTGAGATGATTCATTTTCCTAAAAGCCTCTTTGGGCTGAGGGAATGTGTGGGTGGCTCGGCGAGGTTTGGAGTGGGGGCCACCTCTTCTCAGAGCTGCTGTGAGGGCCAGGGCCTCCTTCCCTGGAGGTCGTCTGCAGCCTGGGAAGCGGCGCCGAATGGCACTGGCTTTGCAGGCAGCCTAAGTCATCCCCAGCGGCCTGGGAGGCTGGGGGTGCACCGGCTCCCACTCCCGATAGGGCCGAGGCTCCTTCCTCACCTAAGAGGTGACTGTCTTGAAGAGTGGACACAGAGGAGCCAGCATCCTGGACGGTGAAGGCAGCCAGGAGAAAATCTGCAGCTCAGTCCGAGACAGACGTCTCCTGCAACACAGCTATTGTAGAGACGGGGAAACAAGGCTGAGAGGGAAGGGGGCTTGCCCAAATCACCAGACCTGGAATGTTTTGAGCTATGGGCGTGGATCTCCCAGGAAACGTGTTTTATGGCACCACCGCCTCTGGTCACCCACCCCGAGGTGTGGCGGGCCTGGACAGCCAGCTTGACTGAGGGCCAGGCTGGTGAAGTCAAAACTACCACTCAGGAAGAAGACCTAGCCCTTCTCCAGACAGAGTTCAAATGTGAGGGCTGCCTTCTTTGGGCCTCAGTTTCCCCACCTGAATTCCAAGGACCCTTCTAACTCCCACACTCTGGGCCAAGCCCCAGTCAGCCTAGAGGACCAGGGCTACATCTTCCTTGGACAGAGACCCAGCATAGGGGCAACAGGAGGTAGGGGTGGGGGTAGGCAAGGTTCCTGTAGGGAGGTGGAGCTGCCATCAGAGATGGTGTCTGCAGGCAGTGGGTGTATCGTGGCTATGCTACTACTTCCTGGGTGACCCCATGACATTTCTTTCCCCACTCTGACCTCAGTTTCCCTATCTGTTCCATGGAGATAAGATGCCTGCCTACATATTTGGGGACTGGGATGTGTGTGGGGGCCAGTTGCAGTGTTTCTTGGTGTGGTCCTGGGGCAGCCTGCACCACCCCATAGAGTTTGCTGGGCCCCACCCTAGGCTCACAGGACCAGAATCTCTGGGAATGAAGCCTGGGAATTTGCATTTCCACAGGCATCCGGCAGATTCTGACATGATTGAAAAAGCACTAATAGTATATGGCAAGCTCTTTATAAAAGGTAAATTCATAGCTGCCTTTTACTAAACATAAATCTCACCTTCCCTTCCTCAGTTAAGGACACACACCCCAGTTGAAAATCACTGTGCCTTTCCAGATGCAGAATCTGACCTTTCCAATAGGATTCTGTTAACTGTTACTTTCTGTAGTTTGTATTCCAAAACAAGGGGAATATCTTTCCATTTTTTCAATATAAATGTTTAGGTCAAATATGCTTTTTCAAACTGGACACACACTCACACAGTTTAGGATTTCAGCTATGGCTTCCTCTCAAATTATTAGCCCGTTTCTGCCAGGGAGCAGTTTTTCCCAGACAAGACCCTGGACAGAGGCTGGTGGGGCCCCCTCCTCATCAGAATCACTAGATCATGACTGACCCCTAGAGGTGGCTTTTCTGCTTAACAGTCAGCCCATGGGCTGGGATGGGATCCCCAAAGCTGTGGCAAAATCTTCCACCCATCCTGGGCCCCCCTGCCGTCTGTGGGGAAAGGCCTGTCCCTTGTCTTCTGGGCCCAGCCGGCCTCACACTCATTCAGCGGACTGGAAAGTCGAAGCATGTGCTGTGCTTGGCTGGGCTCTGCTGTGCCCCTTTTTGGGGTGAGGCAGAGTGTATTCCAGCCCCCAGCATCCCTGCCGTTTATTCCCACCCCTCATCCCCACCCCCATACACACTCACAAGTACAAACACAAGCACAGTCACGGGCACACACCACCCTGGACAGCACCATTTCCAGCCTCAGCGGGGCAGTCTCCTTACAGGGAAGTTAATGAGGCACTAAAGAAGGCTCAGGGGACAGGGAGAACCTCTGTCAAAAAGAGGTTCCTAGACCTGGTTCTGCCTCTGACTTGCTGGGGGTCCTTGAGAAAGCTGCTTCCCCTTTTTGGCCTGTTTCCTTAGCTGAGAAATGGGGGGTCAGCCAAATGGTCTAAGGTTCTGGGAACCCCTAAGTCAGAGCCCATAGCTGGTGGTCAAGATGAGGGAGAGGCCCTCAGGGTCAGCCGAATGCCAGAGAGGCAGGACAGGCCCAAAGGTGAGTAACCTGAGCACATCAGGTGGGTTCAGAACAGGTGCATGAGCCCCACAGCCTGCACAGCAGCTCTGAACTTGGGAGCCCACTTGCACCAGCCCAGTGGGACTTCAGAGATGTGGGGTCCAGCCTCTCCTACTATTGCAGGGCTAGGGGCTGGGAGCTGCAGATTCTGACCCCACAGCTGCCTTAGACATGCCAGATGGGCTGGGGAAAGACACACCCCTCTCTATGAAATGAGCACTCAGTCCAAATAGGTAAACTAAAGAAGGGCTGTGGGATGCACCCAGCTGTAGCCTGGGGCTACAGACTGGCTTCCAGGGTACTCAAGCAGCTGGCCTCTTGGGTAGCAGCCCCGGGTATGAGAGGCAGGACTCAGAATCTAGGCCAAGCCTCCACAGGAATCCCCTCTGGAGAGCCCGGGCACTCTGCAGGAAGGGCAGGAGGCAGCAGGTGCACCAGGAGCATGTTCCACAAGGTGCCCAATATTGCATCTGCTCAGATAGGCAGCGAGTTGGAATGTGGATGCAGTAGGCAGGGTGGCAGCTGCTCCCTACGGCCAGGAGTCCAGCCCAGCACCCACCTGAGTCCACCTCAGTCCTGCTCAACTGGGTCATCCGTGCTCTGGGCCCTCTGGTCCCACCCACAGAGGGAGGGCTTTGGAGCGACCAGGTGAGCTGGCCATTGTGGGAGGATGTAAAAACTCCTGAGCCTGGCGAGCCAGGCAGCCCCTTGCCAGCATCCCCACACCCACCTCTCCAGCCCCCCGCATTCCCTGATCCTCCCATCCGCTCCCCTGACCCAGCAGTTTCCTCTGCTCACTCTTTTCCTGCTCCCAGGCTCGCCTGGTCATGTGTCCTTCACTCTCCTCTGAGTCTCCCTCTTTCCAAGCTGCCTCCACTCTACTTGACACACTCTCCCTTAAGACACCAGAGTACACAAGCGCAAGTCCCTGCACCTCACCTTTACTCCCAGACATGGGAGGGAGATGACATGAAGACCCAAACGCCACTTAGCAGGAGATCTGGGGTATGCAGAGGGGCAGATCGGAGGCTGTGGAAGCTCCAGGGGCTCCCTGCAGGAGGCTGCATATAAGCTGGCTATTGAATGTGGCTCTGAGCTGAGACCTCTCCTTGAAGCTCCAGACCAGGAGCCAGCTGCTAGCTGGACCCCTCCATTTGGTGCCTCAGAGAAACCTTGCACTCCATAGATCTGACTCTGAACCCCGAATATCCCATCTCAGCCCTGTCTCTTCATAGGGAAAGCACCACCTCTGACCCAGTTCTGCACCAAACCCACACTTGAGTGATGGGGCTCCTGCCCTGCACTGTGAGCACTCTGGATAAGCCAGAGCTGAGGGGGAAAGAGCTCTGAATGCCAAGCCAAAACATGAGTTTCAACTCCACCTCCAGCTCTGAGAGCTGTGGGTAGGGAAGGGCCCAAGTCCAGTTTGCTGTAGAAAGACCAGTCTGCCACTGTATGGCACATGGATGGCAGGGGCAGAGTGCAGGTGGAGAGAACAGAAGGTGGGCAGGGCGGGGGAGGCAGGGACATGGCTGTAGCCGTGGAGATGGGAGGACAGACAGGACTTGGTGGCCACTTATATGAACCAAGGGAGGAGTCAGGAAGAGACACCCAGTTTTGTATCAGATGTGTAGAGCGTGGGATGCTGTTCATTGACGGAGGGAGGAGGAGGAGGAAGAGGTATGGCATGGGAGGAGGTAGCTGAGCTCTGTCATGAATGTCATTTGAAGTCCCCAGGGAAAGCCAGGCCGGCCAGCACCTTCACTGCTTCAGCCAGCTCTCAGGGTGTCTGTGCTCCCTGGCCCTCTCAGCTCCTGCTTCATAGCTGTCAGCTGCAGTGGGGGACAGCTGCACAAGGACCAAGCAGGTCTGTGTGTTTACGCAGGGTTCTGCCGCATGGCCCTGCCGAGCAGAAGCTGATGGACGACCTTCTGAACAAAACCCGTTACCACAACCTGATCCGCCCAGCCGCCAGCTCCTCACAGCTCATCTCCATCGAGATGGAGCTCTCCCTGGCCCAGTGCATCAGTGTGGTAGGTGCAGAGGGCACCTGTGGCTCAGGCTCAGGCGAAGAGGCAGCTCATGCCCAAGCCCAAAGCACTCAATGTCCAGAGGAATGAAATGACTAGAGTTGACTTAGACTCACCAATACATGGCGGGGAGGCTGGAGGAGGGTCCATGAGGTTTATAGGTGTCCAATATTTAATGAGGTCATGGTTTTGTTAACAAAGAAGAAATGAGGGTGGGAGCAGGATCACCACTGGCTAGGCAGCCAATGGGCCTGCAGAGACTCTGCTCAGCTGAGTCTCCAGCACGACCATGAGCTTCTCCTCCTCATCCTCCCAGCCCCACCCTACTCTCTCCCCCAGCTTGCTCAACAGGTGACCTTACAGGCTCCCTACTCTTTGCGAGGAATAAGAACCAGACTGCGAGAACCGATGGGTACAGAGGCCCAGGTGTAGGGGCAGGACCACAGGCAGTGCAGCGTCTACTGAGCGAGGCGGGTGAGGGTCTGGAGAGTGGGCATGGCTGCTGCAGGCATGGAAAGGAGGCGCAGATGGCGGCACTCCCAGGGCCCATCGTCAGGGTCTCCATATGTGGACGTGTGCAGAGGTGGGGGTGCTGAGCGAGGAGGTGCATGGAGTTTCTCATCTTCTCTCTACTGCCTCTGAGTTGGAGATGTCAGAGGGAGCCATGGCCCACTGTAAAGTAACACAATGTCCCCACCCACAGGGTTAGAACCTCTCCTCTGGAAGCAGCTCTGAGGGGAACAGTCACATGTAGAGAGTGCAGGGCGCTGTGTCCAGCCGGGGGAAGGAGGTCACCAAGCAGGTTGACCCTCCCCTGGCCAGGTGGCTGCCTTCTGACACACCAGCCTCTCTCTCTAGCATGGTGGCCCCCACACACCCAGCCTGTGAAACCTACAGCCCTCAAGAAGGTTTTGGCCGAATTAATGAGTAGCTCCCTCTCCCAGGAGGAAGCACAGCTGAAGGATGCGGAGGGCAGTAGAGTTGTGTGTGCTCCGCCCCCTTTCTCCACAGTCGGACGGGAAAGAAGGGGGCTTTCAACCAGGCTCACCCAGGCTGGGGTCTGAGTGTCACTGTCCAGCTATTGGCTTCTTGCTTAACGGGTGAGCCCAGCAGCTCCCGTGCAGCTGCCGCCCTAGTTAGGGTGAACCGGCAGGCGAGTTGCATTTCTGAAAGCCCGGGAAGACAGTAAATATTAGGCTGTGGGCTGCTGGGCCAGGAAGGGGTGTTTATTTTTCAGGGTTTGTTTATCTATTGACTTGATGAGGGAGGGTTATACGTACAACCAGTTAAAAGATGGAAATTTTGAGAGAGTAGGCAGGGATTTAGTGCTGGGTAAGGCAAGAAGGCTTGTCAAAGCAGCTCTTCTGGGGAGGCCAGAATCCTGTACCAATGTCCTCAGCACGTTCTTCAGCTGCTGGGGGAGTGCCAGACAGGATGAAAGCGTAGGAGAACTTTCTGGATGATAGAAATACTCTATATCTTCAAAGGAGGTGGGTTACATGGGTAATGCATTTGTTGAAACTGATCAAAATGGAAACCAGATCTGTGCATTTCACTGAATATAAATTATACCTCAAATTAAATACATTTCTTAAAAGACAGATGGGCCGGATGCAATGGCTCACGTCTGTAATCCCAGCACTTTGGGAGGCTGAGGCAGGTAGCTCACCTGAGTCAGGAGCTCGAGACCAGCCTGGAAAATGTGGTGAAATCCTGTCTCTATTTAAAAAATAAAAATTAGCCAGGCATGGTGGCACACGCCTGTAATCCCAGCTACTCGGGAAGCTGAGGCAGGAGAATTGCTTGAACCCAGGAGGCAGAGGTTACAGTGAGCAGAGATCATGCCACTGCACTAGAGCCTGGGCAACAGACCAAGACTCCATCTCAAAAAAAAAAAAAAAAAAAGAGAGAGAGACAGATGAAGGTTTTCAACTTTCACTAAAGGCAGAGGAGCTTGTTACAGATTCGCCTCCCCATAGGAACAGTTAGAAAAACTGGACAAAAATGTGCCCCACCACCAAAAACAATTGTTGGAAGGTAATTGGAGACCTCAGCCAGCACTTGAGTGACCAGGCCTGGGAGGTGATCCTGACAGTCTGTAGTGCTTTTCCCACATTTGGTGATCGGTCAACAGTAGAGGGCTAAGAGGCTAAGAAACTGAATATGAAGTGGTAGTTAAGGGGCTGGAGAGCCTAGCTGAATGTTGGCACTCTCACAGGGCTGAAATGACCTAATGAGAATTTGGGTCCCAGGAAGGAGATGGGACATTGGTGGGGACCCTGGAAGGGCCACCCCTAGGAGTCCAAATGAATAAAATATAGACCAGCCGTCACAAAACCTAAAACCTGCTTTGAACTAGCTTAGTCACAAACTAGATGAAGGCGATCTGCCCTTACTCCAATTGTGTGCCATAAAGTCAAAGTCAATACTCTCTGGAGGCAGATAAAACTTTACTAGGAATGCCATAAGACAACATCAGACTAAATGAGAAAGACCAAGAAAAAAACTAATAGAAACATACATGTAAGGAAGAAACTTTTTTTTTTTTTTTGAGACAGAGTCTCACTCTGTCACCCAGGCTTGAGTGCAGTGGCACGATCTCAGCTCACTGCAACCTCTGCCTCCCAGGTTCAAGCGATTCTCCTGCCTCAGCCTCCCAAGTAGTTGGGATTACAGGCATGTGCCACCATGCCCGGCTAATTTTTGTATTGGCCAGGCTGGCCTTGAACTCCTGACCTCAGGTCATCCATTCACCTCAGCCTCCCAAATTGCTGGGATTACAGGCATGAGCCACCGTGCCTGGCCAGTATTTTGCCAAAATTTAAAATAAATAAATTTTCTTTTTTTTTTTTTCAGGTTTGTGCTCAGACTCTATTCTAAACAGTCACATGGCAGCTTACTCTTCTCCAGGCCTTGCTGCCGGCTTTTACATGTTTATTATATTTGTGTTCTTGTCATCTGCTTGGTAGATGGCAGCTTCCAGGTGCTCCTAAGGGGCCAGGAAAGAGAGTGAGAAGGCACCGAGTTTGCCAGGTCGTCCCCCTCAGGGCCCCACCCTCATCAACTCCCTCAGCTGGGTCTCCTGCAACTATTGGTGGGCCATCTCAGCCACCGCTTCGCCCTGAGCTTCCTGCTGCTGCAGCTGGGCAGTGCCTCCTTCCCAGAGGCCAGCTGCTGATAGGCGGCCACGTACTGCTGCAGGTGACCCCGGTAGTGGTCTTGCTGCTGCTGCAGACTCTGAGCCTCTTGGCTCTTCAGCTCCACCTGCAGGATAGGCGTCAGGGTAGGTAGTCGCTGGCTTCCAGATTCTGGGCCCATAAACAGGGTGGCAAGGGCACTGCGGGGCTCTGTCGCCTGCTCAGGCCCCTGGCCCTGGCCCCTTCCTCCAGGCCTAAGTGACTGCCTCCCTTGCCTAGAGGCCCATGCCTCCCTCCCCAGCCTCAAATCTCACACCCTTCTTCCCACCACTTAAACTGTAGGCCGCAGACTGGTGGAAAAGCAGAGGGAGCCAACCACCATCTGCTAAGTTGTGGTGAGGTCGTTCTGTATGATCTCCAGGGTTTGCACACACCTCTGCCTGCTCCCCCCAAGAGCTCCGCCTTCTGCCCCAGCTTCCCCAGCCTCTCCTCCAGCTCCTGCAGCCTCACCTCCTGTTCCTGCATCTTCTCCTCCTGCTGCCACAGCCTCACTTCCTGCTCCCGCATCTTCTCCTCCTGCCTCTGCATCTTCTCCTCCTGTTCCTGCATCTTCTCCTCCTGTTCCCACATCTTCTCCTCCTGCCTCCACATCTTCTCCTCCTGCTCCCATATCTTCTCTTCCTGCTTGAGCAGCTTCTCCTGCCTCCACGTCTTCTCCTCCTGCTCCTGGATCTTCTCCTCCTGCCTCTGTATCTTCTCCTCCTGCTCCTGCATCTTTTCCTCCTCCTCCTGCATTTTCTCCTCCACCTCCCGCAGCTTCTCCTCCTGATCTTGCATCATCTCCTCCAGCTCCCGTATCTTCTCCTCCTGCCTCCACATCTCCTCCTCCTGCTCCCGTATCTTCTCATCCTGCTCGCGCATCTTCTTCTCCTGCCTCCACATCTTCTCCTGCCTCTTCTCCTCCTGCTCCCGTATCTTCTCCTCCTGCCTCCACATCTCCTCCTCCTGCTCCTGTATCTTCTCATCCTGCTCCCGTATCTTCTCCTCCTGCCTCCACATCTTCTCCTCCTGCTCCCGTATCTTCTCTTCCTGCTCCCGTATCTTCTCCTCCTGCCTCCACATCTTGTCCTCCTGCTCCCGTATCTTCTCTTCCTGCTCATGCATCTTCTCCTCCTGCCTCCACATCTTCTCCTCCTGCTCCCTTATCTTCAGCTCCTGCTCACACATCTTCTCTTCCTGCTCCTGTATCTTCTCCTCCTGCCTCCACATCTTCTCCTCTTGTTGCTGGTTCAGGAGGTTCCACAACTCGTTCTCTTCCACCTGGGCTTGGAGCTTTGCTGACACACTCTGTAGCTCCTTACCCAGGCGGTCAGCCTCCACCTGCAGCTGCTGCTGGAATAGTGAAAGTGTTGGTTCAAACCTCAGAAGGAAACAGACTCATGAGCTAGCCATATAAATGTAATCTATAAAATAATGGTTTTCATCTATGATCCTTTGAAAAATATTTTTTTAAGCCCAAACTCTGAGATTCTGATTCCCCAGGCAGGGCCCCAATTTGTATATTTTTAGCACACTCCAGAGGATTCTATGGTGGGACCAGAACAAGGACCCAAATTTTCCAGCTCTTGGCTGGAGCCTCCCCACACCCTACATGATCCCTAGACCATGGCCCCAGCCGGATGGGGCTCCCACAACCCCCGGGGCTGCAGCTGCTCGCCTGTGGCAGCAGGAGCTGGGCCCTTTCCAGCTTCCTTTTAAGGTCCTTTACGTTGAGCTGGATCTCAGACTTTTCAGATTCTACAAGTCGAAGTTTTTCTTGTAGTTCGGCATTTTTCTCCTTCAACTCCTCATCGGTTATGCTGTGGCCAGAGGCAGTAGAGAAAGGAATGAACAAAGAATAGAAAGGACCGCTTTGGTGATCAACCCTCTACTTTCACCACACAACCACAGAACGGTGGCATTGGAAAGGACCCCAGGAATTAAAAGTCACAGGTGGCAGGCCAGAGAGAAGACATGAGTTGCCTGAGGCTTCCCCATGAGTCAGTGGCACCGCCGGCACTAGAGCTTCCCTGTGCACACATGAAAACCTGTAGAAGCCTCTCACCATGCTCACCTGTACCCCCCACCTCCCAGCACACCACCCACTCTAAGGGCCCCCAGACCTCCCATTCCACCTTCCCCCATCCTACGTGTTCCTGTACAGTTCCAGACTCGGAGCGTCCCTCTCCTTTGTTAATTTCTCGATGTACTGCAAATAGAGAAAGGTTAAGTCAGGATAGAGCAGGCAGAGGAGTAGCTGGACGACCAGAACAACAGCTACACTGATACTCCACAGTAACACTCCCTCACTCTCAATCACACCTGACATGTTCTCAAGGCATTTCCAAGCCCATGGTCTCATTTGTTTTTTCTTTGTTTTCTCTTTCTTTCTTTCTTCTTTCTTTCTTTCTTTCTTTCTTTCTTTCTTTCTTTCTTTCTTTCTGTCCTTCCTTCCTTCCTTCCTTCCTTCTTCCTTTCTTTCTTCCCTTTATTTCCTTTCTCCCTTGCTTCCCGTGCTTCCCTTGCTTTCTTGCTTTCATGCTTTCTTGCTTTCTTGCTTTCTTGCTTTTCTTGCTTTCTTGCTTTTTCTTTCTTGCAGAGTTTGGCTCTTGTTGCCCTGGCTGGAGTGCAATGGTGCAATCTCGGCTCACCACAACCTCCACCTCCTGGATTCAAGCAATTCTCCTGCCTCAGAGTCCTGAGTAGCTGGGATTATAGGCATGTGCCACCACACCCAGCTAATTTTGTCTTTTTAGTAGAGACGGGGTTTCTCCATGTTGATCAGTCTAGTCTTGAACTGACTGATCCTGACTTATCCTTAGCCTAAAAAGAAAAATTTAAAATTACTCATTAAAAAAATGAATGATTTCCAGCAGAAAATGGGCAATGGAGAAACCGGCACTTCCCACAAGAATAAAAATGGCCAATGAGCAAACGAAAAAGATTCAAAAGCACTAGAAATCAAAGAAATGTAATGAAAACAATGAGATTTTCTGCTTAAAGACCAGCAAAGATGACAAATGGAAGGGGGAACCTGGAGCTCTGTCCCTGTTGGTGGGAGCATAAACTGAACCAATTTTCCTACAGGATAATTTGAACATTTCTTTTAAAAATCCTAAAACAGTTTTACATTATTTTCCTCTAGAAATTCTACTTCTATGAATTCAGTGCAAAAATCCTTACTGGAGTCCATTAAAATGTATATAGAGGAAATTCACCTCTGGGGTGGCAATGATTCACTTAACATAATCCAGCTATTAAAAATGATGATGCCAGGATATACTTCTGCCCTAGAAACATGTTTAAAATATAATAAGTGACAAAAGCCCATTTACTATGATTGTACTTTTATTTTTTTTAACAGTCACAAATCAGCTTTATTTAACTTTTCCAAAATATTTCTCAGGCCATTCTCTTTCAGACATTCAAAAAGAAAAAGTTTCTAACTTTAAAATAATTAAATGACAAATGGTAAAAGCTGCTAGTTATCTCCCAGTGGCTGTTCCCATGGTGGTAGGGCCTTAGATGTGTGGCCATTTGCAATGGACCCAGCATTTCTAGCTTGCAGCCAGGCACAGCCAATAGCAGGAGAGAGCGAGGTGTGTTCCTCCCCTCTCTTGTCTTCCAATCCTTTCCCTGTTCTGCTCATCTGGAATGTGATACTGGTAGAGGCCAGTTATTCGTGGCAAGCAACACGTTTACAGGGATTTTCCTGGGAATTTCAGATACAATGTCTGTATTAGTTAAGATTAGGTTTTGCGGCAATAACAGAAAACCCTCCAAAATGATAAATTAAAGAACATGGAAGTTTATTTTTGTCTCATAGGGATGTCTCAGAAGTGGTTCATGGCTGGCATGATGCTCCATGTTGTCAGGAACTCAGACTCCATTCATCTTGATGTTCTTTCCCGAAGGCTTCAACCTCACAGTCTCAACATGGCAGATTCTACTTTTAAATATGTTTATATGCATAAAAAGTGTAAAAAGCAACAAACCAGAATGTTTTGAGTGGCAAAATTAAAGATTTTTCTTTATATTTTGTCATCCAAATTATTACAAAAAGAATGTGATTTCCTTTATAATCAGGGAGAAGTGTTATTTTCATTTATTTATGTTTACATTTCTTTTCTTTTTCTTCTTTTTTCTCCTGTATGTATCCCATGTAGGCTAGAGAGCTTCAATCCCTGCCTCTTGAGGGAAATCAGCCCATTTTCGGGAAGTGCACTACACAAAGCTGCCCCATCTTCCCTTTATTTTTTATTTTTATTTATTTATTTATTTATTTATTTATTTATTTATTTATTTATTTATTTTGAGATAGAGTCTCAGAGTGCAGTGGCGCATCTCAGCTCACTGCAACCTCCATCTCCCGAGTTCAAGCAATTCCCCTGCCTCAGCCTCCCAAGTAGCTGGGACTACAGGCATGCACTACCATGCCCAGCTAATTTTTGTATTTTTAGTAGAGAGCGGGGTTTACCATCTTGGACAGCCTGGTCTCAAACTCTTGACCTCAAGAGATCTGTCCGCCTTGGCCTCCCAAAGTGCTGGGATTACAGGCATGAGCCACTGTGCCTGGCCTGTCATATTATTTCTAAAAATTTCAGTGACATTTCAATTAAGTTAAATTTAATTCTTACTGACCTGATCTCTTTTCCTGTGTTTAATGATATCTTCCAGTTGAAAGGTATTTCCTCTGTAATCACAGGCACTAAAGGAAATACAACAAGTATTCTTTAGGTGGATATCCACTAAACCACGGATTCTCCCATTGTAGTCCTTAGACCCTCAGCATCAGCAACACGTGGGAACTTGTTAGACATGCAAATTCCTGGGCCAGCCCCACACCTCCTGAATCAGAAAGTGGGGAAGAGGGACAGCTGTCTGTCCTTTAATAAGCCTTGAGATGCTCCCTGAAGTTTGAAAACTACAGAACTAGAATACATATGGCAGTAAGTGCTCATACTTTATCCCAGGTACCTTCCCCTCTTTTCCATTCTCTTTTCCGTTGAAATAAAATGAGAGCTCTTTTTGACTTAATGGGTATAAGAAAGAAGGCAATGAGATGAGCAGGGTTTCAAGTTAGAGTTCAAAATTTAATCAGTGGATGGTGACAGGGTGCAAGCCTTCTAAACAGATTACTGCAAGAAAGCTGATTATAATCTATACAGTAGGTATCATTAGTGTATTGATGTTAAATTTTTGGGGTGGGATTAATGGTATTGTGATTATATAGGAGAACGTCCTGGTTCCTAGAAGATATCTGCGAAAGTACTTAACACTGAAATGCTGATACTGGCAACTTACTTTGAAATGATTCAGGGGGGAAAAGGGCACATATACAATCTTCCATATGCAGGGGAGACAAAACAAATATGATAAAATGTTAATTGGTGAATCCAGTTGAATAGCATACTGATGTTCACTGTATTATTTTATCAACTTTTCTGTGTTTGCAAGTTTTTAAAATAAAAAGTTGAGGGAAAAGAAACATCACCCCAAATCTTCCTACAAAATGGAACCATAGAAAAACTTTGCAGAAGAGGGCACCGTACCCATCCGGACAGCATGGTCAAAGTGCAGGGTCTCCTCCAGCAGGCTATTCTCTGGTCTCTTCTGTGCTGTCACTTCCCCCAGACGCAACCAAGGCTTTTTTATAACAACTCTTTTTCTAAAGGTGTAATTTTTTTCATTCATCTAAGAAAGAGACAAAAGAATTAGTATACATTGAGAAAATAAAATTACACTTATACTTGTGTAAAAGCAAAAAATACTTTGAAAAGTGGGGAAGCAAGAAATGTACTGTTCTACAATTCTGTCCTTACCATCTTTTTATTCTGCCAATGACTTCCTATTCCTGCTGCCTATGGTGGGGTGAGCTGCAAATGATTTCTTTTCCTCATTGATTTGAAATGCCATGTTTATAATATACTAAACTCCCCCAGAAGCATTTGGGTTTATTTCTGGGCTCTATTCTATTCAAGTGATCTATCTGTTCACAAGCCACTATCAATTTTGATTATTAGAGCACCCTAAAGTTAAGTTAAATAATTCTTTTTTTTCTTTTCGAGACAAAGTCTCTCGCTCTGTTGCCCAGGCTGGAGTGCAGTGGCGTGATTTCGGCTCACTGAAAGCTCCACCTCCTGGGTTCACACCATTCTCCTGCCTCAGCCTCCCGAGTAGCTGGGACTACAGGCACCCGCCACCTCGCCCGGCTAATTTTTTCTATTTTCAGAAGAGACGGGGTTTCACTGTGTTAGCCAGGATGGTCTCGATCTCCTGACCTCGTCATGTGTCCACCTCGGCCTCCCAAAGTGCTGGGATTACAGGCATGAGCCGCCGCACCTGGCCAAGTAATTCTTTGATTAGGATATTAGTATTTGATGGAGCCTGACCCTTTTGACTCTAAACTCAAATTCTTATTATCTCTAACTTCTAAAAGTTATGAACAATTATGACTTCAATGTATAAAATGTCAGCTTTTTCAGCTACCTTACAGAATTCTCTTATTTTCCTAATATCGATTCCATTTATCCATTCGGTTTTCTCTCCAAACACTAATGTTTTCGTTTTAGTATCCCTAATCTTTTTTTTTTTTTTTTTTTCTTTTGAGACAGAGTCTTGCTCTGGAGTACAGTTGCATGATCTCAGCTCATTGCAACCTCCGACTCCCAGGCTCAAGCAGTCCTTTTACCTCAGTCTCCCAAGTAGCTGGGACCACAGGTGCATGTAACCACACCCAGCTAATTTTGTATTTTTTGCAGAGATGAGGTCTCACTACGTTGCCCAGGCTGGTCTCAAACTCCTGAGCTCAAGTGCTGAGAGCTCCTGAGCTCCCAAAGTGCTGGGATTGCAGGTGAGAACCACTGCTCCTGGCAGTTTTCCTAATCCCTTCTCTTTATCTTTTGTAGTTGCACTGGCTTATGTGGTTATTAACTGTTAGTGTTAATTAACAGGGATAACTGCAATACTGGACATTTTGTCTTATTCCTGATCTTAAAGGGATGTTTCTACAGTTTCACTCATCATGCATGATGGCAGCTTTTGGCTAGATGTATTTATAATCCACTAGGAGTAAAAAAAATTAGAAATAAATATTGAATTTTATCAAATGTCTTTCTAACATATATGGAGGGAACCATGTATTTTCTTCTTAATGTCTTGCAACCAGGAATCATACCAGATCTTCTAGTAGTGATTCAAGGGAATGAGCTTCATGTGATTGTGCGGCATAATTTTCCCACTGTGCTATGTTTGCATCACTAGCCATGAATGAGAGAGTGTGTGTGTTTTAATGTTACCTTTGTCAGGTACCTTTGTCAGGTTTGGGTTTTCATGTTCGAACAGTTTCAAAAGAAAAAAGTTTGAAAGTTCTACTTTATTCTTTATATGTGGAAATTTCAATAAATTATTTGTGATTTATTGAAAATTTTACTTGAAGGTCTGATATAATTTCAAAGCAAAACCAAACCTTTTTTTCTTTCTTGTTGGGGGAGGGTGGGAGGAGCGGGACAGGAGGACATTAACTCGTTGATATTTTATGTTTTGTTTTTTCCCTTTAGAATTTATCTTCTGGGGACAATCTGACAATGATGAATTTAATTTAGATTCACAGATTTTAAAAATAATTCTTTTGATATTCTTGGTATCATTTATTTACCTATTCTGCAGCTCTGTTGCCCAGGCTGGAGTGCCATAGTCCAATCATAGCTCACTGCAGCCTTGAACTCCTGGACTCAAGCGATCATACCCGATCAGCCTCTTGAGTAGCAGAGACTATAGGCTCACGCTACCACACCCAGCTAATTTTTTATATTTTTAGTGGAGATGGGGTTTCAACATGTTGCCCAGGCTGGTCTCGAACTCCTGGGCTCAAGCAATCCTCCCTTCTGAGCCTCCCAAAGTGCTGGGATTACAAGTGTGAGCTACTGTACCTGGCACTATTCTCATTTTTATAATAAAATTTTAAGATTGGATAAATAATATAGCCCAATTATTGGAGCCAGACTACATCTACAAAAATTAAATGAAATTTCACTTGTCTGAAATCATGACATACTTTGGAAGATATCTTTGTCATGGTATTAATTAAAATTACGGCTATTTGGCACTCACCAAAATCTGTGGAGCACCTTAAAGACATAGGCGGCATCCTCCGGAGCAGTCAAAACAGTTACAAGAAGAGGCTGTCGGGACAGCTTTGTCAGAAGAGACATGCTATGCATATAAAGACATAAGGGAGACAGAAAAGAAACAACCATTTTACACACAGGCCCCAAATTGAAAGCTATAGGCTGGGTAATGCAGGCACTGATTTTTGCAAATCAGATGTTTTCCATATGGCATCTCCATATAGTGTGCTTTTGCTTTAGAGAGTGGCAGCAAGATTTTTGGTTTTGTTTGTTTGTTTGAAGACAGGATCTTGCTCCACCGCCCAAGCTGGAGAGCAGTGATGTGATCATAGCTCACTGCAACATCAACCTCCTGGGCTCAAGTGATCCTCCTGCCTCAGCCACCTGAGTAGCTGGACTACAGGCATACACCACTATGCCCCCACTAATTTTTGTATTTTTTGAAGAGACAAGATCTCACTATGTCACCCAGGCTGATCTTGAACTCCTGAGCTCAAGCGATCCTCCTGCATCAGACAACCAAAGTTTTAGGATTACAGGCATAAGCCACTGCACCTGGCCAAGATATTTGTTTGCAAAGGATGGTTAATAGTTACAACAAGAAAAATAGGAAGGCTGGGGCACAGTGGCTCATGCCTGTAACCTCAGCACTTTGGGAGGCTGAGGCAGGAGGATCACCTGAGGTCAGGAGTTCGAGACCAGCCTGCCCAACACGGTGAAACCCCATGTCTTCTAAAAATACAAAAATTAGCCAGGCATGGTGTCATGCACCTCTAATCTCAGCTACTCAGGAGGCTGAGGCAGAATCACTTGAACCCGGGAGGTGGAGGCTGCAGTGAGCTGAGATCATGCCATTGCACTCCAGCCTGGGTGACAGAGCAAGACTCTATCTCAAGAAAAAAAAAAGAAAAATAGGGAAGATTTGTTAGTAGTCTGTGAGTTCCACAATCATGTCAAGCATATTAAAAATTCCTTAAATTCCTAATTACCTTTTCCTGTCTTTTTTTAAAAGAGGATTTAACTTCATCAGAATTTTTCTTTACATGTGAAACACCTGCATCTTCAATTGCCTCATCATCTGGCAAAGTGAAGGTCACTCTTTTCAAGCTTTCTTTACATTGTTTACTGTCTTCACTTTCTTCCAGGTCATCATCTTCATCCCTACACTACAAAATTCTTATAAAAAGAAATATACTGCTTTCCATTAGAAAAACAAAAGGAAACATATTTCCCTTAATAAAGTTCTTCTTTTATATGCCTAATGCAACCAAATACTCAGAAGTTCCAAAATCATTCAGGTATTAAGGAACAGAAGGTATCATTTAAGTGAAATGCTATGTAAGAAACAGAACAAAAAGTGTCCAATATATAGAAAATAAATTGTTCAATCTCACAGAAATAACAGGATTTTTGGGGCACAAAACCAAATCAAAGTTCCTGGTCAGAAAGGTTTGATTGCCATTGCCAGTAATATTTTTCTTCATTAAATGATCTCTAATGTCCCTTTAAATACACAGACTTTCCTGTGGCTATCTTGAGAATATCTGATAGGAGAGAATCTAACTTCTTAAAACAAACATATGTGAAAACCACAAGTACCAATACATGATTGGACAGTTCCAGCTCACAATATAAAGGATGGTTCAAATACTTACATTTCAGAAATGCTTAGTTCTTCTGCTGCTTCTTCAGCAATTTCATCAGCTTGTTTGAACCCAGATCATCATCATCATCACTTGCTATGTCTTCATCACTTTCAACTGGATCAAAAAAAGTCTTTGTCCTTCACATTTCTGGAACTTTTACCTGACTAAAATAAAAAGATTTTTAAAACTATTAATTAGGAAGAGAAAAATACATCGTTAGCACACACATATATATTTGTGTGTATACTGTATGTCTACGTTACTTTCTAACTTAATAACACTACAAGCCAAAAATAGTTATTAGGTGAAATCAGCAACTAAAAACATTACCATAAAACTATTATAAGAACAACTGGAACAGAAACTGAATGGAAGTACAGATTCATTTATAACTGATAAGATAGAGCACAATATTTCTTAGATCCAAATCTTCTAACTACAATTACATCTGTCCTAGAAAAACAGAACAAAAGGTAATTTGAGGAGGAGGAAAGTGCTCTCTCCTCTCTCAAAATTTTACCTTAAGTTTTTTTACTTCTAAACAGTGCCCCTTCATCTTCATCAGAATCAATATCTTAAAAAAATCAGTATCTTCTACGTCATCATCATTACCATCTTTTCGTTCCTCTTCTTTTTCTGTTTTCTAAATAGGCCTCCATTTCAGAGAGTTGGAAGAATTTCTCGTCTGCTATGGACTTTTCTCTTGGTTTCCCGTGTCCTTTGTTTCGCACCTTGCTCTGCTGTTCCAATTTGTTGATATGAAAGTCAAGGTCAGAATCCTCATCACTGAGAACTGGGCTTTTCGTCGGATCGAATTTGCTTGAGTTTGCTCTCTCACTCACTTCAGGATTGTCACCACCCATATCTGACACTTCCTCCTCCTCCTCTAAATCTTCTAGGTCCTCCTGGCCATCAGCCTCTGTCTCTGAACCATCCTCTTCATGCTCCTGTTCTTCACTCTCTGGGATACTGATATCTTCATCTTTGTTTCACTAACTGCATTCTGGAAGCTTTGTAAAATTGGGTCATTTTGCAATTCCAGTTGTTGCAAAGTCTGCTTATCATCAAAACTTTCTATCACAAGTTTTTGTAAAGGGCTTCCATGGATCCTACCATTCTCTAATATTTTATTAAGGTCATAAAGCACTTTTGTTAAAGAAGTGAACTTTGATGCCAATCCATCTTGAATCCTAATGGGAGGAATTAAATGAGATTTAGAGTTATAGTTGATAATTTCACAGCCCTCTTAATTAAAAGAAAAATAAAAACCACAACTCTTCTGTAAAATCAAATTTGAATGAAGTGTAAGTATAGATTCTGGCCCCAACAACATACAAGCTGATGAGCCACACTGATATATAAAACCTGTCAACCAAGTATTTGTGAATCAGCTGTACAGATTTTAGGCAGGAAAAGCATTACAAATCTATTTGCTTGGAGATATATAGTGAATTAGCCTTAAATTATCAACTCTGCTACATTATATACCACTCCATTCTTTCACTCATGTTAGTCAGGATGGTCTGGATCTCCTGACCTCATGATCCACCCACCTCGGCCTCCCAAAAAAGTGCTGGGATTACAGGCGTGAGCCACCGTGCCCGGCTGAATTTTTCTTTTTTATAAAATAGGCTTTATTTATTTATTTGTTTATTTATTTATTTTGAGATAGAGTCTCGCTCTGTCACCCAGGCTGGAGTGCAGTGGCGTGATCTGAGCTCACTGCAACCTCTGCCTCCCCGGTTCAAATGATTTTCCTGCCTCAGCCTCCCAAGTAGCTGGGACTACAGGTGAGTGCCACCACGCCTGGCTAATTTTTTGTATTTTTAGTAGAGATGGGGTTTCACCATGTTAACCAGGATGGTCTCGATCTCCCAACCTCACGATCTGCTCACCTCGGCCTCCCAAAGTGCTGAGATTACAGGCATAAGCCATCGCAGCTGGCTGGCTTTATTTTTTTTTTTAAAGCAGTTTTAGGTTCACAGCAAAATTGAGCAGAAAGTACACGCAGTTCCCATATACACCCTACCCACACACAGTCCCCATATACACCCTACCCACACAAAGTCCCCCTATACACCCTACTCACACACAGTCCCGTCCACTGTCAACCCCCCACACCAGAGTGGTACATTTGTTATAAACTATAAACATACACTGACACATTATTATCACTCAAAATCCATAGTTCACATTACTTTGTGGAGTTTCTATCATGAACAGGTCTTGAATTCTGTTTAATGCTTCTTCTGCTTCTACTGATACAATTGTGTTGTTTTTCTTAGTCTATTAATATTAATATGATAAAGTACAATGATGTATTTTAAAATATTGAATCCTTATATTCAGAAACGGACTCCATTTTGTTGTGATGTATTATCCTTTTTCTACATTACTGGATTTGACTTGCTAATGTTTGGTGGAAGCTTTTGTGTCTAGGTTCATAAGAGATACTGATCTATAGTTTCTTTTCAATGTTGTAATGTCTTTATCTGGTTTTGGGATTAGAGTAATGATGATATCATAAAATGAGTTGGGAGGTTTTTCCTCTGCTTCTCTTTTCTGGAAAAAAAATATGGAGAATAATTTTTTCACTGGTATAATTCACCAGTGTAATCATCTGAGCTTGAGCCTGTTGCTTTTTTGGAAGGTTTTTATTATTAATTTAATTTTTAGAAAATATGTATAGGGCGGCCGGGCGCGGTGGCTCATGCCTGTAATCCCAGCACTTTGGGAGGCCGAGGTGGGTGGATCACAAGGTCAGGAGATCAAGACAATCCTGGTTAACACGGTGAAACCCCGTCTCTACTAAAAATATAAAAAATTAGCCGGGCGCGGTGGCAGGCGCCTGTAGTCCCAGCTACTTGGGAGGCTGAGGCAGGAGAATGGCGTGAACCCCAGGAGGTGACGCTTGCAGTGAGCCGAGGTAGCGCCACTGCACTCTGGCCTGGGCGAAAGAGCAAGACTCCATCTCAGAAAAAAAAAAAAAAAGAAAATATGTATAGGGCTAGTCTGTTTTTCCTTGCATGAATTTATTAGTTTGTGTCTTTTAAGGAATTGGTCCACTTTATTTAAGGTATCAAATTTACAAGGATAAAGTTGCTTGTAGAATCTTAGAATCTTTTAAAAGTGCACGGTATCAATAATCAGTAGTAATGATTCTTCTTTCATTGCTGATATTGGTAATTTGTATTCTCTCTTTCTCTCATCTTGTACGCTCATGCCTGGGAAGAGGTTTATCAATTTTATTTACGTTTGTGAAAGCCTAGCTTTTGGTTTTGTTGAATTTTTCTATTGTTTTCCTGTTTAAAATTTTATTGATGTATATTCTAATTTGCATGGATTTCTTTTCTGTGTTCTCTTCAGGTTTAAATTGCTGTTCTTTCTCAAGCTCCTAAGGTGCAAGCGTAATTTATTTATATTATTAATTCTTACTTTGTAATATATGCATACAGAAACTGAGTGCTATAAATTATTTTCTAAGCACTGCTTTAGCTACAACCCATAAGTTTTGATGAGTTATATTTTCCTTTTCATTTATTCTGAAACACTTTTTGAGATTTCTTCTTTGGCTCATGGGCTTTTAGAAGCTACCATCTTAGTGCTGATATTATCCATTTGTTCTTGCACATTGTCTACTTTTTTCATGAGAGCCCTTAACATATTTATCACAGTTATTTTTACATTCCGTCTCTGGTACTCCAACATCTGTGTCGTATCTGAGTTTGATTCTGATGATTGCTTTCTCTTCAGACTGTTTTTTCCTGCCTTTGACGTGTCTTGTGTAATTTTTTTGTTAAAAGACAGATATTGCATTAGGTAATAACAACTGAGGTACATAGGCCTTTATGTGAGAATGTATGTTAATTTGGTTAAGAGTTAAGCTATGTTTAATGTTTGTTGCAGCCATAAGTATCAGAAGTTCCAAATTCCTTTAGTGTCTTTGTTTTGGCTCTTCGCCTGGCTTCACAGCTTGTCTCTGCACTGCTCCTCATAGTGAGTCTGTGTCTTTCAGTTCATTCCACTGAAAACAGCTGTAGTCACTGCTTTTAAACTCAAGCTTTATAACAGTGATGATAGGATATAGAAGACAGTAAGCATTCTCCAACCTTCTAATGAAGTGTGGGTCATTTCCTAAGCCAGTAGCTCATGGCTGTGGCTATCCCAGCTGTGTCTGCCTTTCCTCCAGTAGCATGTTCACCTTCTAGCTCCTTTCCCTGGCTGCCGAGCTCCCAGTATATCTCCATGAAGCACTCTATCCGTTGATGATTATTTCTGCCACTACGTGATGAAAGAAGGCTAAAGAGAGCTGAAGTGAGGGGGGATTCCTTTCCCCAAGCTTGGATACAGTATCAGAATGGAGCTCTGGTAAAGTCCTTCCCCTGGAGAAGGCTCTGGTTACATTTCACAATGGTCACTCTTTCCTTCTTCTGCAAAGGCATGAAGGGATCTTTTGGGGATTCTTACCATAAAAATATGGCGAGGTTACTGGAGGGAGCCTCCTAAGAAACTCTTCCTCCAGCAGTTTGTTAAAATTGTCATTTCATTGTTTGGACCAATAGCTCTAGAGGCTCCTGCTGTCTGAAGCACATCTCTAGGCTTTATCAGTTGCAGTGTCTGTTTGTACCTCTCTTTTTAGATTTTGGGGTGGTTATCTGTCCTGTGCAGTGCAATTGTCATGCTATCTACACAGAATTAGGTCAAACCTCACAGGTCAAGGGCACAGGGCCTTAAAAGGGCCTCCCTCATTTCAGACATCAGCTACAAGCAGGGGAGGGGGCTTCCAGGACACACACACTTCTGACCAACTGGCTACAAAGCTGGAGATTCCCACTACCCACTCAAATTGGATACACAACTTTGCTAGAATAACACATTACTCAGGAAAAAGCTGTAGTTATAATTACAGTTATATAATAAAGGATGTAAATCAGGACCAGCCAAAGAAAGAAACCGTTAGGGTAAGGTTTAGGAGGACCTGAGACACATGACTTCCGCTTCCTCAGGACAAGTCACCCTCCTGGCGCATCGATGTGTATCACTACCCAGGAAAGCACACCTGAGCTTCCGTGGCCAAAGTTTTTATCAGGGTTTCATTATGGACACATGACGGATTGAATCTTTGGCCACATTATTGAGCTCAGCCTCTAGCCTCTCTCTCCTCCCAGAAGGCTGGGCTGATAGCACATGCTTCGAAGCCCAACCCTTGAATCACACAGTTGTTCTTTCTGGTGTGATGGGCCCCATCCTGTGTCATCTCCACAGCATAAGCTCAGATATTGTCAGGCCCGCCATCAGTAACAAAATATAATTGTATCATAGGAAACTTCAAGGGTTTAGAGGGCTCCTCTCAGGACCCAGAGAAAAAGATCAGCCAAATTAATTACTATGCAACAAGCCACCCCTTGTTCTTTGACTGCGATTCTTGTTATATGACTAATATCTGGGGGAGCCAGAAAACTTTTAACTGAATTTCACAATACATTTGGCTCTCGATGTCAATATTATAATCTTACCAACAGTGCCAGTATTACATCACAGCATGGCAGATGTCACCTGACTGTACTTTGTCTGCCCTGAAACATTGGAGCTCTATCTATATTTCTCTTTGAAAGCTCCTAATTGACCTGAGAGAAATGGTACCATTTCCCTGTGGTAAAGCAAGTCCTTCACTAGTGACCTCATCTGGCATTGTTTCCTATAAGAGAGCTGTCCTGGAGCTCAGATCATTTTGGACATAAAAGCTATGTAGCCTAGAATATGACTTAAAGGGTCCAATGGCTATGCCCCCAAACACATTGTATCCTTATATATGGACTTTGCCTCGGGAGTCACTGCACCCACAAAACTGTAACAAGGAGCCCTTTGCTTCAGTTTGAGTCTTTACCTCTCCTCTCTTTTCCTGGCCCTTAGTTTTAAGTCATGAGCATAGACCATGCAGACCTTTATGGAAGCTCTCTTAAGTCATAGGCTGGAAGGGGCCCAGTCTCTCTCTTTACCGCTCTGTTCGTCTTATGTACAGTGAACATCTTGTCTCTCACAATTGACTTCAAGCCACACAGGTCCTCTCTACAGAAATATCTTCTTATTGCTTGTTTTCAGAGCATCTTTCCAAAGTTCTTCTTATTCTATGTAATTCAAATTATTGTGATTTCTCACATGGACTCTTACAAATGCCTCCTTACTATTCTCCCAACTTCTTTCTACTTCATTATGTAGTACGCAGGCTTCCCAAGAAAAGAAGGATTATATATTATTAAAGAGGCTTGGCCGGGGGCGGTAGCTCACACCTGTAATCCCAGCACTTTGGGAGGCCGAGGCGGGTGGATCACTTGAGGTCAGGAGTTTGAGAACAGCCTGGCCAACAGGGTGAAACCCCATTTCTACAGAAAATACAAAAATTAGCTGGGCATGTTGGCACGCATCTGTAATCCCAGCTACTCCGGAGGCTGAGGTGAGAGAATCGCTTGAACCCAAGAGGTGGAGGTTGCAGTGAGCTGAGATTGTGCCATTGCACTCCAGCCTGGGCAACAGAGTGAGACTCCATCTCATTGAGGGAAGACAAAGACCCTCTCATATTGTTTTATATTGTTTCATACTCAGTACCTGTTTAAAGAAAAAAGAAAAAAAACAAGGAAGTGAAATCAAAGACAGGCAGCCTGGCACCAGGCCCAAAACCAGGCCTGGGCCTGCCCGGCCTAAACCTAGTAGTTAAAAATCAACTCATGACTTAGAACCCGATGTTACCCATAGATTTCAGGCATTGTATAAAAGAATATTATGAAACTCCCTGCTCTGTTCTGTTTCACTCTGACCACCAGTGCATGAAACCCCTGTCATGTATCCCCTCGATTGCTCAATCAATCACGACCCTTTCACATGAAATCTTTAGTGTTGTGAGCCCTTAAAAGGGATGGAAATTGTGCACTCGAAGAAGCTCGGATTTTAAGGCAGTAGCTTGCTGATGCTCCCAGTTGAATAAAGCCCTTCCTTCTACAACTCGGTGTCTGAGAGGTTTTGTCTGCGGCTCATCCTGCTACATCATAACATAACATAACATAACATAACATAACATAACATAACATAACATAACATAGCATAAAATAGCTAGGTCTCTTGTCACAAATTCATTTCATTAAGTATTGGCGAAAGGTATGTATTCTGGGCTTTCCCTGTGTGAATGAGTAATTCCTAAATGATAAGTTAACTCCATCATTCTAATTTTCCTTAGTCTTTGAATCCCTTCCTCTACATTAAATCAAGGGATATCTGGCATTTCCAATTCACTCACAGTGGGACATCTTTTGATCCAGATTGCAGCCAACAAACCAAACTGGTAGAGCCTTTTGTAACTCCCTGAACTACAACATTAAATGCAGAATCTCTGCTCTGTGGGACCGTATCAACAAACGGGGAACTTTATGTTCCTTCCACCATTGTCTCATACCCCTGTCAATCGAGAAAAATGATGAGACAAATCTCAATCATTTTAGGAGGTTTATTTGCCAAAGTTAAGGATGCATGCCCAGGAGACAGGTCTATGCCTTTCTTCAAAGATGATTTTGAGGGCTCCAAATTTAAAGAGGAAAGGGCAGGATATTGAGAGGTACACAATTTTCATGTGAGAGTGGGGTAGGGAAAAATATTCATTTATGTGTCTGGCTCAGTGAATTTGCATTGTTTTACATAAGATGACATAGACAAATGGGGCAGAGGAAAAATGCTGGAATCTGCATTTTTACATAAGATAACAGACAAAATGGGGCAGGGGACCGATCAGATATGCATTTGTGTCTGGAGGGCAGGGGGGTGACTGCACTGTAAAGACAATTGACATTATCATGGTGAAATTTTAACAGACACACCTTAGGGTAAAGATCTTGGAGCTCACTAGGAATTTCCTCATGGACAAAATGTGGGGGAGGCATGAAGATTTTCATCTTGTAGCCATCTTAGTTAGGAAGCAAAAGGGGAGGCAGGTTTGCATGACCCAGTTACCAGCTTAACTTTTCCCTTCGGCTTAATGAGTTTGGCATCCCAATATTTATTTTCCTTTCACACCCCTAATATCCATTCCCACACATGTTCCCCAGTTTCCTACCTGTTCCTGGATGTAGTCAGCCTCCTCAGAGATCATACTCTGTAACTCACCTTAGGGGATTGCGGGACTGGAGTCTACTTATAGGTCTAGAATATGGGTGTCCAATCTTTTGGCTTCCCTGGGCCACATTAGAAGAAGAATTGTCTTGGGCCACACATAAACTACAGTAACACTAATGATAGCTGATGGGCTAAAAAAAGAAAATAGCAAAAAAATTTCATAATTTTTTTTTTTTTGAGACAGAGTCTCGCTGTCGCCCAGGCTGGAGTGCAGTGGCGCAATCTCGGCTCACTGCAAGCTCTTCCCCCTGGGCTCACGCCATTCTCCTGCCTCAGCCTCCCAAGTAGCTGGGACTACAGGCTCCGGAGACCACACTCGGCTAATTTTTTGTGTTTTTAGTAGAGATGGGGTTTTACCATGTTAGCCAGGATGGTCTCGATCTCCTGACCTCGTGATCTGCCTGCCTTGGCCTCCTAAAGTGCTGGGATTACAGGCGTGAGCCACCGCGCCTGGCCAAAAAATTTCATAGTTTTAAGAAAGTTAACGAATTTGTATGGGACTGCATTCAAAGCTGTCTTGGGCCACATGTGGCCTGCAGGCCACAGGTTGGATGAACTTGGCCTAAAAGCAAAGAGGGGTGGTGGGGTGGCTCCTAAGGAGAATCAGCATTGTCTTGCTCCACAGCTGCCTTACGGGAGGCCATTCCCATTTCCTCAGGCAGTGCAGGGTTATCCCCTCAGACAGAGGTGGAAAGGTTGATGCCACTGGGGATGGGGAGGCACTTCCTCTGGGGTTGGGGAATTCACTTTTGCCAGGGGTGGGGTGGCTACTTCTGCTGGTGGTAGGGAGACCTGTTCCACTGGTGAGAAAGAAAAGTGGCTCCGAGTCGTCTTAGAAATGTGAGGTCTGCAAAATTTATCGGGCCCTGAGAGATGAGCACGAGGCTTCACTCATGTCCCGGCACCCGTGCCTGGGCATAATTGTTTAAAGGCACTTTGGCTTTCTTTCCTTTCCTGCAGTTTCCAGACTAGCGGATAAATTTCCTAAAACATTACCATAAGTTGCACAATGTGGCCCTCACCCAATATCTTCATGTTCCTGGAATCTGTGATACAAAAACAATGCATAGCCAACAAATAGTTTGTGTTGTGTTATTTTAATGAACCTATGTAGATTATTGATAAGCAACTTAGAAACTGCCCCCAGCTTATTTTTTCTCTTAAACACCCACTTGTAACTGCTGCTAATCTGGGTATATATGTAGGGCAACTTGAATCTATTACTCCTAGGCTGCAGTCCTTAATCTTGGCCCATATAAACTCTCTACTTATATTAATTTTGCCTCATTTTCTTTCCTTAAGTTGACATGGGCAACAAAGGCTCATCAGAGGGGCTCAATGTTCCCAGCTTTACCAAGGCTTTCCATCCCAATTTACAGGATCCCATTTTTTTCCCAGTCAATGCCCTCACTTTATCAGTGGGCACCCTGTGAGGCTGGGAGTTATATTTGCCTTGTAATTCAGCCAATCACAGGATAAAGTCTTGCATTTGATTTTCAGCAATTTCAGCCCTGAAGCTACAAGACCTAACACTCTCCCTCAGGGTGCACCTAGAAGGTCTTAGGTCATTTGTGTGGTGCTTGAGCTGGGAATTATTGTCATTATTTTCCTTAGTTTTCCAAAATCTTTTGAAAGTATTATATATCGCATTACTTTAGTTGACTAGGACTATCCAATGCAGATATTTTGGGTATCTCAATAAAAAATTCACGTCATGGACTATCAGTAATATCTTACCACTGAAAGTAAAGTCATTAGTATTTTCAAGTTTAATCATATTAGAGAAACAATTCCAGAAACCTCAAAACCAATTCACAGAATTTATCCTTAAAATTCTGTTCCTCTAGATCCACTCTTGGGGCAAAAATCTGTATTATTCAGGTTTCTCCAGAAAAATAGAACCAATCTGATATAGATAGGTAGATAGGTAGATAGGTACACAGCTAGCTAGCTACCTATCTGTATCTCATATCTCCTCTTGAAACAGGAGAGTTCCCTGATCCCCTACACAGGATGATTGGTGGGTGTGGCTCATCTGTTCTGCTGCCTCCTGCTCAAACCCCTCATGGGAGGGGAAGCACGCAGACAGGGAGGTGTAGGAGCTGGGGCAAGCACTTTTGGACTCTGGCCCCACGTTACCATATATGGGTGGGTGCCTGCAACTCCCAAAGCTCCAGTGGGCATATTACAGTACTCTTTAGCTCTGCCATCTGCAGACCACTTAAGTGTTAACCAGCTCAGTGCCCTCTTGGTACCAAGGTCCTTGCCTGGCATCCAGGAAGAATCAGGTGACATGGAAAAATTGAAGGATGACAAATGTGGGGGATTTTATTGCCAGACGGAAGTGGCTCTCAGCGGGGTGGATGGGGAGCTGGAGAGGAGTTGCAGTAGGAAGATGATCTTCCTCTGGAGTTTGGCCATCCCGTGGCCAATCTGTTCTCCAACCATCCCCAGCCAACCACCTCTCGATGTTCAGACGTTCCTTCTCTTCTCTCCTTCTCTGCCACCCTGCTCTTCCAACCCTCTGCTCTTCTGCTTGTGAAGCCTGGGACTTGGGGTTTATAAGGGTTCAGGAGAGGGGGGCATGGTGGGCCAAAAGGCAACAGCTGGGTGCAAAAACAGGAATGACTGTTCCCATTTAGGGCTGCAGGTTTCCTGGCTTCAGGGTGGGGCCTTTGACAGGGAACCGCCTCTTCTACCCAGTATTTCCCTGTCGCCTGTGCATATCACTCTTATCCCTGTAGATAGATAATAGATTCTCTATCTCTGTGGATAGGTGCAGAGATAAGAGGAGATCTATAATCAGAATTGGCTTACATAATTATGAAGGCCAAGAAATCCCACAATATGCCACCTATAACCTGCAGACCTATGAAAACTGGTGGCACAATTCAGTCTGAGTCCAAAGGCCTGAGAACCAACAGAGTGAATGGTGAAACTACCAGTCTGAGTCCAAAGACCTGAGTACCAGGAGATATGATGTCTAAGGGCAGGAAAAGTATGTCCCAGCTCAAGGAGAAAGATAATTTGCACTTCCTCTGCCCTTCTTGTTCTATCTAGGCCTTCAATGAACTAGGTGATGCCTGCCCACATTTGTGAGGGCAGATCTTGTTTGTCTATTGAATCAAATACTAATCTTTTGTCTATACCTCAATAAAGCTGAAAAAAACTAAAGTAATTGCACACTTCCAAAAACAAAAAATATAAACAAATACTATTTTCCAAAAACACCCTCACACACTTAGAAATGTTTTACCAGCTATCTACCAAGTCAACTTAATGTTTAACTTTAAACATTACATCCTTTAATCTAGCATAACATCTTTTAAATTCATCAACATTTGTGTAGATCAACAGTTACAGTTCTTTTCTTTTGGCACTTGAAAAATATTGTGCCACTTCCTACTTGCCCCCATGGCTTTAGATAAGAAATTCACTGTCATTCCAATTCATGTGCCCCTAAGGATAACAAGTCATGTTTCTGTGCCTGCTTTCAATATTTTCTGTCTTTTCAGAAGTTTAGTATGATGTGTCCTGGTATATATTTCTTTGGGTTCATACTATTTGGGATATATTAAACTTCTTGAATCTGAGTGTATTTCGTTTAACAAATTTGGGAAATGTTTACCCATTATGTCTTCAAATACTCTTTCAGCCCCACTGACTTTCTCCTCTTCTTCCCCAACTCCGATAATATTAATGTTGGATCTTTTGTTATTGGTCTGTGAAGTTCTGTTCATTATTTTCAGTCTATTTCCTCTATTGTTCAGATTAGGGAAATTCTACACATTTTCAAGTTCACTGATCATATCTCCTGCCCTCCACCCTCTACTATTGAGCCCACCTAGAAAGCTTTTAATTTCTGTTACTGCATTTATCTGTTTCATGAATGTCTTGTTTCTTTTTTATAACTCCTATTTCTTTGCTAGAATATTCCATTTTTTCATTTAAGATAATTTTTTTATTACTTGAACCATTTTTATGCTGGTTGCTTTGAAATTGTTGTCAGATAATTCCAACATGTGGTTTATTTCACTGTTAACATCAATTGATTGCCTTTTGTCATTTCAATTCCCATTTCCCTGTGCCTTGCGCATTTTTTATATTATGTTAGGAAATCTGGGTTCTATTTACATTTTGTTTAATTTTAGTAAGCATTCACCTTTTTGGATTCAGCATGCCGGTCTGGACCTAATTTGAAGGATTTGACTCCTACGACAATTTAATTTTCAGTCTTTGCAGAGCTATTTTAGTTTGCTTTTTAAAAAAATATCATTCCACTGGGGCTCCTACTGGTTTCTGATGGAGCTTCCCCAGGATCAGTTGTCTGTATCTCTAAGTGAATGAATGGAGACTCCGTCCTACAGGGGCAGAGTGCTTCCCTGGCCAAGTGCACATTGCAGTGTGAATTCCCTTCCCTGTGCCCTTGGTTGTGCAGTGTCTCTGGTGAAGGAGGTGAGTTGCGTCCTTTGTGGGAAAGAATTGGAAAGTTGGATTTTGGCAATTCCAGTTGCTAGTGCCCTCAACCAAGGGCTTGGGAACAGGGGTGGAAGGAGAGGAGTAGAGACATAGAGAAAATGGTGTCTCACACTTGGTGAAAAAGTAGAGTTTTCTGGCAGCTTACCGTTAACAGGGCTTCTAATCAACCCGTCTCCATTGTTGGTTCTCCTCTGCTTGCCTGCTATTTCTGGCAGAACTCTCATTTGTTGCAGAAGAATGAGCCTACTTGAGCTACCTTCTGTTACTACATTGGGAGGTGGGAATTGTCAAGCCTGGATCACCTCTCTTGTTGGATGGGGGTTGTATTTTGTGCCTCCAGAATCGAGGCCCCGACCAATTCACCTTCCTCTTACCACCTTTCAGAATTCTCCTGTAGCTGTTCCTTTTACTATTCTCAGTGTTTATAATTGTACTTAGTAGGGAGGGGCAGAGAATGACAAGTCAAGGTGATTCTGTCAACTCTCAAAGTCTTGTCTATTTAAATTTTTAGAAGTAAAAACAGAATCTCTGAATCTGGCAAATACGTATCTGACAGTGGTAGCCTATTGCCCATTTTCTAGGTTTGGTTCAGTTCCACAGATCTAGATGTTGTATGATGAAGGAGAATCCACGTACAGTTAAGAAACGAGTTTGCGGCCGCGCACGGTGGCTCACGCCTGTAATCCCAGCACTTTGGGAGGCCGAGGCGGGTGGATCACAAGGTAAAGAGATTGAGACCATCCTGGCTAACATGGTGAATACCCGTCTCTACTAAAACTACAACAAAATTAGCCAGGTGTGGTGGCAGGCGCCTGTAGTCTCAGCTACTTGGGAGGCTGAGGCAGGAGAATGGCGTGAACCCGGGAGGTGGAGCTTGCAGTGAGCCGAGATCGCACCACTGCACTCCAGCCTGGGCGACAGAGCAAAAAAAAAAAAAAAAAAGAAACAGACTATGGAATAAGTATCATTATATACCTTGGACAAATGGCAGAGCTTACTGCTTTCATTTTTAAAAAAAATTAAAAATGCATCAAGGTTTTAGAAATTAAAAAATTTTATTCTTGAAATAAAAATCTCAATAGATGGGTTGAATAGCAAAATGGATTGAAGAGTAAATCAGTGAACCAGAATATCATGCTAAGTAATTCTCCCAGAATGCAGTGCAAAACAATAGATGGAAAGAATGAACAAAATGTTATGAGACATGAATGACAGCTGTAAAAGTTCCACTATCTGCTTAATATGAATTACAGGAGAGAAGAAAATTAAGGAAGGAGAGTGCCTAAAACAAGGCAAAAATTTAAGACAATTTCTTAGAAATTGGAAATACTCATATTGAGAGGAACCAGTGAATATTTACAGGAAGAATGTAAAAAGACTGACATGTAAGTAAATCATGATAAAATTTCAGGATACTAAGGATAAGGAGGAAACTGAATGTTTTCAGCGTGAAAACAATTGTGTGGGATGGAATAAGATCGATACCAGACTTCACATTGGCAACATGGTAAGTAAGAAAACAGAATAATGTCTTTACAGTTTTCTGGTGAAAATACTTGTGAACTTATGATTCTTGTTAAAGCGAACTAAATATGGCCTGAGGACTCTGTACTTCTGTATTTGAGTCCTTGTGGACTAACCATAACCTAACTTAATAGACAAGATTGAAAACCTAGCTTAGGAGTATGCATCTGTAACAGCAGCTGAGTCTTGGCCAATCCCAGCAACTATACTTCAATCACTCATACACTGCTGAGGGTTCAAACTGTGTTCAAATAAGGCAAATGCCAACCTGTAACCAATCCAGCTGTTTCTTTACCTCACTTTCAATTTCTGTGTGTCACTTTCCTTTTCTTGTCTATACATTTGTTCTGACCATGAGGCATCCCTGAAGTCTCTCTGAATCTGCTGTGGTTCTGGAGGCTGCCCAACTTGTGAATTGTTTTTTTTTTCTTGCTCAATTAAATTCCATTTAATTTGAAGTTTTCTTTTAATATTGTTTAACCAGCCAAAGTGCAAGTGAATGTGAGGGCATCATAAAGACATTTTAAGACACAAAAACAGATTCAAAAAGTTTATAATTCACTGTCCACATAGACTAACCTTTCTCAACAGGGTACCATTGGCATTTGGGGTGGAACAGTCCTTCGTTGTGTAAGATTGATCCACACATTGCAGGTTGCTTAGTGTCCTTGACCATCATCCACTAAATGCCAGTAGCATTTCTCCTCCCCGTGACAATACACAACAGCCCCACATTTGGAGACAGTGCTGTATCACCTCTGGTTGAGAAACCATGGTGTAGAAAATATATTCAAAAAGAAAATAAATCTGGGAAGAAAAAAAGGGATATAAGAAGCACAGGTGAGCAAGATAATCAGTGAAGTTTACTTTTAAGTCTAAATTATAAAAATAAACCTATAATAAAAAACTAAAATCTGAAATAACTCGGGATGGAAAGTTATGAAGTCTGGAAAGGAGGAAGGAGAGAGAAGTAAAAGCATGCTAGGAGTCTCATTTTATCTATACGATTAGCTCTGGATGTCAATCATATGTGTAGCTATGTGTATAAAAATATAAAGATATAGGAACTAAACATATACTTTTCAAGTCATTAGAAGAAAAATTAGTTGGGAACAAGTAAAATGCCAGCAGCTAACTGAAGATCAGGGATGAAAAAGAAACAAAAACAGCATATAAAATAGAAAGCATGGCCAGGCGCTGTGGCTCACGCCTGTAATCCCAGCACTTTGGGAGGCCGAGGTGGGCAGATCACAAGGTCAGGAGATCCAGACCATCCTGGCTAACATGGTGAAACCTCGTTTCTACAAAAAATACAAAAAAATTAGCCGATCGTGGTGGCAGGCACCTGTAGTCCCAGCTACTCAGGAGGCTGAGGCAGGAGAATGGCGTGAACGCGGGAGGCAGAGCTTGCAGTGAGCCGAGATTGCGCCACTGCACTCCAGCCTGGGCTACAGAGCGAGACTCCATCTCAAAAAAACAAACAAAAAAAGTGATTATATGCTTTATTTCAAAGATGAAATTTATGACTATACAGCAAAATAAAATTGGGATAAAAAATAACCTGAAAATCAGGAAACAGGAGAAACAGTCTAAACATTTATTTTGTGATCTTGCCTAATTATTTTTCTTATAGTCAATAAGGAATAATTTAAAATGACCTTATTCCTGAGTACCTGGAGACTTCTAAGAAGTTTTGAAAAATAATTTTATGTTGAAGAATCATACCACAAAATACTTCCAAGATATATATGTGTTGCCATCCTAGTTACTATAAACCAGAGAAAAATGTTCTAATTGCTCTTTTTAATGAATATGTACAAAAATGCTTCATTATAAATCTAGAATATAGGAATATGTTCAATAATTGATTTTTGCAAAAAGTCTGTTTTTTTTTTTCTCTAAAGCAGGGAGAGAACTGTAGCTTCATGATCTGAGATATCAGGCAAGGAAGTCCTCCCCTATTCTTTCTTAAGGGATAAGCTCTTTATATTCCTCTCTCCAGTCCCTCAGAGACAGCATCACATAACTCCCCTATGCTCTGTGCTCTGTTGGCTCCATCCTCGGGGACAAGTGCTATTTCACATCTTACTCTTAAATCACTTCTGAGAAACAGACATAGCTTCCACCAAAGAGGAGCCCTCCCAACAGACCTCTAATAACACCAAAGGGTTTCCATGTGTGTGCCCTTAAGCGAACATACACAAATGAAATGAATCTATAGATTGATAATGAAGCCAGTTTTTATAAGTGACACATGAATATCAGTCGATTAGACACACTCCTGCCGAGTACTGTAACAAATCTCTTCATTTTTACCACATACATGAATAGCTGTCCCATATATTCATAAAACATAAGAATTTTTTTCTTGATTAATAAACTTCATTTTTTAGAGTAGTTTTAGGCTCACAGCAAAATTGAGTGGAAAGTAGAAGAGTTCCCATAGACTCCCTACTCCCATACACACACAGCTTCCCCCACTGTCAACATCCTGCACCAGAATGATGCATTTGCTATAATCGATGAACCTACACTGACACATCACTATCACCCAGAGTCCACAGTTTACATTAGGGTTCGATAAAATAATTTTTTACAACTTAAATCCCCCAATAAACTTAACATTACTTCTCTGGGCCATACATTTTTCTGCATCAGTAAAATGGGATAAGAATATTTATTTGGAGCTGGGAGTGGTGGTGCATGCCTGTAGTCTCAGCTTCTTGGGAGGCTGAGGTGGGAGGATTGCTTAAGCCCAGGAGTTTGACGCTGCAGTGAACCATGATTGCATCACTGCACTAAAGCCTGGGCAGCAGAGTGAGACCCTGTCTCAAAACAAAACAAAATAAAACAAAGACAACAAAAAGGTAATATTTGGAAAGTTTTGTGAGTATTATTGGGATACATTATGAAAAGTGCTAGCACATTATAAGTATTCAGTTACGGTTATTTAAGTTTATCATTAAGATCGTTATAACCTGTAGGAACTGACACTGCTACCCCAATCCTGTCTTTGAAGGAGCAAACCCATATGGGAGTAAAAATGACTGGCTCCCCTCCCTGCCTTGACCTGTCATTTGAGTCTACCTAATTATAAAACAAACAGGGTTTTAAGTTTTGAACCTATTCCCTGTCATGGTGGGTAGAAAATCAATCACTACACCTGTATTTATAAAACAATCAGAACAGAGGAAAAGACACAATTTTGAATTCCAGCCACACATTAAAACAACCCATATTTATAAAACAATCAGAACAGAGGAAAAGACATGATTTTGAATTCCAGCCATGCATTAATTGTGTGCATTTAGGCACATCACTTAAGCCTGTTAAAATTCATTTTATCCACCGAAAGCACTTTATATACTTAAACGAACTATGCTCATTTACAGGGTTCTGTGCATGATCCTGCATCCGTAAAACTGAGAAACCAACAGAATGAGGACAGAATGAAAAAAGAAAAAAACTTTCAGAATGTTCTTCCTTTCCTCAATGCCATACAGTTTGTGCAGTCAGCTGATTGGCTGAAAAGAGTCAGTTTTGACGACTGATGCTTCCTGCTCATGTTTAGTTGGTTTAGGAAGCTCATTAGGATGCTATCTCGGAGATGAGTCTGGTGGGTAGAATATCTGATGACTCTAAGGCAAATGTACTTCCTTCAGCTGGTGAATTAATTTCTCAATAGACTCAATTTGCTTTTTACTGTCTGGCAATATCCCATATTTGCAATGGCCTTTCAAACACTTGCAATAAAATGTGGCTCACACATACAACCTGTTAGCGGTGAAAGAGAAACATTCATCACATTCAAAATTCTCCAAACATGAGAGCAGCTGAATGTGCTTTAAGACAGTATACCTAATGATACATCTCTATTTTCCCCTTCCTCTTACAATCATTTACACAGATATATGAGAGGTAAATATGTGTTTAGAAAGTATTAGTCATCATAGATGTACCTCCAGTCATCCATTCAAATGTAAACATGGTAAAATATGCACTTGTACAATTTTATACTATCAATGAGTATAGGTAGGTGAAAATTAGTGTTGCCAGAAAAAATTCAAACCAGAAAACTGAAAGTATAGAAAAATACTTTTTATTTTGTCATTGAAAAACCATTTTAAAATAATATATCGTGTAGAATAAAAAATTCCATGAATATATACATGTAAATTATACATATATGTGAATTTAATTTTGTTAAAAGGTAATTGGCATCTGCAATTTCATGCAGTCTAAGTGAAACCCATAAAGAAATGTGTATGAAATAGGAAAGCAACAAAAGCTCATAACATTTTAAAATTAGAAATCAGATTCAAAACCCATCATGATCTATTTTAAATTTATCTCTATAACATTTCAATTGAGACATAAAACACACTTTATACAACATGCCTCACTATTTTATTAACAGCATGACTTCCCTTTCCCCAATCCCCAAACCATGTTCCCATCTACACCCCACCCCACCCAAATCTCACCTCTTCCATTAGCATTATTACAAACATATTTTACAAATCTTATACCAAGCTTTTCCACTGTCTCTTTTCAATGTAGAAATATCTTATATATAAACCCAAATACCACAAATCTTCACATTTATATTTTCTAAAGCAGTTAAACCTTTATAGACAATTCTACCTAAAAAGCCAAATGTGCTTGACAATATGTCATGTTATGTTAAGTTGACCAGACACAGAAGTCATTTCTGTCGGATTTCTTGTCGATGTTTGCATTAAGTTGGAGCTTTCTGATCTCGGCTCTTCTTGTGCCAGTAATTTGAAAGGTCACCTCTCTGTTGGCCTTTGGTTTATGCAATGCAGTCTGGCATTGCATAATTAAAAGTCTCGGCCGGGCACGGTGGCTCACGCCTGTAATCCCAGCACTTTCGGAGGCCGAGGCGGGCGGATCCCAAGGTCAGGAGATCCAGACCATCCTGGCTAACACGGTGAAACCCAGTCTGCACTAAAAATACAAAAAAATTAGCTGGATGTGGTGGTGGGCGCCAGTAGTTCCAGCTACTCGCGAGGCAGAGGCAGGAGAATGGCGTGAACCCGGGAGGGGGAGCTTGCGGTGAGCCAAGATCGCGCCATTGCACTCCAGCCTGGGCTACAGAGTGAGACTCCGTCTCAAAAAAAAGAAAGAAAAAAAAAGTCTTGTGAATTTGTACATAGAATATTGAAGTTAGAAGAGGCTTATCACTCTCTGGGCTCTAATACTGCCCAGAGGTTATTTGTTTCTTGTTTCCATAAGAAAATCCTATGTCTCTCCATTAGCATTCCTGATCCTTACCTCCAATTCAAAATGTGGCCAGTTCCACCTTCTAAGCCTTTATACCAAATTGACTGGGTAGGTTTATTATGAATCTGTGTTCTTGTCCAAACTCTACATTAGACCTCGCAGGAGAGTTCAAACTAAAAACTAATGAGTAAGTGCAATATTACAATTGAAACGGGAGCAAACATAATTTCAAGTAGGACACATAAAAACTGTGGGACCAAAAGAGGAAGAGTGCACGCCAAATGTTCTCAATTCTGAAATGGCTCTTGTGAAATATCTATGTGAAAACACTTCAAGGACCTGAAAAAAAAAAAATGGTGAAAAAGCGAACAACCTTCCTTGCAAAACAACTCCAGAGTTAATGCCAGAGCTTTCTATCAAAACATCCATGTTAAGTTCGCCGGAAAGATTCAGAAGATCAATGACAGGAGTAAGGGAAAAAACAAGGACATTTTGTGAGTAGGAACGTATAATGACCCTGCAGCAGGAGAACGAGAGAGGGGGAAGAAGGAAATGGAGGGTGTAAGTGAATTAATTGACTGTAACATGTTTAATGAAATAAGTAGACGTGTGATGCAAATTTCTTAATAGTCAAACGTTATGCAACATATGATGCATAAGAATTGTACTATCTCAAATTTTTTTTAATGTGAGATTCTCTTGATGCCACTTTCATTTACCTACACACACACAAATAGCACAAATCACATATACATATACTGACACGAAAATATATATGTGGGAGGGAGAGAAAGAGGGAGGATAACTTTAATCATGATACACTGCCAATATAAGAACTCCCTTTTGGCCAGGCGCGATGGCTCACACCTGTAATCCCAGCACGTTGGGAGGCTGAGGAGGGCGGATCACGAGGTCAGGAGATGGAGACCATCCTGGCTAACACGGTGAAACCCCGTCTCTACTAAAAACACAAAAAAAATTAGCCGGGCGTGGTGGCGGGCGCCCGTAGTCCCAGCTACTCAGGAGGCTGAGGCAGGAGAATGGCATGGACCCCGGAGGTGGAGCTTGCGGTGAGCCGAGATCGTGCCACTGCACTCCAGCCTGGGCGACAGAGCGAGACTCCGTCCCCCTCAAAAAAGAAAAAAAAAAAAAAAACTCCCTTTTTAGAAAGATCTTTTATTCAACTTACCAAAATTTTAATTGCCAATGGAACAGAAACCAGCACAAATAAGAACTTGTAACTTACCCAGGTACAAGTGAATTTCAATGACTGAAATTCAGGGGCATTCTAAGCAAGAATAGTTCAATAGTAACTAATCTCATTATTTTTCATTTTTATTAAGTCATATTTATTATTCATAGTGTGATTTCTCATCAAGGAGTTATTTAACATGCCAAAAGCCTGCATCTCTTTAACTAGGTCTTTATGCATAGGGAATGTTTAAGTATCCACAAAAGTAATACATACTAACCAATTTTTTAGAGTTTAACATATATATTTGAAGATATGTTTTCCCCAAATGTACAGTTCTTTGTGGCCTGGATTGCCTCAGGAAACTGCCTCTGCCTGTTGTGGGTATCATGGCAAGTAAGGGCACTGGTAATTTACTGCTGAGAAAATGCCTAGCCGTTTGCCTAATTATGCCATGTCATCTTCCTCACACTACAGAGCACGGTAACCTCATTTCCAAAATCAAAGACAGAACAAATCTGAACAGCTACTGTTCCTGAGGCAAACAAGTGAATAAATTCCAAAACATGCCATGGACTCACCGACGATGAATTTTAGACAATTCTTTTTTTTTTTTTGAGATGGAGTCTCGCTCTGTCGCCCAGGCTGGAATGCAGTGGCGCGATGTCGGCTCACTGCAAGCTCCGCCTCCTGGGTTCACGCTATTCTCCTGCCTCAGCCTCCCGAGTAGCTGGGACTACAGGCGCCCACCACCACTCCCGGCTAATTTTTTTGTATTTTTAGTAGAGACGAGGTTTCACAATGTTAGCCAGGATGGTCTCGATCTCCTGACATTGTGATCTGCCGCCTCAGCCTCCCAAAGTGCTGGGAGTACAGGCGTGAACCACCGCGCCTGGCTGGATTTTAGACAATTCTACATCGTCTGTTGAATCTATCGTCTGTTGAATCAGCTTTCTATTAACCACACACTATAGAAGTGAAACGAACCTGTACTACCAAGAGTGTATTAATTTTGCATGCATTTCCTAGTAAACAATGTAGACAGTATTAATTTTTATGTTGCCAAGGTAATAGTTTTGTCCCTCAACTCATATGCTAAATTTTGCCTCACCTGGCTCAGTCAGAAGGAACAGAATTGACAATATTAACTAGTCTCAGTTATCTCCACTGACAGAAAAAAAAACGTGTTATTTTCTACACGGACTGTGGGAATCAGCATTTTCTGTTATTAACTTAAGATTTTTTTTCTTGCCATTTCTCTTTATGATCCCAATGTATTGATGTATTTCTAACACTACAACAAGATTTGTGTCACTCAACTGTGTGTTGTAATCATTGTCTTTTAACCATTTATATCCATGAAACTGATGTCATTGAAAGATAGAAAACAGAAACAAAAAGCATAGAAGGGAGAGAGGGAGGAAGACTTTAGTCATGATACAATGCCAATGTAAGGACTCCTTTTAAGAAAGATTTTAAAAAATTTCTTCATCAAAATTTCCATTGCCTCCTTGAATGAACTGTGAAGGATTGCAAATTCCTTTAAAACTTGGTTTTGGCAACGAATCTGGATTTCCTTCATTAGCCAGGTATACAGAATTCATTTTCCAATGCTCTATTAAAAATAAGAGGCTGGGCACGGTGGCTCACGCCTGTAATCCCAGCACTTTGGGAGGCTGAGGCGGGTGGATCACAAGGTCAGGAGATGGAGACCATCCTGGCTAACACGGTGAAACCCCGTCTCTACTAAAAATACAAAAAATTAGCCGGGTGTGGTGGCGGGCACCTGTAGTCCCAGCTACTCAGGAGGCTGAGGCAGGAGAATGGCGTGAACCCAGGAGGCGGAGCTTGCAGTGAGCCGAGACTGCGCCACTGCACTCCAGCCTGGGCGACAGAGTGAGACTCCATCTAAAAAAAAATAAAATAAAATAAAATAAATAAAAAAGGGAAGATTCCCTTAATGTTTCCCAGTCTATTAAAGGTTTCCTTCCAAAAGGAGCTCATTCTGATCCCATTTAGTACAACACCCTCGTGTATGCCAGATGGCACAGGCATCATAGCTTCACAAATGTCATTCTGATTCTCACCTTTAAAATGAAATTCCCTTAGTCTACCTTTCTTTACATAAACTACAAAATTGTAGACAAAGACATGCCAAATTAAAAGCCTCTTTTGCTAAATATTCTAGAAATAATTTGAGAAAAATGGGCGCAATTTGAGACCTTAGTTGTCTTGGAAAGGGAGTAGGTGGGTATTTGACTATGATTCTGGTTGGTATTTCTCCTGTTAACTATTTAAATGTGTGACCTTAAAAGAAAATCATTCAGTCTTGTTGAGACTAATAAATGTCTCACCCAAAAAAAATGAACTTAAAATTTCTCCTATGTGTCTTATAGCTCAAAAATTTTCAATTCTGTTTCAAGCCATTCTAACATCCTGGATATTTTCCTGGATATTATAATATCCAGCTTATAATCTGCATAGGTAAAGTTTTATTTGTATTATGTTCCTTAGGTTTTGTTAAGTTTCTTGCAAGTAGGTTGATATTCTTTAATGTTTAAGTATTAAATCTGAGGTGAGCTGAATAGTTACCTGTTATTGTTTTGTGTACTCAATAATTTACAGTAAAATATATTTAGAATTGTTATAGTTGGTTATTAGAAATAGAGTTTCTACCTATTGTGGTTTTTAAAGTACCTGTGGTCCAGGGGCAGTGGCTCACACCTGTAATCCCAGGACTTTGGGAGGCCAAGGTGGGCGGATCACTTGAGGTCGGGAGTTCAAGACCAGCCTAGCCAACATGGCGAAACCCCGTCTCTACAAAATATACAAAAATTAGCTGGGCGTGGTGGCGCGTACCTGTAAACCGAGCTACTTGGCAGGCTAAGGCACTAGAATTGCTTCAACCTAGGAGGCGGAAGTTGTAGTGAGCCAAGATCTTGCCTCCACACTCCAGCCTGGGTGACAGAGCAAGACTCTGTCTCAAAAAAATAAAAATAAAAGTGCCTGTGTATGCAGTGGGCATTCAACAAATAGTTGTTAAATGAATAAATTAAAACCTTGAGATTTGCTAAATGCTTAAAACCCAAAAGAAAAAAATAATATTTTTAAGAAAAATATTAAAAATCATTTTAACTATAGCCATGGATAAGTACATAAGCACACAAAAAATTAATCACTGTGTTGGTAAAAACCTTATTTCAATACCTCTTTATCCTTCATACAAGAATAAATCTCTGGAAGAGAAAAGAAAAGAAAGCCGCTCTGAGCGTACCTACCTTTCTACTCTGGAGAGAAGCTCTTTTGACACAGACTGCCCCGTTTAACAGACTCCAGCTGCTGGCACTGCCTTCTGAGTTCTTTCACTTCCGAATTCTTATCGTCCTGCAGCCCCACCACAGTCAATGACTAAGTTCCTCTGGACTTTCACATGGATCGTAATAGACAACTTCATCCTGTTTTTCTAAAAAGGTATTAATGATTGTTTAAAACATATTTTATTATTTGTAAAAATGCACTCAATTTTTTTAAATGTAAGGAAAATAAAGATCACTTGTAATCCCACCACTGAGAATCACTATTAACATATAAAAAATGTATGTGTATAAATGTAATATACATATACACATGTATATATACATGACTATACACATGTATTAAGTAGCATGTGTGTATATACATGTAAGTAGTATATGCACGTATATATACCTGTACAGACATACGTATATATACACACGCACATACACATACTACTTACATAGCTACACTTATCAATGGAGTTCTAAAAGAACATTTTCCATGGGATGGAAATAAATTTTTAGGCCAGGTGCGGTGGCTCACGCCTGTAATCCCAGCACTTTGGGAGGCCAAGACAGGCGGCACACCTGAGGTCAGGAGTTCAAGACCAGCCTGGCCAACATGGCAAAACCCCATCTCTACTAAAAATACAAAACTAGTTGGGCACAGTGGCGTGTGCCTGTAATCCCAGCTACTCAGGAGGCTGAGGCAGGAGAACAGCATGAACCTGGGAGGCAGAAGTTGCAGTGAGCCGAGATCGTGCCACTGCACTCCAGCCTGGGCAACAGAGCAAGACTCCATCTCCAAAAATAAAAAAAAATTTAAAAAGATAAATTTTAATGGCAGCATAGTATTCTCTAATTTAAGCAATCCATGTTGTTAGGCTGTTCCAATGTTCCATTATTATTCATTTCACTGTGATAAACATCTCTGTATAAATCTTTGTGTACACTTTTTATCACTTCCTTAGCAGATAAGTGTTTAAGGATCTTGATACCCATTGCCACACTGCCCTCCAGAAAGGCAACTTATATTCTACCAGCAATATATTATTAAGATGCCTTAGTGATATTTAATCTTGATTACATATTGATTTTTTAAAAGTCATGCTTACTGTAACAAATTCAAACCCTCCAGAAGTACATCAAATAAACAGTGAAATTCTATTGCTCATTCCCCAAACCTTCTGAGTCATTCTCAGAGGAAAAACATTATGAACAATTTGGCATGCATCCTTCCAGATTAACTTCTTTTTTTAATGTAATTTTTTTCCTAAATATGTAAACTGCTTATAACCTGAAACTACTGAAAAAAATTCTGAATACTCAGGATTAAACTAAAAGTTCAGGATCTATGTGAAGAAATTTATTAAACTTGGAGGAACTTTAGGAAAAAAGATTTAAATAAATGGAGAGAGACATACCATGTTCTTGGGTAGGAAGATTCAAAATTGCAAAGACCACTATTCTCCCCAAAGTAATCTCTAATTTTAAGCAAAATCACAATCAAAATTCCAAAGAGTTTTTTGTTTTGAACTTGATTCTAAATTTCATCTGGAAGAATAAAGGAGTGAAAATAGTCAGAAAACTTGTGAAGTAATGTGGGGGGTACTTGCCTTACCAGACCCTAAAATGTGCCTCCAAGACAGTCGTGGGAACAGTATGGAGCCAGCAGCAGAAGCCACTCACGAACCAATGGAGGAGAACAACTCAGAAACAGACCAAAGTCAATCTAATGCTTAACTGGAGAAATGTTAAACATTTAGGGAAAATGTTTTTAAAATCAGTGATTGGGACTGCTTAACAATTTGAGGGAAAGGTTCAATTCCTACCACATTCAAAATAAATTCCACCTGGACTAAAGAATTAAATGTTTTAAAAAGTAACATCATAAACATACTGAAAGAAAACATAAGTATATATTGACATAATTTTGGGATAGGAGCCTATTGCCAGACATAATACTAAAAGCAGAAGCCATAGGGGAAAAAATCAATAAACACGACTTCATAAAAATTAAATATTTCTGAAAGGCAAGAAAACGCAAATGACAAGGAGAGATTATTTGCAACATATGACAGACAATAGAGAATATTATTCTTAATGTCGAAAGGAAATATTCCAAAGAAAAATGGACAAAGACTATGACTAGGCATTTCATAAAATAAGTACAAATGGCTTGTAAACATACAAAATTTTGTTCAATATTCATTCATAATTAAATAAATGAAAATTGGAAGACTGCCATTTTCTCTGTCAAGCAAGCAAAAATGCAAAAAAATGGCATGAGTCTGGGAAACATACACACTCATATTCTGCTGATGGGAGCGTCTTTTTTTTTTTTTTTTTTTGAGACAGAGTCTTACTCTGTCGCCCAGGCTGGAGTGCAGTGGCGCCATCTCAGCTCACTGCAATCTCGACCTCCCAGGTTCAAGCGATTCTCCTGCCTCAGCCTCCCAGGTAGCTGGGATTACAGGCACCCACCACCACGCCCAGCTAATTTTTGTATTTTTAGTAGAGACAGAGTTTCACCACGTTGGCCAAGCTGGTCTTGAACTCCTGACCTCAAGTAATCTGCTCCCCTCAGCCTCCCAAAGTGCTGAGATTACAGGCGTTGAGCCACCACGCCCAGCCTGGGAGCGTCATTTTAAATGTACAACCTATCTAGAGGGCCACTACATAGTATGAAATTTAGAAATCAGAAAATAATACGGAGGTGAGGAAAAATGTATCTCAGATGATTGTTGTATTATTACGTAGCAAAATGTAAAATATACATTGTCCTTGACCCAATAATTCCATCCTTAGATATTTATTCTAAGGAGATAATCTGTCCTATACTCAAAAAGACATGTGTAAAGGAAAGTTCACTACACTACTGTTCAAAACAGCGGAAATTTGGAAATCACGGTATATCCATATAATGGAATACTATGCAGCCATTAAAATTTTGATACTTTTATTATTTCTGAAATAGACAATTAGTATGTATTAAATGAAAAAGAGACTATTATGCATTGTATGCCTGTGTCAAAATATCTTATGTAACCCATAAATATATATATCTACTATGCACCCATAAAAATTAAAAAATTTTTAAAAAGATGTTACTGAACTGGTTATGTAGTTTTGGTTAAAAATTTATATTTTTATATATCAGCATATTTTAAAATCTACAAAGTTATACAGCAAATTGTTACCACTAAGTATCTCTTTTTTTTTTTTTCTTTTTTAGACGGAGTCTCGCTCTGTCTTCCAGGCTGGAGTGCAGTGGCACGATCTTGGCTCACTGAAACTTCCACCTCACGGGTTCAAGCCATTCTCCTGCCTCAGCCTCCCAAGTAGCTGGGATTACAGGCACGTGCCACCACATCGGACTTTGTATTTTTAGTAGAGACAGGGTTTAGTATTTTTGTATTTTTAGTAGAGATGGGGTTTCACCATGTTGGTCAGACTGGTCTGGAACTCCTGACCTCAAGTGATCCGCCCGCCTCAGCCTCCCAAAGTGCTGGGATTATAGGCGTGAGCCACTGTGCCCAGCCAAACACTAAGCATCTCTAGATGATGGGATTGAAGTAATAATCATTTTTCTTTCTTTGTTTTGCTATGTGCTAACAATGAATATATTATTTGAATAATAAACTACTGAAGGAAAACTTTAGGAAATTTTCAGATGTTACAGTTTACAAAAAGTAATTGATAATATGGTCTGTATTTCCTTAAATTTATAAACATTGTTATCTATATACTTAAATATAAACTTTACCTTTTATAAGTCTTTTAAGAGAGTCCAACTGTGTAGTAAGCAGTATTTCTTCGTTTTTTAATATCTCAAATTTAACTTCATATAGTTCTAACTGAATTTCATAAAATTGCATTTCTAATTCATCTACAACATTTATATTTTTTTCTTGTTCTGGAAGATCTTCCATCTTATTTTCATAGAAAAAAGAAAAATAAGTTAAAATAAATAGTATATTAAAAACAAACTTCAGAAGCATTCTAGCTATTTTCTATTCCTTGTTCAATACTAAATATAAAAAAGCAAATAGGAAAGAAACACTTTTTCATTTCATCTAGTGATGCTAATATTTTATCTCATCCTTGAAACAGAAAAACATTTAGGTTTTGAGAAACATAAATGGCAATGAGGTATTATTATGTATTGCATATTGGTGTCCCCACAAAATTCATATGTTGACACTCTAACTCCCAATGTGATGTTATTTGGAGGTGGGTCCTTTGGAAGTAATTAGGTTCAGATTATGTCAAAAGGATAGCACCCCCATCATGGGATTAGTGCCATTAGAAGAGAAAGACAGGGATCACTTTCTTTCTCTCTAAACTTACACACAGAAGAAAGGCTATATGAGCACTCAGTTAAGAAGGCAGCTGTCTACCAGACAGGAAGAGGATCCTCACCGGACAGTGAATCTGCAGGCATCTTGGACTTCCCAGCCTCCAGAACTGTGAGAAATACATGTCCGTTGTTGAAGCCACCCAATCTGTGATATTTAATCTTGTTATAGCAGCCTTAGCCAACTAAGACAGGTGGTTACAGTGTTTTCTGCTTTAAGGTCATAAGATTATAGGAAAAAACTTAAGTGTCTATGATCCTTCAGTGAAGTATCTCTTTGATTATTTTAAAGCTGTACTGAAAACATTGCTGGATTGATATTCAAGTACAGTACCCACTTCAATACTGGGCTTGGTGTTACTATAAAGTAAATCCTATAATATGGTATTTTGAAACATCTTAACTAAAGGAAAACTTTATGTCTAACCTTCCATAGAAGATAGTGTTAGAATAAGTGAAGAAAAGAAGCTCTTTAACGATGCCTGGAAAGAAAAGTGCTATCTAAAAATAAAAGTGTGCTTTACCACATGGTCTCACTTATAAGTGGGAGCTAAGTAGTGTGTATACACACACAGTGTGGAATAATAGACACTGGAGACTCAGAAGAGTAAGAGGGTGGGAGGGAGGATGAGAAATATTTAATGGGTACAATTACATTATACAGGTGAAGATTACACTAAAAGCCCAAACTTCACCACTACACAATATATCCATGGAACAAAACAGTACTTGTATCCCTTATTTACACAAACTTTTTAAAAAATAAAAGTGGGGCCAGGCATGGTGGCTCACGCCTGTAATCCCAGCACTTTGGGAGGCCGAGGCGGGCGGATCACGAGGTCAGGAGATCGAGACCAGCCTGGCTAACACAGTGTAACCCCGTCTCTACTAAAAATACAAAAAATTAGCTGGGCGTGGTGGTGGGCGCCTGTAGTCCCAGCTATTCAGGAGGCTGAGGCAGGAGAATGGTGTGAACCCGGGAGGTGGAGCTTGCAGTGAGCCGAGACTGCACCACTGCGGTACAGCCTGGGCAAAGGAGCGAGACTCCGTCTCAAAAAAAATAAAAAAATAAATAAAATAAAATAAAAGTGTAGTTTTAAAACAAAGTTACGTTTATCTTTGTCTTACCTTTCCCTGAATTTCAGCTCTTTTGCGATTTAAATACAATTCTTTCGCTCTCATGAGTTGCAGAGTCTCTTGAGCTAGCATTAGCTTAAGTTTTTCCAACCTGGGAATTGCTGTGGCCCAGGCAGCCTGGCCAAATCTCTTCACATCCTGTTCCATTTCTTTTTGCATTCCTGTTGGATTATGAAAATAAAATATAATTACACCTCATTAAAAAGGGAAACATTGATCATGAGCTAATTCTTTTTTTATTGCTTCCATACTACCTGCAGAACATCTTTTTTAAAAGAAATTTTGTTTTATTAACTTTTTTATTATTATAAAAATAATACATGGTCATTAATATACAATTTTAGGTATTCAATTTTTAAAAGGACAATAATAAGTCATGATCTCACCTAGTTGAGGCAACTGCTTCTTATATTTTGGCACACTTGCTTCCATATTGTTTCTATGTCTAGCTAGACAGACAGGCTCATATGGATAGTTTGACCAAAAAACCAGGATTACCATTCTGCTTTATATCTTGTTGATTCTGCACAATATATCAGACACTCTTGCCATTTATAAAAAAAATCAAGAATCATGCTTAATAGCTATGTAGTTTTCTCTTTTATGAATGTACCATAACTTAACAAACTGACAGACATTAAGTTGTTTCCTATTTGGTGTTTTTATTAACAATTATTTAAGACTGAAAAAAAGTCCTTCACCCAGCCCGCAAGCCCCTGCACGGTCTGATCCCTGCCTGTCTTGCCAGCATTCTCCCTCGTGCCACACTGTCCTGCATTCTGTGTGATCCAGCCCTGCAGGTTTTCTGTAAGCTCCTATTTGCCAACTTCCCTCAAGCCAGGGGACCTTTACCAGTGCTATTCCTTCTGCCCGGAACACTCCTCACTTTTTCTATTCTCTCAACTTCCGTTTACCCTTCAGCTATTGGGGCAAGCACCACTTCTCAGAGGCCTTCAGCGACCACCCTGATCAAGCCCAATTTCTCTCTCACAGACCCTGAGAGCCCGATGTCTCTCTTCTTTGTGCCATTTATTGTCACTGCCATTTTCCATGTGCTTCAGTGAATAGATAATTAAGATTTCTCTCCCTTCACCAGACTGTACAATGTCTCTTGATGCTTGACACTGAATTCTTGCCACCCAGAAAACACAGTGCCTAGTGCGTAAGAGGGACTCAAATGGTATATGAATAAAATGACAATCAATTACACGTATCTGCGTAAAGCATTTTTTAGATTATCACCTGCTAATGCTTTTACTGTCTAATTAAAATAATTCACTGTGATATCTTGAATAGAGACAACAGCTTCTTCAGCCCGTCTGGTCCATTCTTCAGCTTCTTTCTCCAGGGCAACTATCCTGGAGACGTAGGACCTACGTCATCCTCATCCAAGGAATTCTACAGACAGAAGAGAAAATTATCTTACTAAGAGCTAATAGTTATGTTGACCCATTAGGAAATTGAAAGGAAATTGGTCACATGGATTAATTTAACTACAGTACTACTCAGTCAGTTAAATTTTCATTCATTCAGCAGTCCCTTACTGCATATGAATAAGGCTCTAAGCTGAGCACCACCTGGAAGACAAAAGGACACTCTGGGGCATAAAGGGGAAAAAAAAAACCTACTTTCACTTCACATGCCTAGAATAACTTTTTCTAGAGAGGAATGTTGTCAACTTATGCTTCTCTCTATTAATAATAATACACAATTGTTTAAATGAGTGATCTGTGTTGTCAAGCACTCAGCATAGGGCCTGGAACACAGCACTTAAGTGTTAGCTGTTGTTATCGTTTCTTTTAGGGATATGTAATATAATCACCTAAAAGACAGTATCTGTATATTCATGCTTATAACATGCACTGGTATTGGACTGAATGTTTGGGTCCCCCCAAAATGCATATGTTGAAGCCTAAATCCCCAGTGTGATGGTATTTGAAGATGGGGCCTTTGGGAGGTAATTAGGTCATGAGGGTGCAGCCCTCAAGAATGGGATTAATGCCCTTATAAAAAGAAGAGGAGACACAGGATCTCTCTCTCTGCTCTTCACCATGTGAAGACACAGCAAGACAGTCATCTACAAATTAAGAAACTGGCCCTCACAAGACACTGGATCTGCCAGCACCTTGATCTTAGACTACCCAGCCTCCAGAACTGTGAGAAAAAAAGTTTTGTTGTTTATAAGCCACTAATCTACGGTACTTTGTTATAACAGCCTGAACTAAGACATGTACAGCTATGTCATCCAATATGCAATTTTTCTTCTACAAAGCATAAGAAATATGTACAAGTTAGCCGACAAGGAATTACAAATCAAAACCATAACGAGATACCACTTCACACCCACTAGGATGGCTGTAACCAAAGAGACACACAATTACAAGTGTTGGTGATAATGTGGACAAATTGGAACCCTCATTTACTGCTTTTGGGAATATAAATGAGGCACCCACTTTGGAAAACCATCTGGCGTCTTTCAAAAGGTTAAACACTGAGTAATCACAGGACCCAGCAATCCTACTCCTCAGTACGTACACAAGAGCAATGAAAAGATATGTCTACACAGAAACTCACACACAAACATTCATAGCAGAATTATTCATGATAGCCAAAAAGTGGAAACAACCCAAATGTCCATCAACTGATGAATAAAATGCAATATATCCATACAATGAATATTACTGAGCAATAAAAAGAAATGAAATCCTGGTATTTGCTACAACATGGATTAGTCTTGCAAACACTGTGCTGAGTGAAAGGACCACATATTCAATAATGCTGTTGCTATGTCCAGAGTAGGGAAATCCACAGAGACAGAAAGTAGATTGGTGGTTGCCCAGGGTTGGGAGTGACTAATGGGTACAGGGTTTCTTTTGGAGGTGAAAATGTCCTGAAATTACATAGTAATGACCATTGTGCAACTTTCAATATACTAAAAATCACTGAATTGTACATCTTTTATATATACATATATACACATACATATACATACACATACACATACACATACACATACATATACACATATATACACATATACACACATATATACACATATATACACATATATATACATACATATATTCATATATATATACATATATATATATATATATAATCTGTGAATGGTATCTTAAAACAGCTGTTACTTAAAGAAAGGAAAAATATAGACCGGGTGCGGTGGCTCATGCCTGTAATCCCAGCACTTTCGGAGCCTGAGGTGGGCAGATCACCTGAGGTCAGGAGTTCAAGACCAGCCTGACCAACGTGAAGAAACCCCATCTCTACTAAAAAAATACAAAATTAGCCAGGCCGGGCATGGTGGCACATGCCTGTAATCCCAGCTACTCGGAAGGCTGAGGCAGGAGAATCGCTTGAATCCAGGAGGTGGAGGTTGCAGTGAGCTGAGATCACGCCATTGCACTCCAGCCTGGGCAACAAGAGCGAAACTCCATCTCAAAAAAAAAAAAAAAACAGAAGAAGAAAGCAAAATATATGCAAGAAGTAGACTCTCCAAATAATAGACTTTCAAAATAATGAACAGAACAACTTTATCCACAGGTTAGAGTGGCATGAGTTTCATCTAAATGTGATACTATTTTTATAGTACAATCATCTGGCAGGGGGCATGAGATTATATGTGGAAAGATGGCCCAGTGCAGGGGGCAGAAATCAAGAGATCTCTTAGGTGTCTTCTGATTCCCGTTGTTGAGACCCAAGGTAAGATATTTAACAACTCTGGACTCCAGATTCATTTGTAACACTGGAATAAGAATGCCTTTTCTGAATGGGGTCACACGGTTGTTTGATGGCTCAATGAAACAAGAGCGATAACAGCATTTACTAAAATTTAAGTTACTGAATTACAATCTAGGGTCCTGCTATTTAAATTTTCATCCTATTTTAAGAAATTTGGATGAGTCCTTAGAGGAAAACAAACTGAAGCAAATAAATATCACATCAAAAACAATTCATCAGGCTGGGCGCAGTGGCTCACGCTTGTAATCCCAGCACTTTGGGAGGCTGAGACGCGTGGCTCACTTGAGGTCAGGAGTTTTGAGACCAGCCTGGCCAACATGGTGAAACCCCGTCTCTACTAAAAATACAAAAAAAGTTAGCTGGGCATGGTAGTGCACACCTGTAATCCCAGCTACTCAGGAGGCTGAGGCAGAAGAGTCACTTGAACCTGGAGGAGGTTGCAGTGAGTCAAGATTGTGCCACTGCACTCTAGCCTGGCTGACAAAGAGAGACCCTATCTCAAAAAAAAAAAAAAAAAAAAAAGGCATCGATACAAAAAAACTCTTAACTCTTTAAAATCTGCAGGAATCTTAAGCTAGTAAGATGACCAACATAAATGTCTTCATTTTCTATCAATTTTAAATATAAATTCAATATTTAAACATGAGGGTGAACTAGGCATAGTGGCTGACGCCTGTAATGCTACGCTTTGGGAGGCCGAGGTGGGCAGACTGCTTGAGCTCAGGAGTTAGAAACCAGCTTGAGCAACATGGCAAAACCTCATCTCTATCAATAAATAAGTAAAGAAACATAAAAGTAAACCCAAACAAAGTGCAGAGATTGAACATTAAGTGTAAATAAAGAAATAATATATGACAAATAGTAAATGTGATAAAATAAAAATTAAAAAAAATACCAAAATATCAAGCTTACATAAAGTTGCAACTTCTCGCATAGCCCTAAATGGCTGCAGTAAGTACTGGAAAAACATGGTTGCCATGGTAACTAATTCCTGGTAGGCTTCATCTTCCTCTTGGTAAACTTTCATTAATGCTACCATGGTGTTGGCTTTTCCATGTCCTTGGATAACCTAGAGAGCAAATGTGAATAAAGCTCAAGTCAGACAGTGTAATACATACCCAACAAACAAAACTAAACAAAAGAAACCTTCATGTTCTCAACTTTCAATACATCAATTTAAAATATTGATTAAATATGAAAATGTCATCATCCTCCATCAAAAATGCCCAATAAAACAAGAATTGTTAAGTAAATTATGATATATCCATGGCAGAATATTATTACTGTAGTCATTCAGCACTGTGCTTCTGAAGATTGTTTAATAATATGGAGACTTTTGGCCAGGCACCGTGGCTCACGCCTGTAATTCCAGCACTTTGGGAGGCCGAGGCGGGTGGATCACTTGAGGTCAGGACTTCGACACCAGCCTGACCAACATGGAGAAACCCTGTCTGTACTAAAAATACAAAATTTGTTGGGCGTGGTGGCGCATGCCTGTAATCCCAGCTACTGGGGAGGCTGAGGCAGGAGAATAGCTTGAACCCGGGAGGCGGAGGTTGCGGTGAGCCGAGACAGTGCCATTGCATTCCAGCCTGGGCAACAAGAACGAAACTCTGTTTCAAAAAAAAAAAAAAGGAGACTTTTATAATTAAATGGAGAGGCAGAGTACAAAATTTAATCTCAACTATGCACTAAGTATGCAGCGAAAAGGACCCAAAAGAAGGTTTGAGGTGTGGATATTTTTTCATTTGACTTTTCTGACTGTGAAGGTTTTGTGAGGCTGTATTCCTTTTTAAAAGCTCCTAAGGGCCAGGCATGGTGGCTCACACCTGTAACCCCAGCACTTTGGGAGGCCACGGCAGGCAGATCACGAGGTCAGGAGATTGAGACCATCCTGGCTAACACGGTGAAACCCTGTGTATACTAACAATACAAAAAATTTGCTGGGCGTGGTGGAGGGCACCTGCAGTCCCAGCTACTGGGGAGGCTGAGGCAGGAAAATGGGGTGAACCTGAGGGGCAGAGCTTGCAGTGAGCCGAGATGGCGCCACTGCACTCCAGCCTGGGCGACAGTGCAAGACTCTGTCTCAAAAAAAAAAAAACAAAAAACCTCATAAAACATTACAGAGCTGTCTCCAAGTACTTTAGCATGTTGATTCTCTTAATGCCCCAGGTTAATATCCCCATGAAGTCCTTAGCAGTCAACTCATTTACAGAGCCTCAGCTGTGGTTCCAGTCTCTGCTGGTTATTGCTTGTGCTGCAGGGCAGAAAACAAACTGAACAGTGTATAATCTAGGTGGACTGATTTGGTTGGAAATTATTTTACTCCCACAAGAAGAGAAATAAAAATAAAATAATATAGATGTTTTTCAACCAATACATTCTTAAAATTCTTCTATTTCCATCCTTCTGCTTAAAGATAAAGTGATCTACTTTCAGCTGTATTTTTTATCCAGGTAATAATATTATGGTTTTTTTTTTAAGTGAAAGCCCCACTGAACAAAATTAAAACACACACGCAAAAGTAAACTTAAGGCAAGTGATACACTTCAGCCTTATTTCTTAGACTATTCAGAAAAATTCCAGAGTTAAAACATTCAGCTTCATTTTATATATGCTAGCAATGCTAGCAATTAGTCTAATTCTAGAATCAATTGCTTTTCTATTTTAAATATAAAGTAAAATATTAAAATTATATATTTGGACATGTTTTGAATTTTAGCTTCCCCTCTCAACCCCTCATTTTTGAGTTCCAGATAAATATGTGAACTACACTAACATGAACAACTAGCTCAACAGAATGAACTACATTCACGCTATAGTACCCCAGAGTGAACTTAAATTTGGGAAAACTAACTTTTCTGATAGTAACTACAGTAAAATGCATCATATAAATGTTCGATTTTAAGGAGAAACCACCTATCTCTGTGAGAAACCAAGAGTGTAAAAAACAAGTCTGATACAAAATGATACCATTTTTGAAACTCCGGTGGGCTCGTCATATCCTAAGGTGAAAGTTATAAAGTTGAAGATCAAAAGCTGACTGGCCTGAAACTCCCCTGTGGTTTCCTCATAGTCTAAAGTGAAATCAACACATGTTAAGTGGGTGTGTAGACATTTACACATAAAGCTCACAGTACAAAAATGACCCCACTAACAAGCTCCTTTTATAAAACCATTTTAATTTAGAAAGCTTATTCTATATTTAGCTTAGGCTGAATTCTTCTTTTCACCTCCCCTTCCTCAAAAGAATGCACAGAAAAAAATCATTCAGGTTAATAAGAGCAGTGAGCTGAGACTCCAGCCTGGCTCTGCTTAGTAAACCGTGGGTGTGGATTTAGAAGGCATACTTTCTCCTAAACCCTTCTATGAACATGTACTTCCCCGTCCCCTAAGTTCAGTAAGTTTACCACTCAATTACTCTCTCAAACTACCTCTTTCAAGCTTAAAAGAGCACTAATGCGGTTAAACTGATGAATAAAGCTCACTTTCTACCGGCTTTCCATTTGACCAAGTCTGTATTACTTAAAACAAAACACCCTAACTCCTAAAAGCCATTTCTTCCTTTAAACCATTTTATCCCACTTGCGACGTCCCCGCAGACACAGACTTGGAATTGCTTACGTGTAGTCCGTGTTATTCTTTCCTACATGGATGGGTTGTTTTCAGTTTGCTTGCAGTATTTCTGACATTTCCCGTTACAACATCCTGCTCTGCCAGCATCTTCAGGGCAAAGGTTGGGGGCCTAGCCCAGCTCCCAGCGGCAAGTACACTAGGCTCTTAACTTCGCTTGTCCTCTCTGCAGGCCCTGCCGAAGCTCCCCCTGGTTTCCCGCAGCGATCCCGCGCAGGTGAGGGTACTGGGGAGCCCGTGGCCTTCTCCGCCCGCCGGCTCCTCCCCATCAGCCGTCAGCCAGGGCTCTCGGCGCCGGGGAAGCCTCCCACAGGGTCCCAGGCCACCCAAGCGCGGTCAAACGCCGGCGGCCCGGCCTCGCTTACCTGACGCAGCCGCGCGTCCGCCTCGACCCATCAGGCGCGCAGGGCCCGCTCTCGAAACTCGCGCGGGCTCTCGCAGTCAGCCGCGCGGCCTTTAGCCGCGAAAACAGCGTGGCGCACGGTGGCGCCGCCGCAGCCGTGGGCCGCCGCGCCCAGGTAGCGCTCCAGCTGCCCGCATAGCTCCTGCAGCGCCACCTCGCCGGGGCCCGCGCGCGCCTGCCAGAGCAGCGCCCACAGCCCGAGCCCCAGACTCCAGGCCCCGCCGCCGCCCACGTCCAGCTGCGGGGAGCAGCGTTCCAGAGGCGGCCACAGCGCCGCTAGCTGCCAGCGCGCGCCGCGGAACCCCGCGGCCGAGAACCGGCCGGCCCAGTTGGGCGGGAACACGGCAGCTGGGCGGGGACACGGCAGCTGGGCGGGGACACAGCGGCCTTGGGTTTGGGCTCCAGCCCCAGCCGGGCCCCCTCGCGCCGCTGCGGCTGCTGCGCGGTGAGGTCGTGACAAGTCACAGCTAACTTGCCCTCCGCGCCATTCCACGCCACCAGGAAGCGCAGCCGGTGCCTCTCGGCATCGGCGAAGAGGCCTTGCCGGACCGGCGCCCAGCCCTCCAGGCTGTCGAGCTGCTCGTCCTCCATGGCCGTCGGCGGCAGCGGCCCTAGGACTCGGCGGGCGCGGGCCTGACCTCGTCGCACTGCCTGTCAGGGGACAGTCCCAGGTGAAGCATTTTTCGCTCCACTATTGGTATTTTAACAACATGAATGAAAAAAAAAAAAAAAACTCAGCTGTTTTGATAGAAGTAACAAACGTGCCTAGGAATCATCTTCCTTGAAGGGAGAGGAGGGTCTTGTTGAACTTGAAAAAACTAAATAAGCAAAGTTGATACATAAGGACACCCTTCTCTTTACCCTTACCTATTCTTCTCTTAAAACTTTAATTCATTTCTGACAGTCACCAACTGAAAAACGGTCCGACTAAAAAAAAAAAAAAAACTGATCATAAAGGGGGGAGAAGTTGTGACGTGTTCTATCCTAATCCAAGATATCTAAACCAATTTTGCTGATAGAGAAAATATATTCGGTGAATGATGTAAGTACATTAATATAGGTAACAACTCTTTGAAAGTAAAGTTTGCACATAATATGAAATACAAAGAGAATTACTGTAGTCTCGAAGGAGAGAACCCTTGATGGGGAGTGGTAGTCAAAAAGGTGTATGAGCAAGTCATCTGTTGCAAGGTGATGGGAGGAGATTTTTATGCAGGCATTCAATATCAGAGTCAGAGGTTTTAATGATTTTTGTTTTTTATCTTGAGAGTTGGAGACTAGAAGATCTAAAATAGGAAATTTCTGGCATATCCATAGATAGAATGGAAACTCTTGGCCAAAAATAACGTGCTCCAAGTCATGAAAAATAGCACACATGCACAATTAACTACAGAGTTACACAAGATGGTGTCTTTTCATTCGATTTTATTTGAACTCTTATTCTTCTCTTTTATGCTCTGTATCCTTGTTAACTCTTCCATTTTTTCCTCATCCTATGAGGTACTTTAAACATTTTATTCAATAACTCTTAAGGCAATTTTTACAATTCTATTCATATATAAAACTGTCATAAGCATGTTTTGTGAGTGAAAAATTCTAATTTGTAATGCATATCAAGTGAAAAGCCTCAGTTCAGCACTCGTCATATCCAAAATCTGTGTTATATGATAATGTAAAAGAAATATTTTCACACATGTAGCTCAAATGAGATTCTTAGTTACATGTTTCTTTTTTTTCTTTTCTTTTCTTTTCTTTTTTTTTTTTTTGAGACGTAGTCTCGCTCTGTTGCCTAGGCTGGAGTGCAGTGGCGCAATCTCGGCTTACTGCAAGCTCTGCCTCCCGGGTTCATGCCATTCTCCTGCCTCAGCCTCCCAAGTAGCTGGGATTACAGGTGCCCGCCACCACGCCCGGCTAATTTTTTGTATTTTTAGTAGAGACGGGGTTTCACAGTGTTAGCCAGGATGGTCTCTATCTCCTGACCTCGTGATCCGCTCGTCTGGGCCTCCCAAAGTGCCAGGATTACAGGCGTGAGCCACCACGCCCGGCCTACATTTTTCAAAATTTAACTCAATCTTTTATGTTTAAAAATGTGCATATACTGCCTGTTCAAGTACTTAATCTTTGTATTTATTATTTGAAATTGGAAGTCCATCTTTTTAGATTGTTAGGAGGTCTTCACATATTTGAATGAGTTATTAAGTTGATACAACTATTTTGGAAAAATAATTATCATTATCTACTAAATTTAAACACATAATTTATGACCAGCAGTTTCAACAGAGACACCTGGATGTTCATCAGGATAGAATGGATTGGAAAGCTCCATATTCATTCAACAGGGTGCTACACAAAACAAAAAGGAATGAAACACTGGTCCATAACATAAATAGATTTCACAAATGCAATTTTGAGTGAAATAAGCCAGAAAAAAATAAATACCGTATGCTTCCATTTATATGAAGACAAAGATAGGCAATATTAATCTATGGTAACATGTGAGACTGACTGACTTTTCTCAGCATCAGCTAAGAGCCTGAAAAATATTTTTCTGGGGTGCTAAAAAAGTGCCAGATCTTAAAATATTTGTACAAAAGATAATATTTGTTTTTTTATATAAATAGGTACAAAATACAAATATGGGCAAAAATGTATTTATAAATATGTTAAACAAGATTATTTATAGTTTATACTTCAATATAATTTTTTTCACTTTTGTTGACATTAGTAAACCATCACACTTAATAAACAGCCATTTGGAATGGTTCTTGATTTAGGTATTTCCTTGATCAAGTACCAAGTAGGAACATACCTTGATTCTAAAATATAAAGAATATGATTCCATGAAAGTTTCCATGAAAACTATCTTGCATTCTAAAATATTTTTAAAAGTACTTATTTTCAAAGTTCATTTTCCTATTTTAAACAAAAGTTGAACTAAATTACATATAATCTAGTCCCCAAAGTATTCAGTAAATATCAAATGAAGGTGTGAAAGTTAAAGATTTCAATTTTTTACTAGTTAATTTGCAGTGCTCTATTATTTTGCTTAATAAGCAATTTTATGCTAGAAATAAGCAGATTTCTCTATTCACATTATCTTTACCAAGAGCACTTAAATAAATACCATTGATTACTTGCAAAATGCAGATTGTAGATTCAGAGCTCAAAACTAAAGCTCTGAGGATGTAATTCAATTAAAACAACCCATAGTTGTGAATTCACCTCACCAGTGTCCCTAAGACAAGAAGCTCTTTCTCACATCAAAGTGAATTATTTTAATTCACTTTGGATGTTAGGAATATCCTAACTCCTTTGTAATTAAAAACAAAAACAAAACTTCTGATGCTTCTTTATACCTTAACAATTATGAGGTCTATAACAATATGAACACAGAAGTTTGGGTCAGTTCAATGACTGAACTAAAACATTGTTTCCCAACATGTCCATGTTTTACAAGATGATGGGGTTGTTATCTGTGATGCCATTGCAAAGATCTTGATGGTTCCAAAACACTCTAAGCATCACATAAGCCATGTTATACCTGTCGCCCCAAATTTACCAAACCATTTGGATTAAAACTCTCAGTAAGGACCTCTGAGGCACAAAGATCTATGAATAACTCCTTAACCCCTTTGCTCTTACTCTTCAGGTACAATTTCAAATTTTCACTTTTCCCTTTCTGCACTGACCTTGGGAAAGTCACTTTATCTCTGTGATCTAATTTTCCACATCAATAATGTATCTATACTTGGCATAGAGAGTTATGAGAATAAAATAATAACATATATGGGAGATTTCTGTGAATACCAATTGTACAGGTGGATTTTTAAATAATAGATTTAGGGCCAGGCGCAGTAGCTCACAGAAGTAATACCATCACTTTAGGAGGCCGAAGCGGGTGGATCACCTGAGGTCAGGAGTTCAGACCAGCCTGACCAACAAGGTGAAATACTGTCTCTACTAAAAATACGAAAATGAGCCAGGTGTGGTGGCGGGCACCTGTAGTCCCAGCTACTCAGGTGGGTGAGACAGGAGAATTGCTTGAACCCACAAGGCGGAGGGTGCAGTAAGCCGAGATCGCGCCACTGCACTCCAGCCTCGGTGATGAAGCGAGACACCATGTAAAAAACAAACAAACAAACAAATAAAATATATTTAGGAAAATTATTAATAAGAAAAAAATTGAAAGCATTAAGAACTCTATTATGGACTGAACAAAAAAAGGAGAATTGGTACCATACCTTGGTAAGTTTATTTTGATAAGCACAATTTCTATTAGTTCCTCAGTGTTTCTTCTTGCTCCCTGAATGTATGTTCCTTGCCTCTATCTTATCCCATTTTTTCTATTGTTAATGCATAGAGAGTTGTCACAAGTTCTATTCTCAATGCCTATTGCATCAGGCAATAGAAGATGACTCTGGTTCCCAACTCAGAAAAACCTCATTTTTAAGAAATGTTTGAGCTTTGACTTTGATCTCATTCAGAATATTCTGGTTCAAAAGTTTTTTGTTTTTTTTGTTTTTTTTGAGACGGAGTCTCGCTTTGTCGCCCAGGTTGGAGTGCAATGGCGCGATCTCGGCTCACTGCAAGCTCCGCCTCCCGGGTTCACGCCATTCTCCTGCATCAGCCTCCCTAGTAGCTGGGACTACAGGCCCCTGCCACCACGCCTGGCTAATTTTTTTTTTTTTGTATTTTTAGTAGAGACGGGGTTTCACCGTGTTAGCTAGGATGGTCTCAATCTCCTGATCTCGTGATCCGCCCGTCTCGGCCTCCCACAGTGCTGGGATTACAGGCGTGAGCCACCACGCCCGGCACAAAAGTCTTATGTTTGTGTAAATAAGAAAAGCACCTTTGAAAACTACACCTACAAATGGGAATATGGAATAAAAAGGACAAGCCAAAGGTTATGGAACAAAATAAAACATGAAGAAAGAGAAATAGAAACACAATATTACTATATACAATATAGTAATGTATTTTAAAATATGAAAAACGCTAGCAAAACAGCAATATGTGAACAAAAGAATTGGAGTAAAATAATAGAATTTGAAACAGCACAATCTGCTGAAAATACACAAAAGACAAACTAGGATATTTCTGAGCTCACTGTTTATAATATTAGAACATGTATATAAAAAGGAAAAGTGACTTTAAAATGTCTGGGGGCCAAGCAATATATAGCTTGTTACATTTTATTTACAAACAGTTTCTTTGACTAGGGAATCAATTTAAATTTTCTGTTTTGGAAATAATATAAATATATCTTTATTTTAGACTTTTTGCTGAAAAGTTTCTTAAATATTTACAACTTTAGGATAATCAGTGTACATTTCAATATATAATGTCCTAAAAATCAAACAGCTACCAAACATTGAATTGAAGTTCTGACTTATATAAATCATTTGCATAAAAACTGATCATTAAAAACAGTATCTAATGAACATTTTGGCCCCAATATTAATTAAAACTGAAATGATAGCATTACAAGCTAAAGATTAATTTCAATGACATGTCGTTCAACCATTTTGACATAATCGACTTATAATAAGCTAAAATTGACTATTTTTATGACATATTTGACCTAAATGAAGAGAAAAAAGCTTTGACTAATTCTTAATTACTCTTTCTGACCAATTGATGGCCAATAACTGAATTTAATTTCAAACCATTTTCTGTTATTTTAATCTTTTAAACATGTTTTACTTTCAGTGATTCATTTTCTAACATTCATAGCCAAAGCCCAGGCTCTGCCCATCTTTGTCTACCTTAATGACTTTGTCAATTGTTGGTATACACTGGGCCTTAAAAACTTGTGTTTCTTCCGAATTAATTAATGAAGTAGAATTGCTCTTATAGGGTTTCATATACCATTACCTCCAAAAGAGTACATTAGAAGTATTAGAAAATACTGATATTTATAAACAGATATTTATCTTATGATACAAAGAGCTAGAGCTGTTTTATTTTCTGTAAAACTAAGAATAACTTCTTGATAACATAGCTTCACAAAAAGAAAACCCAACACATTTGCATAAATAATTCTCTGAAATAACTATGTGTTTGTAACTTTTTATATACATGAGGATATACATATACTTATACATCTATACATATATATGTAACATAAAGGATATTAACATTAGGACTGTTTAATGTCTATTTGTCTTGGAAAGAAAAATATACTTAAAAATATTTCTCAATTGGGATTTGTAATCGTACCGACTTAATTGATAAACTTGGCGACTGCTTTTATGCTCTGTCTCCTTCCATAAATTTTTAAAAATACTAATTCAACAAAGAAAAAGCTCTAATGTTCATTGGAAATAATTTATAGACTTTTTTAGAGCAGAGAAAAATTAAGAAAAACTTTGAAATGGTCTCAAAAAATTACTATTTTCAGTGGAAAACTAAATGTTAGTTTAACTGATTGTATGGGGTTTCTGAACCTTTCACTTTTTGTTTGTTTTACCTATTTCACAACTGTGTAAATTGCAAATAATTCCTGTCCATGAAAATACAAATTATCCAGTGTAGATATATTTCACTGTCACCCTATAGATATTGGCTAATTTTGCCTTTATTAAGCAAATTCATTTCAGCATGAATGTCTGCCTGTATATTCTCTGCTCTTTGTATTCTCCTTTGAACCAGTCAGAACATCCTGTGGTACTCTTATTTATTAATCAGTTAAATAAAATCATGAACATATATTCATTTTACATTTGTATGAGAACCATTAATTTTCTTTTCTTTAAAAAAATTAATTATCCTTTGACATTGGGTTGACATTTTCTTAAGACTTGCCATAAACAGAGGATATCAAGTTTCTCAAGGTCAGTTCTAGAGGAAAAAAAAATTCTTTATAAAAATTTAGCCTCATGTGTAACAGTTTCCATTCCCATAGCAATGACATTTGATATACATTGTATATATTAATCTGGGAATGATGTAAGATTCCAAGTATAATTTTATCAGTGAACTCAACTACTTGATTACTTTCACTTATTTAAATATCTAGTTCAATGTTGTCCAGTGGCATTGTGGATTTAGGTAATTTTACCAGGCAGCCGTTCAATTTCTGCACTTTCTGTTTGCCCATGCAGAACACAACACATTTTATAAGTCAAAGTATAGGCATCTGGTGGCATAATTTTAATTTGTTATCAAATAAAAGCCTCATCAAATTAGTCTAGAAAATAACTCATTATTTACTTTATTTTAGGACTGTATCACTATGTAATGAGATACAAATACATGTAAGCGTTAAGTGCCTAAGAGGCATCCAGAGAGCCTAAGATGTATGCAGTATGCCTAAGAGGAATGCAGAGAGCCTAAGATGTATGCAGTATGCCTAAGAGGAATGCAGAGAGCTTCATTTTCATTGTCAGCTGCTCAGTTGTTTCTCAGGAAATAAATGTGGCCAACTGACACCATTTAAGAGATATAAAGCAACAAGTTTAGAAAATTCTCATAAATGGGAGTGGCTAATGCATAGACAATAGCATTGACCTTTGATCCATGTATATATATATATTTAGATACATACCTCAAAAACATTTGGGTCAATTTAATTGTGAGTACTATAAACTACAAATGAAAGTAAAAAAGCAAATCTGTTGGTATTTTAGAAGAATGAAAGATTATTAACTCATGGCCTGTATGTATTTGGAATGAGAAGGACATACATAGCTTTCTTTGGATGGGGTGGAATTGAAATTGTGATTTACAGTGACTAAAACCTGACTGCTTTCACATTTTTTTTTCACTGTTGGGGGTGAAATTCTTGATTGATTCATGCATTGGGAACTTTTTTTTTTTTTTTTTGAGACGGAGTCTCGCTCTGTAGCCCAGGCTGGAGTGCAGTGTCAGGATCTCGGCTCACTGCAAACTCCACCTTCTGGGTTCACACCATCCTCCTGCCTCAGCCTCCCAAGTAGCTGGGACTACAGGCGGGCACCACCACGCCTGGCAAATTTTTTGTATTTTTAGTAGAGACGGGGTTTCACTGTGTTAGCCAGGATGGGCAGGATGGTCTCGACCTCCTGACCCTGTGATTCACCTGCCTTGGCCTTCCAAAGTGCTGGGATTGCAGGTGTGCACCCGCCTGAGCCACTGCGCCTGGCCGGGAGCTTTTGAATTAACTAAGGAAATTGACAAAATAGAGAATGACTCCTTATGTGACCTGCAGAAAATATTTTGTGTCATTCGTGGTACATTTATCATATTTTCTATAGGTTTGTACTATGTTACTTCACTTCTAAGAATTCGAAGTAGTTCAAAGCCAGCAGGGACTGGTATATTATAGCATATTTAACCTAAGCAACTCTAAAAGCTAACGAAACCAAGTATCTACAAACTTTAGCCATAGCTACCATCAACATGAAGAATGTAATAGGCAAAATGTTTTACATGCTGAATAAGCACTACTGAATTCTCTCTATATTTTTTGCAGTTTTAATTTAAAAGTATACTAGTTAGATATTTCATCTATACCCTGGTATAGTAATAAAAATTCAGATATTGCTCAACGAGGAAGCATATTTTCAAAGCAACAGACCTGAAAACTAGTATTTTATTTGATATTTTAAGTGCTTATTTCATTTTCTGGTTAAAGATGTTTGTGGAGGTAAAATTTAAAATAGATACTCTGTGTTCTTCTATTATATAACATTGAAATTAAATTTTTTATTAGTAAATGTAGAAAAGGTAAGTCTGAAGCATTGACTGAGAAAGATTTAGTAAATGGAGAATTTTGACTGTTAAACATCCTATTTTAACAAAAATATGCATAAAATATTCTTAGGATGATTTAATTAACCTTTTAATAAATACGAAAGACATTATGAAAAAAAGAATACATCACATTGCAGAATCAAAAGTAATAAAAATCACTCAAATTCTACTGCTCAGAAATGAAAATAATTGCTAAACATTAGGTGGCAGTATTTCAGACATTCCTATATAAATATACTTGAATGAGGCCCAGAGCAGTGGCTCACGCCTGTAATCCCAGCACTTTTGGAGGCCAGATAATGGCATGAACCCCGGAAGCGGAGCCTGCAGTGAGCGGAGATCACGCCACTGCACTCCATCCTGGGCGAAAGAGCAAGACTCCGTCTCAAAATAAAAATAAAAATAAATAAATAAATAAATAAATACACGCATTCTTCATTTATAAAATACATTTAATATTTTTAAATAAATAAGTCAAAACAAAACGTTGATAAAATGACTATAGTTATTTGTGTGAATATATGCATGTGTGTTTGTACAGATGCATTAAGAAATCTTAATCCTCAAAATGATGAACATTTTAGAAGAAATATTAAGTATAATAGAGTTTGGGATCTGTATCTTTCTTTCTTTCTTTTTCTTTTTTTTTGAGACGGAGTCTCGCTCTGTCGCCCAGGCTGGAGTGCAGTGGCACGATGTCAGCTCAACTGCACGCTTCGCCTCTCAGGTTCATGCCATTCTCCTGCCTCAGCCTCCCGGGTAGCTGGGACTACAGGCGCCCGCCACCACGCCCTGCTGATTTTTCGTATTTTTAGTAGACACGGGGTTTCACCGTGTTAGCCAGGATGGTCTTGATCTCCTGACCTCGTGTTCCGCCCGCCTCGGCCTCCCAGAGTGCTGGGATTACAGGCTGAGCCACTGCGCCCTGCCCTGGGATCTGTATTTTTCTAAGTAGGTGATTCTGTATCTAATGAAAAATTATCACTTAAAATTTCAAAATGTTTTAGTTTGTTGTTATTATTATTATTTGTATTACTTTTAAAGCTGGGGTCTTCTTATGGTGCCCAGGCTAATCTTGTTAATATTTTTATATTATCATTGTATCTTAGGCAGCTCAAGCTGCCATAACAGAATACCAGAGACTGGTGTCTTCAACACACATTTGTTTCTCACAGTTTTGGAGGCTGGGAAATCCTCCACAAGGTTCGGGCAGATTCAGTCCCTGGTGAAAGCCCCCTTCCTAGACTACAGGCTCCTGCCTTCTGACAATGTCTTCACATGGCACAAAATAGAGAAAGACAGAGAGCTATGGTCTCACTTTCTCTTCCTATAAGAACACTAATCCCATCATGGAGATGCACATGATCTTAACCAGACAAATTTTTTTTGGATATTTTGAACTGATCAAATAACTCACATTGATTCAAAATATCACAGTTATTAAAACTCAGGCACAAAATCAAGTTAGTTCATCACTAATTGAGGCAGATAATTTTAAATCAAAATATAGCTACACAAAACATCATTTCCTAATTATCTTAGACTTTAAAAGTAGTTAGAGGAAGAGAAAGCTCATCTCTCTATTACAGTATTAATGGGTTTCCCATCCTAGGTGTCTTAATCTATTTAAACAGCTATAACAAAATACCATAAATTGGTGGATTATAGGCAATAGAAATTTGTTGTTCACAGTTCTAGAGGGCAGGAAGTCCTAGATCAAAGTGCCGTAAGAGTTGGTGAGGACCTGCTTCTTGATTCATGAATTGCCATCTCTTCCCTGCATCCTCACTTGGTGAAAGGGGCAAGAGTCTCTCCGGGGACTCTTTTATAAGTGCACTAATCCCATTCATGAGGGCTCTACCGTCATGATCTAATCCCCTCCCTCTAAGGTCCCACCTGCAAATATCATCATATGGGTGTTACATTTCAACAGCTGAATTTTGGGGGGCACTATCATTCAGTCTACAGCACTGTGAAATCCCTAATATCGAGTTTTCTTTTTAATTTTTGTTTTGTTTTGTTTTGAGACAGAGTCTCGCTTTCTCGCCCAGGCTGGAGTGCAGTGGTACGATGTCCGCTCACTGCAAGCTCTGCCTCCCGGGTTCACGCCATTCTCCTGCCTCAGCCTCCCGGGTAGCTGGGACTACTGGCGCCCGCCACTACGCCCGGCTAAAATTTTTTGTATTTTTAGTAGAGATCACCGCACCTGGCCCTTAGATGAATATTTGAATAAAAGTTGTATGTATGATGATAAAACAACAAGAAACTGAATTTTTGCAGAAAGTAAAAATAAAACTTGTCACTCTTTATATAGGCAAATCAGAGACTAGAGGTTTTAGAAAAGACATCAGTATGTTCCATATAAAGTATGTACTGGGACCCCGTCCGTCTTTTTCACCATATAATAACAGTGCTTTTAATAGTACCTGGGATGGCTGGGTGCAGTGGCTTACGCCGTAATCCTAGCACTTTGGAAGGCCGAGGAGGGAGGATCCTGAGGTCAGGAGATCGAAAACATCCTGGCTAATACGGTGAAACTCCGTCTCTACTAAAAATAACAAAAAAATTAGCCGGGCGTTGTGGCGGGCGCCTGTAGTCCCAGCTACTCTGGAGGCTGAGGCCGGAGAAAGGCGTGAACCCGGGAGGCGGAGCTTGCAGTGAGCGGACATCGTGCCACTGCACTCCAGCCAGGGCGACAGAGTGAGACTCCATCTCAAAAAAAAAAAAAAAAAAAGTACCTGGGACATGATATGAACTCAATGACTATTTATTGAATGAATTAATTGAACAAGTTTATGCAAGAAATTGACATAAAATTAAACATTGTCTTCTTATATCATATAGTGTCTACAAAAACTAAGTTGATACAGAACCTGTATTCTAACATGATTAAATTTGAGCCAAGTACATTTCTCTCTTAAGAATTTAGAAGTTTATAAAGAAATCAGGGCCTGGGAACTGAATCATTAATGGAAGATCTCAAAGGCAATATTCTTTTCATTGTAATTAATATTAAGTCGTTAAAGTAATAATAAATAACTAACATTTAGGTTCCTGAAAAAAATGATTAAATTGAACATCAAATAGTTTGCATTTATATCACACTGTACAATTTATATTTTTTATGCTGCTTTACTGTAAGATTTCATTGAACAAATGCATCTTATGATTTCAAGGTAAGGTATTGAAATATGCCTTTTAAAAATGTAATGCTGTATTAGTGATTTTAAAATATGTAAAAAAAATGTGTGGGAAATACTAGAAACGTTATTTGAAATTAGCCAGTTCTGGATTTGCTTATTTTTTTAATTTTATTTGCCAAACTGAGAACAATAGCCTTTACACATTTTCTATTTTTCTGGACTTGATTCTTAGGAACTTTAATTTTGCACTTTTGCATTCCTCTATAAATGTTAATGTTTTGGCCAATGACATTTCTCTAGATAAATTCAAAAGCTTAACCTAAGTAATGTAATGGTGGCATTTATGAAATTGACTCCTGGTTCTCTCTTTAAATTCTTTTTTATTGTTTATTTCTATGGCACCATTACACTATGCTATCACATTGTTCTTGTTTTATTCCCCATGTTTAAAAAGCTGTATATTCTTTGCTGAATCTTAAAGGTCACTTTGAAACCTGAAGACCATGACTGAAATACAGTGAAGATTAAAGATAAAAAGGAGAAAAAAGGTTAAATTATAAAACCTCTAATATCATTACTCATATATATGATACACACAGAGATGCATCACCTAGGTCCTCCCTGAGAGCTGTGTCAGTAGACAGGACTCAGCTGTGAGCCCCTTCAGACGTCACCTCAGCTGCAGAGCTTCCCCCTGCCTAAGGTCCTGAGGTTCCCAGTTGTGGCGCATATGCAACGACTGATTGAGGTGAGGCAAGGAGGCAGGTGAAAGAGGTGGGGAGGGGACTTGGGGCCTATAAAGACTCAGTCATGTCATTGCAATGTGAAAGGATGCCAGTGGGCCATTTTAACTTCAAAGTCCCCTGTGAGATGAGCCAAAGCTGTGGTCCAGGACTTCTTTTCAGCCCAGCTTTTTCCCTTTCCCTCAATCCAGCTTCCTTCTTCTCCTTTTCACAGGTAGTAATCCAAGGGCACTCCCTAGTATATATCTCCATGTCCAAATCTGCTTACTAGAGAACATTGTATCATGAATGATACCATTCTTCAAAAATATGGGGTACTTTGAGTGAAAGGAGTGAACGGTATGGAAGAACAGCTTTGGTAGAGTAATTAGAATAGAAGCTACTCTACATTGGGTTGATGCATGAATGGGATATTAGGAAGTAAAGTAGCAAATTGAAAACTCCTTTCAAAAGAAGAGAATTAGAAAAGGGTCAGCAAGATAGTAGTTGGGGCCTGGCTGTGATGGATCACGCCTGTAATCCCAGCACTTGGGGAGGCTAAGATGGGAGGATCACTTGAGGTCAGGATTTCAAGACCAGCCTGGTCAATGTAGCGAGACCCCACCTCTTTAAAAAAAAAATGTAGTTGGAAGCTAGAGAATAGCATAACAAAAAAGAGGGTGATTTTAGAAGATAAAAGGGCCCACTGGAGCTCTCTCACATTGGAATGAAATTCTGAAATTACCCTCTTTTTGGTTATGTCATTCTACCTCAATCATTTTGCCTCAATCATGTTTACAGGCAAAATAAGAGATAGAGAAGTGGGAAGGGCTGAAGGCAGAGATATGAGACACAATAACAAATGGGGAAAGATACAAGATATAATGGAAGGCATGAGCTAGATCAATTCTACAAGTGAAAAATTACATTAATTAAGAGGAAGGATCACTCATCACCCAATTATAGGTAAGTTTATAGGAGGGTGGGACTGGCTACATAATGGTAGGTGATACTTTATGTCCTTATTTTCATTAAAGAGAATATGTCATTTCCTGAAAATGAAAGATGTGGGTTTGAATAGAGAGTTGGCAAAATTTGGTATTTATTTGAAATTGGCATTTATTTGGGAAGATAATGTAGGGTAACTAATCCACTTAGATGATAGTTATTAACTATAAACTATGTACCAGGTACTTTGCTATAATATAAAGGCAATGGAAAAACCAAGATTCAATCTTGATTTGACATCCTTAACATTTACAGTGTCGTGGTGGAAACTATGTAAAGAATCCAGTGTGATAGAAGGTGGTAGATGTGGAAACAGGAGGTTTAGAAAAAGCTCCAGGACACACTGCTGATACATCTAACTCAGGATCAGGGCATTAAAGAAAGCATCACACTCTCCCTCAATCTCTCTATTCTGTCTCTTGATTGAATCATTTTAACAAAGTATCAAGATGGCCCTCAGCACTAAGGAGGAAGTGTTATTTGAAAGCATGTGTTTGAATAGTTGCATTTATCTAAACAGAATTTTTCACTCCTGTGTAGATTTGGCTTGGAATTGGTGTATTCTGGCATTCCATGTTGTAAAGCACTTGAGGTGCTTAAGAGATATTTGGTTGGCGGGGTGCAGTGGCTCACACCTGTAATACCAGCACTTTAGAAGGCCAAGGTGGTTGGATCACCTGAGGTCAGGAGTTCGAGACCAGCCTGGCCAACATGGTGAAACCCCGTCTCTACTAAAAATACACAACTTAGCTGGGCGTGTTGGCAGGTGCCTGTAATCCCAGCTACTCGGGAGGCTGAGGCGGGATAATTGCTTGAACCTGGGAGGCAGAGGTTGCAGTGAGCCAAGATTGCACCACTGCATTCCAGCCTAGGGAACAGAACAAGACTCTATCTCAAAAGAAAAAAATAAAAAAAGAAGGAGAGATATTTGGTAAATAACTGAGGCAAAGGTGGAAGAAAATAGTGTTCTGCAGGAGATCAAATAATGTGTGAAGAGAAAATAAAAATTTTAAAGAACTAAAAGAATCAGGTATTGAAGTCAAAGGTGAGAGGGCCACTGGAATTCAAAAATACAATGTGAATAACTACAGAAGATATCATCATTCCTGATGAGGCAATGAATGTGGGTGCCTAAATTAGAGTAGAAATACATGTTATTGAAGATAAGGAGATCAAAAGGTGTAAGGCCAGGGTGTTGAATGTATTTTGCACAAATGCGCTAACGTTACCCAGAGTGTTGGCAAGGGGAAAATCATCTGATGGCCTGTAGCCAGAGTTTTCCTTAAAAATGCAGATGTGTCCTCCTGGAAGATAGACATCTTTGAAAAAATGAAGGAAATTAGGGTCTCACGGCATGAATCTCATGGAGGTGATGAAGGACTGATTTGAGAGCAGCCATGCAGAGTTAGGACAATGCCAGCAACATCTGACCCATGTACATGAAGCTCCAGATAACTTAGGTGATTGCTTTAATGCAAAAGGCCACACAGTGTGAATTCCTGAGAGACTATTTATCTTTTATATTCCAGAGGTTGGAATGGAATAATTCACTCTTTTAAAAGGCTTGCTGGATATCCTCTATTTCAGGGCTCTCCAAACCCATACTAGTCCATAGCTGTTAGGAACTGGGCTCCACAGCAGGAGGTGAGTGGCGGCTGAGTGAGCGAAGCTTCATCTGTATTTACAGCTGCTCCTCATGGCTCGTGTTACCCCCTGAGCTCCTCCTCCTGTCAGATCAGCAGCAGCATTAGATTCTCATAGGAGCATGAACCCTATTGTGAACTAAGCATGCAAGGGATCTAGGTTGTGTGCTCCTTATGAGAATCTAATGACCGATGATCTGTCACTGTCTCCCATTGCCCCCAGGTGGGAACATCTAGTTGCAGGAAAACAAGCTCAGGGCTCCCAGGGATTCTACATTATGGTCAGTCGTATAACTATTTCATTATATGTTACAAAGTAATAATAATAGAAATAAAGTGCACAATAAATGTAATGGGCTTGAATCATTCTGAAACCATCCCCACCACCACCATGTCTGTGAAAAAAATTGTCTTCCACAAAACCAGTCCTTGATGCCAAAAAGGTTGGGGACCACTGCTCTATTTCTCTTCACTACTTAGAGAATCTGTTCTTCCACTCATGATCTACAAGGATTAAATGTTTCAAACAGTTCAAGTCTTCAAAATATGTATTTTGTAAACTTGAATTTTTAGAAATCATTCACAGTATCCATATTATATTTTATTTGCTGCAATGCCCTATACATTTCCCATATAATGCTCTTGAATATACTTTTACAACTTCAGTAACTTTACCCTTTACTGAATCTCAATCTGTCTCTCCATTTCTCTCTCTCAGCAAATCTAAACAAAAGAGAAACATGTCGACTTGTGCTATGGTCTAAATGTTTGTGTCTCTAAAATTCATGTGTTGAAACTTAATCTCCAATGCAATAGTATTAAGAGATGAAGGCTTTAGAATGTGACTGGCAGAGCCCTCATGAATGGGATTGGTGCCTTTATAAAAGAGGCCTCCAAAATCTCCCTAGCCCCTTCCACCAAGTAAGGAAGCACAGAAGTCACCATCTATGAAGTAGAGAGCAAGCTCTCGCCAGACACCAAATCTGCTGACACTTCAGTCTTAAACTCCCACCCTCCAGAACTATGAGCAATAAATTTCTGTTTTATAGTTGTCTAAATTATCCTGTCTAAGGTGTTTTTTTATAGTAATGTGAATGGACTAAGACAACTTGAAAATGCAAGGTACCACACCAATAACAAGGAAAATACTCATGTTTTGTAACATTTATTTTATACCAAAGATACGCCAATTACTGTATACAAATATATGCCAAATGTTGGGTAAAATACTTTACATAAATTATATTAATCCTGACAACAACCTGAAGGTAGATACTGTTGTCTGCATTTAAAGATGAGGACGTGGGGCTTGAATTAAGTAACTTAACTCACATCTCATCATGCTAAATGGCAAAGCTGGGATTCAAACCCTGCTCAGTCGGACTCCCATCAGGCTGCTCTTAGCCTGGTTATATTTTGAAGAAAAGAAGTTCAGAAACTTATCCATAGACATGGCCAGGTAGGGCCAGAGTCCAGACTCAACTGACTGTCAGCCAAGGCCAGCCTCAACTCTTCCATTTTACCTCCAGCCTGAACAGCTTAAACATTTTTTCTCTTGCCATCTTATTAGAGTACATAATGCCTATAATGATGGGATCCACATGATATAGCATGACAACACTCTGTTTTAAAAAAGGTGAAATGTAATTTTTTTTTTTTTAAATTTTAAGTTCTGGGATACATGTGCAGGACGTGCAGGTTTGTTACATAGGTAAACGTGTGTCATGGTGGTTTGCTACCCCTATCAACCTATCACCTAGGTTTTAAGGCCCCCATGCACTAGCTATTTATCCTGATGCTCTCCTTCCCCCCAACCCCCCAGTAGGTCCCAGTGTGTTTTGTTCCCCTCCCTGTGTGCTTGTGTTCTCATTATTCAGCTTCCACTTAGAAGTGAGAACATGCGGTGTTTGGTTTTCTGTTCCTGTGTTAGTTTGCTAAGGACAGTGGCTTCCAGCTCCATCTATGTCCCTGCAAAGGACATGATCTTGTTCCTTTCTATGACCGCATAGTATTCCATGGTGTATAGGTACCACATTTTCTTTTTCTAGTCTATCATTGATGGGCATTTGGGTTGATTCCCTGTCTGTGCTATTGTGAATAGTGAAGCAAAAAACAGACGCGATAGGAATGCTTTTACACTGTTGGTGGGAATGTAAATTAGTTCAACCATTGTGGAAGACAGTGTGGCAATTCCTAAAAGACCTAGAACCAGAATTGCCATTTCACCCAGCAATCTCATTCCTGGGTATATACTCATAGGAATATAAATCATTCTATTATAATGAAACATAATGTAAAAATACCTCGAGTGTATTTGTATTTTGGTAATATCTGAATAAGACATAAAATATAACGCACACATCTTTATATCGTTTTATCCATATCTCTCTTTCTTTAAATCCTTCTGGTTAAAATTTGTCATTGCCTCCTGACTATGTATTTATTTTTTCTTTTCTGGAAGAAAGCTCACCTAGGCCTTACTCAAATGCATGTTCTCAATCTTTACCTACCACCCCTCCTGCCTTTTTGTTCCAGTTTCCTCTTATCATTGTACTGATGTGGAGATAACGAAAGAGAATATCACTGTCAGCCACCAGCAGTGCCTTTTCAGAGAAGAGCAATGGGGAAGAAATTGAGCAGACAAAGCCAGAATCCCCATTAGCAAACAGAAAGAGGGAGCTCAGGATAACCACATACGTTAATAATTCTTGCCCCCCAAAGGGAAGCTCTGTAAAATAAGTTGTATTACATCCGTACATAGCAGTACTTTAAATATAACTCTAGCTTAAGTATTTTAAGCATCTCCATGATATGAACCTAAGGGAATAAACTCAATAAATCAATATTTATAAGCTCTGTTCACTTATTTCTTGTGGTTTCAGCCACTGATTTCAGAATATGCATGAAAAATACATTTCTTCTGAATATTTGATTTCATGATCCCAAGTAGACACATCTCTGTATTGGGTTTCAACAAGTCCACAGAAGTTAAATACCCACTTTTAGCCAGCTTTGATTTTCAGAAGTTTAATTCTGACATTTAGTGATATACAATATGTAAAACAACCTGGCACTATATCTGTCATATCATAAGTACTTGGCAAATATTTCAGTTTACTCTTTCTCATAATTGAATAATGGCTCAATAGTAAAACTCTGTAGGGAAAAATTTAACCTCTTATTTATCAGTTACAAATAGTTTAAGACAGATAATACCCCTTTCCTTGTTAGCTTTAATGCTGAGTCATTAAAATTGTGAGCAATGTATTTATTTTGAGGAAACTATTTTTTACTAAGGATTTTTTTTTTTTTAGAATTTTATGAGTCTTCAAAATAACTAGAAAATCTTAAAGTGTTACCAAACAGAAGTGGACATTTAATAAACACCTCAACTTTAATACTTACAGAAAATCATTTGAAGGCTGTCACTCCTCTGGGTATTATAAATTTTAGCCTCGGTCAAATCAGATCACCAGGAGGCTACAAAGTTGAACTATATTGCCTTAGTTTCCAACAGAGTTTCTTTCCTTGAATTAAGTTTTGGGGCCATGACCTACTCCTTTTAATAAAAGAACAATACAACAAATAGTCATATGAAATCCATTTTGTTGCCTAATACAAAAATATTGTTGAAGAGTATCATAATTCAATGGCCCATATATATAAAATGTCTCAGCAAAGGCACTTATGTCATAATTCAGTACTAGGAAATGATTTCCTTCAGGCAAGCTCCCCCTTAATTTTTTTTTTTTTTTTTTGAGACAGAGTCTTGCTCTGTTGCCCAGGCTGGAGTGCAGTGGCACCACCCTGGCTCACTGCAAGCTCCACCACCTGGGTTCACGCCTTTGTCCTGCCTCAGTCTCCTGAGTAGCTGGGACTACAGGCTCCTGCCACCACGCCCGGCTAATTTTTTGTATTTTTAGTAGAGACAGGGTTTCACCGTGTAAGCCAGGATGGTCTCGATCTCCTGACCTCGTGATCCGCCCGCCTTGGCCTCCCAGAGTGCTGGGATTACAGGCATGAGTCACCGCACCCGGCCCCTCCCCATTAATTAAGGTGAGAAATACATAAATGATGATGGTAGTCATTGACGCACCAGTTACGAAAGAGTGAGGCTGGGTAACTGGATGACACCTGCACAGGGCTCTGAGGTCTCAAGGAAAATGACAGGTGTTTGTGTATTTCAAAAATGTGGACATGATGGCATGAGGCCCAGTGAAGAAGGGGTAGATTATGAATGGTGTTATCCTGAACATAAGGAGACTGAGATAGTGTAGTTTTAAAAATGGCAGCATGAAAAAAGGTGAATGCTAACCCCACCCCACCTTACGGTAAGTGTCTGAAAAATAATCTTTCCAGGTACTACTAGTAGGTATTCTTAAAGGACAGAGGCAGCTTTCTGTTTGAGTAGGAAGGTATTGGAAGCAGTATATGAAGGAATAAAAATATAAAAGAGAGAAATATTGGAGCAAGAGTGGGAAGTATGGTTAAAGATAAAGAAATGGCAGAGCACTTTAGGGAAATATGGTGTGAGACAGAAAAGAGGCATTTTTGAGTGATGAAAATACTAATCATGGCTAACACTTACATAGCATTTATCGTATGTCAAGCATTTACGTGTATTAACTGTTATGATGCTCACATTAACCCCAGGAGGTCAGGCCTATCACTTTACAGGAAGTTTAAGCAACTTCTGAAATATTAACAATTCTTCTGAATTGCTTCTCTGGTGACAGGAATAAGAGTCGCAGTAGCATCAACTTGCTAAAAAGTTTAAAATGGTGCTCAGAATAAAGGTATTTTACTGCTTTTTGAGACTCATTGTAAAATGGCTTGAAATGTCTTTGCCCTGAATCTCTGCCAGTGGGAAATTGGATGAGTTGCTAAAGAATGTGGAATTAATTATCCAAAAACACTTTAGATATTTCTCTTTGTATAGGGTATTGTAAATGGTCTTTAGCTAATTATAATTTAATATCTCACTTGTCTCTCTCATACATAGGTATATATGTTATATACACATGTGTATGTGTACAATTCAATACATCTATGTGTCTATGTAGCTACCTATGTATGCATGTATGTATGTATGTATCTGCCTATCTATTAATCTATCTCTATGTATCTACCTACCTATCTATATCTGTGTCTATCAACTTCAGGAATGCTTGGCATTCTTCTAACATCTGCGGGGTATTTAGGGATTAGGCTATGATGATAGATTTCCAGCTTCATTTCTTTTTAAAATCTTTTATTCTTCTTGCTCATTTTCCTTTTCCTGTCCCTAAAGGACAGTTTCTCCTCAGTTTAGGACTTCTTCCTTTTGCTCTCTTATCATTTGCAGACTTTCCGTTCTCAGCCAGAACCTCCCTTTTGTGCACTGTACAACCTGTTGACACTGTCACAGTTGCCACTTGATCATTGCAGATAAAGGAGGAAGTAGCAATTCTGGAATGGGTGGCTTATCTCTTGGCTTTATAACTGGATATCTTCATCTGCTATTCAGTCACTCTTTTTTATTATGGAGACATGTTTTCTGGGAAAATGCTACCATGAAGCAGGACCAATCTCCAGTTCAAGGTACCTCTTGATTTGTTCATTCCAAAGCATCCCCTGTTAGGAATTAGGGCTCAGATCATGGGGTCATCTATTCTGTAAGTAAAAGGCTGACAAAAAGTCTGTTACTTCACTGCTCTTTACATTAGGGTAATATTAACAATGGAAATCCAGTTCATTCAATAAAACAAGTGTCGATGAAGAGTCAAACTCGGTAAAATATTTTAAGAGACTTATTCTGAGCCAAATATGAGTGACCATGGCACATGACACAGCCCTAAGGAGATCCTGAGAACACGTGCCCAAGGTGGTCAGGGTGCAGGTCAGTTTTATACATTTTAGGGAGACATGAGACATCAATCAAATACATTTAAGAAACACATTGGTTTGGTTCAGAAAGGCGGGACAATTCAAAGCAGGGGTGGGGGGGTGCTTTCAGGCTATAGGTAAATTTAAACATTTTCCAATTGATAATTGGTTGAGTTTGTCTAAAAACCTGGGATCAAAGGAAAGGATATGTCCAGGTTAAGCTAAAAGATTGTGGATACCAAGGTTCTTCTGAAGTCTTATAGTGGCTGCCCTTAGAGATAATAGATGACAAATATTTCCTATTCAGACCTTAAAAGGTGCTAGACTTCTACTAATTTCTTCAGGATTGGGAGGGCTTGGAAGAAAAAGATCTAGTTATGTCAATAGAGATTCTTTACAGATGCATATGTCCCCCAACAAAGGGCAGCTTTGCAGGACCATTTCAAAATATGACAAAGAAACTTGCTTTTGGGGTAAAATTTTTTTTACTTTCTTCTTTGTCACATAATGTTATGCCAGAGTCAGATTGCAAAGTAAGCCATGATATATAGGGTTAAATAAAATCCATCTGATGAGAATTTATGGTTAGTAGGGGATGACTCCCCAGACCCCTTAGATAAGAATTTGGGCAAAATAAAAAAATCAGAGCTTAGTCTTCACAAGTTATTGAAAAACAATGAGCTACCAATTTTATTTATTTATATTCTTTCAGTGGTCTTCAACAGGTGGCTCATGAATTCAGATATTTGACAATTTTAATGTGAAATAAATTTAAGATATTTCAACAACAATCATATAGGAAAATATAGATAAATAAGAAACTATAAAAGTTATACTTTCAAACCTTTCCCTCTCTAAGACACATGGTTTACCTGATCTCACACAGATATTGAACATACAATTTAATTTTTAAAATTAATTTTTCTCACTTTAGAAAACTGGCATCTTGAGGCCGGGCACAGTGGCTCATGCCTGTAATCCCAGCACTCTGGGAGGCCGAGGCAGGCGGATCACGAGATCAGGAGATCAAGACCATTCCTGGCTAACACGTTGAAACCCCGTCTCTACTAAAAATACAAAAAATGAGCCAGGCGTGGCGGTGGGTGCCTGTAGTCCCAGCTACTAGGGAGGCTGAGGCAGGAGAATGGCGTGAACCCAGGAGGCGGAGCTTGCAGTGAGCGGAGATCGTGCTACTGCACTTCAGCCTGGGCAACAGAGCGAGATTCTGTCTCAAAAAAAAAAAAAAAAGAGGAAAAGAAAATTGGCATCTTGAAACAAAAGAAAGTGTCTGCTTTCCCCTTAAAGAATCATAAAGAAATATAATCAATTAGACTCAGCCTAGAATTTAAAGCTTAATCAATTTTATTGATTGGCTTCAAGAATTTTATTGAAATGTCATATATTTATAAATTAAGACTAAGATGATACATATACTATCTACTGATTTTAAAATACAACAAATCATTTAACTAAATAAAATTAAAGATTGTAGTCTTTTAAACTTACCAACCAGAAATAATAATAAGCCAGTGAAATAAAAGATGTTCCAATAGAGAAATCCTTTGTCATTATATGACATACATTTTAATATGTTACACAGATAATCTGTGTATTTAAAATTTAATGATAAAAATTATTTGCAACATTTAACTGAAAAATTTTTATTCAGAATTTATCTTGAGACTTGCCATGTATTAATATAATTAATGTACCTTATAAGTAAATATTGATTATATTAAATTTTTAGAATTGGGTCGAATGTGTATCTCCTCTCCTCTGATAACTTAGTTCATTCTATGAAATGGTGCTAGAGACTAAGAAATACAGAGGTTCTGTTATCAAGTGTCATGAACATCAAGTGCCTTTTTCTCCACTAATGTTAGAATGCCTCTCCAATTATCCTCTTTAGTAAACTGTGAGCTGAAAATAGTGAAGTCTGATATTGCAAACAATGTCTCCAGTATAAAGCTTGCTTGAGATGAGAATCTTTTCTAAGAACATTTTTCTTGTCACATAAAGTATGTCACACGGTGGCATATTCCAACTTAAAGTTAACGTGTACTAATATAAAGGCCTCAGCGGAATGTATTAAGTGGATTTCTTTTGGCATTGGGTAAAGGAATCTTTCAAGGATTCTGTGGATATACAAACAAGAAACAAATTTCAAAAGAAGCATATGCACAAAATTTTTATAACCGGTTAGAATCATGATCTGGACTAAACACAAACAAGTGAACCAAAGTACAATACAATACAAAGCAAAAATTAAAAATAAACAGGAAATTTAATTCTATACGATGCAGAAACTATGTGCCAATACTCAGTGTAAACATACACTATTAGGAGGAAGTTGCTGCCACACAAGCAGATGACAAAGTTTAAGCAAAGCTGAAGAAGTTAGGTAGTGGCGTGCGGAGGGATCACTTTGATTATTGGCGTAGTTCCTACCCTCCTATTATTCTGGTTACCATACATTAGTGAGGTGTCTCCAATGGGTTTCGAGGGTTACAAATACCTTCCTGCATATTAGTCTACCTTCCTTAGAACTTCTTAAGATGGGCCATTGTCTCATGATACTCAATAATTCAGGAAAATCAATAATTGGGATTAAAATAAACCAATTAATTACATACTTCTTTATCTCAGTGTGACATAAACATACATTTTCAGACAAGTTTTCATTACTGGGCAACTATGGTATCTACCCAATGTTGTGGCCAAAGTTGGAATATTCACAGTTCCCCCATACTTATGCCCTCCGTGTTTTGGTTTTCCAGATACATGCTGTTGCTTGTACTTCAAATACACTTTCCCTATATCTCTGTCAATTCACGTCTTTCTCAAAAAGAACAGAGAAGTCAAATGGCTCCTCTACTAAACCTCTAAACATATATGATTTCTCCTGTCTTGACATTTTTACCAATTCCTATTCTCATTATAAGCTATGGTATCCAACTTGCACTTCTCTTCCTCTAACACCCCTGGCTTTCTTACCCCATTGTCTACATAGCTCAACTTCTTGCAAGTTGTCCATTCTTGCTCTCTCCTCTGTCTACAGCGATTTGCCTTCTGCTCCCACTGTTCACAAAACTTCTGTCCTCCATGTATTCATTTACAATGTTTTAGCCTTGGGCTGACCATACACCAGCTGTTCACAAAATTTATGTTGAACTGAATGACACTCGAATCAATAAATAAAGGAAAAAAGGGGAACAGAAGGGGAAGCAAACAACATCCTTCTTCACATGATGGCAGAAGGAGAAATACAGAGCAAAGAGAGAAAAGACCCATATAAAACCATCAGATCTCACGAGAACTCACTATCACGAGAGCAGCAGCATGGGGGTAACAGCCCCCATGATTCAGTTACCTCCCACTGGGTCCCTCCCACGACACATGGGGATTATGGTAACTACAATTCAAGATGCGATTAGGGTGGGGACACAGCCAAACTAGATCAGTGCTACAACTGACTTCACTGTAAATGAGTTTACAATGGGTAACTCCATATTATCTGAACCAAACAGCATAGAGAGACCTCAAGAAGAGTAAAGAAATCTTTGTCTCATGTACATGGTATACCATCAATAATGAAACTGAGGAAGATTCACGGAGGGAAGTCATCACGCTGCAGCAGGCAATTATATCTAAACCAGTGAGATATGAACAGTGCAAAGAAGAACTAGAACAAAGATACTGTCTGGCATAGAAAGTCCAGTATTAAAGACACAGAAGGCCCTACATTTGTCCAGTAAAGCCATGCTTGATTAATGCCTTGGAAACCCTGGAGACTGGATCAGAAATCTGTATATAAAATGGTTCTTCCTGGATAAAGTTGAGAGAAAAAGAAAGCTTATTGTGTTCAAGTAGAAACTGGGATAAGCTGTGGGCCATCTGGCTTTTCTGTTGCAAAAACCAGGGCTTAAATCTACATCTTTCTATAGTCATGAATGAGCAAACTGATTTTGAACAATCATCTAACAACGAAATATTTAGGATTCAAAAAGAATGTACTTATGAAAAGAATGTAACACAAGAAACTGAAAATTAGAAAATTTCCCCTTTTTACACTAAAAAAGACAGAAGAGCCATGACTTTTTAAAAAACTGGAGCAGTAAGCTTGTAGTGGGAAAAGTGATGGTGAGAAGTGCAGGCATAGAAAGGAAGCAGGTTTAAGTAAGATGAGAAAACACAAGGAAATCCAAAATCCCAAATAAAATAATTTTGCCTTAAATTTTATTATGTTTAATAGTAGACTGCTGTTTTCTTTTGTCAATTGCTGTCAGATAAGTTTTGCTCTTTTGATTTATTTTAAAAGAAACATTAACTCTTGGTTGGGCATGGTGGTTCATGCCTGTAATCCCAGCACTTTGGGAGGCCGAGGTGGGCAGATCGCTTGAGGCCAGGAATTCAAGACCAGCCTGGCCAACATAGAGAAACCCTGTCTACTGCAAAATAAAAAAAATTAGTCGGCTGTGGTGGCACATGCCTGTAATCCCAACTACTCGGGAGGCTGAGGCACAAGAATCACTTGAGCGTGGGAGGTGGGGGTTGCAATGACATCACCACAGTCTGGGCAACAGGGGGAGACTCTGTCTCAAAAAAAAAAAAAAAAATTAGTGGCCGGGCATGGTGGCTCACGCCTGTAATCTCAGCACTTTGGGAGGCTGAAATGGGTGGATCACAAGGTCAGGAGTTCAAGACCAGCCTGGCCAATATGGTGAAACCCCCTCACTACTAAAAATACAAAAATTAGCTGGGCATGGTGGCAAATGCCTGTAGTCCCAGCTACTTGGGAAACTGAGGCAGAAGACTCGCTCGAACCCAGGAGACGGAGGTTGCAGTGAGCCGAGATCGCACCACTGCACTCTAGCCTGGGCACAGAGAGAGAGCCCGTCTCAAAAAAAATAATAATAATAAAAATAAAATTAGCAAAAAATTAGCCAAAAATTCATTAAAAATAAATATAAATATATTTATATATACATTTTATTCATTCATTATATATACATTTTATTCATTAATAAAATCATTTTATTAATTCAATAAAATGAATTCATTATATATAATGAATGAATAAAATGTATTTTTCCATTAGGGATTTAAAAGGAGCATTGGATAAATTAAAAAAATTTTTGTCTTTTCTTTTGAAAAAATAAATTTAATGATGTATTTTTGGACTTTGATTAAAAATAATTCAATTTTATCTGTAAGCATAAATATTAGAAATACTCAGAGAAATTTAGCAGAAGGATAAGCATCATTTTGTAATGACAATAATTAAGTAGGGCTGCATAAGTGGAAGAATGGACATATAAATGCCTTTTTTTTTTTTTTTGAGACGGAGTCTTCGCTCTGTCGCCCAGGCTGGGGTGCAGAGGTGCTATCTATGCTCACTGTAAGCTCCGCCTCCCGGGTTCACCTCATTCTTCTGCCTCAGCCTCCGGACTGGCTGGTACTACAGGTGCCCACCGGCTGATTTTTTGTATTTTTTTAGTAGAGATGGGATTTCACAGTGTTACCCAGGATGGTCTCAATTTCCTGACCTCGTGATCCGCCCGCGTCGGCCTCCAAAATTGCTGGGATTACAGGCGTGAGCCACCGCGCCTAGCCAGATTTTTTTTTTTTTTTCCAGAGGCTGCCTCTGTAGCCCAAGCTGGAGTGTAGTGGCGCGATCTCGGCTCACTGCAGCCTCCGCCTCCCGGGTTCAAGCAATTCTCCTGCCTCAGCCTCCTAAGTAGCTGGGACTACAGGCACGCACCACTACGCCCGTCTAATTTTTGTATTTTTAATAGAGACAGGGTTTCACCATGTTGGCCTAGGATGGTCTTGATCTGACTTCGTCATCTGCCCGCCTCTGCCTCTCAAAGTGCTGGGATTACAGGCACGAGCCACCGCAGCCGGCCGACAGATTTTATTTCATCTGTAAAGTTCTATAATATCATTCACAATAAAATAAAAAGATATTATGCAAACCAAACAAAATTTTGCAAGATATGTGATACACTATACATAGAAAATAATTGCATATCAGTAAGAAAATAACTATAAATAGATAAAATCCATGAATAGTAACAAAAGTATAGGATATTAGAGAAAAAGTATTTGACAGAATGAAAGAAAAAAATGGTTGTTTTAGGATAAGTGGTATGAGATGCATTCATGTGTTACTTCATTAGCTTGTATGTATTTAATATATTCTATATGTGTTCAACAATTGATGCAGATTCAAAAACAAAAAAATGTTCGTTTAGTAAGGAGATACACAACAACAAAAATTTCCTATAAAAGTGGATTACAATAATGAAAGTATCTAGAAATCTAATTTTAAAAAGTGGTACTCATTATCTGGGATCATCTGGGAAGAACTCATTTAATAGACCATTTGAGTAGACACTTGAGGATGAAGATAAATTTTCAGGCAGATTAATAACAATGGGGAGAGTTTTCAAGGCAGAGGAGATGACTTTTATAAAACGAGGAAAGCATGAAGTTTATGTAGCTTGAAAAGTGTGTTGTATTCAGGTAGTAATGCACTGACTCCATCACTCTTGCATTTTGTTTGTTTGTTTTGAGGCGGAGTCTCGCCCTGTCGCCCAGGCTGGAGGGCAGTGGCGCGATCTCGGCTCACTGCAAGCTCCGCCTTCCGGGTTCACGCCATTCTCCTGCCTCAGCCTCCAGAGTAGCTGGGACTACGGGCGCCCGCCACCATGCCTGGCTAATTTTTTTGTATTTTTCTTAGTAGAGACGGGGTTTCACCGTGTTAGCCAGGATGGTCTTGATCTCCTGACTTCGTGATCTGCCCGCCTCGGCCTTCCAAAGTGCTGGGATTACAGGTGTGAGCCCCCGCGCCCAGCCACACTCTTGCATTTTTTATTGGAGGCTCTGAGGAAAGGTCTGCTTCCACGTTTGTTCAGATTGTTAGCCACACTTAGTTCCTTGAGTAGGTATTATTGCAGTCCCCATTTCCTTGCTGGCCGTCAGCTGGGACCAGCCTTTCCTCCTAGACTGTCCCTGTTCCTTATGCTTTTTTCATGGGCCTTTCCAGCAGCACGAACATTTCAAATATCTCTGCCTTTCCCTCCTGCCCCGTCTCTCAGAAATCAACTGCACATGGTCTCAGCTTTTAAGGGCTCATAGTGATTAGATTGGACTCATATACGGTCCTCATTTTAATATTCATAATTCTAACTGCAAAGTCTCTTTTGTCAGGTAATACAGCATATTCAGGTCTCAAGGATTAAAGTGTGAGCATCTTTGGGGGTTTTTATTCTGCTTACAACATTTACCTAGAGTATAAATTCAAGACATAAGGCAGAATCTTATGAGAAAAAGAAAGTACTATTTTGAACATACCTGTGGCAATCCTAAATGGGAATTAGATTCAGATTTGGCAGTTCTGGATAAAAGTGAAGGCTGAAGAAATAATTTGGTAGTCATCATGTTATACATTTTGTAAATGAAGCCATTATTATATATGAGAGGGTTAGCATTCACCCAGGGAGACTTCAAGTCAGTTTACAAAGTTAATATTCTATCGCATGTTCAATAGTAGCACCACCTTTTATTCAATTGGATAGTAGCCTGGGGTGAAGATTAAAAAGAAAGAAATATAACTATCTCTATATGGAGATGCCATGAGGTATAAAGAATTTGTATATAGATATATATGGAGAAATATTTATGCATACAGGAAATCCTAAGGAATCCACACACGCACGCACACATGCACACATTAAGATGATAAAGCTGTGATTTTTTAGGCATAACTTTGTAGTAAGATGTTACATCAGGAACAGGAAACTACTATAGCAAAGCACCCAGAACAGTCTAAACAGTCTTGAAACAGAAAATTTTCTACCAAACTATATTAATTCGGTGTTGCATTAGCATAAAGATAGACATATAAATTTAATGAAATAATATTGAGCATTAATCAATAAACCTTATATTTATGAGAAATTGATTTTTAAAAGGATGCCAAGAAAATTCAAAGGGGAAATAGTAGTCTTGTCAACAAATAGTGTTGGGACAACTGTACATATGCATGCAAACAAACGAAGTTGGATTCTGACCTTACCTTACACACAAAGTTGATCAAAACCTAAATGTAAGACCTAGAAGTAAAAAACTCATAGAAGAAAACATAAGCAAAATCTTCATGACCTTAGATTAAACAATAGTTTCTTAGATATAGCACCAAATTACAAGCAACAAAAGAAAAAAAAGGGGGCTATATTATGCTTAATTAAAACTAAATTTTTTCTTTAAAAGAAAAAGCCAAGGAAGGGAAAAGACAACCTACAGAATGGGAGAACAATTTTGCAAATCATACATCTTCTAAAAGACTTGTATTCAGAATATGTATCTTACAACTCAATAATAAAAAAACATATAACCTATTTTTAAAATGGAGAAATGATTTGAGTAGAAAATTCTCCAAAAAAGATACACAATAGGCAAGAAGCACATGAAAAGATACTCAACATTATTGGTCATTTGAGAAATGCAAATCAAAACCACCAGGAGATACCATTTCATACTATGATCAAAAAGAAAATAACAAGTATGTTTGAGAATGTGGAAACAATCCCACATAAATCGCTGGTGGGAACGCAAAACGATGCAGCCATGGTAGGAACAATTTTGCAGTTGCACTTTGGGAGGCCAAGGCGGGAGGATCACCTGAGGTCAGGAGTTTGAGTCCAGCCTGGCCAACACAGTGAAAACCCATCTCTACTAAAAATACAAAAATTACCCGGGCGTGGTGGCAGGCACCTGTAATTCCAGCTACTTATGAGGCTGAGGCAGGAGAATTGCTCGAACCTAGGAGGCGGAGGTTGCAGTGAGCTGAGACCACGCCACTGCACTCCAGCCTGGGCGACAGAGTGAGACTCTGTCTCAGAAAAAAAAAGAAAAAGAAAGAAAGAAAAGAAAAAAAAGTTAAACAGTGTTATCAAATGACTGGACAATTCTACTCCTTAGGAATATCTCCCAAAGAATGAAAAACATGTCTACAAAGAACCTGGACACAAATGTTTATAGCAACATTATTTGTAATGGCCATAAAGACAGTGCAAATGTCCATCAATTGATGAATGGATAATCAAAAAGTGGTATATCCATACAATGGAATATAATTTAGCCATAAAAGGAATGAACTACTGATACATGATACATGTATGAATCATGAAAACATTAAGTGAAAAATGCCAGACACAAAATGTCACATATTCTATAATTCTACTTATATGAAATGCCCAGAAAAAGCAAATCTATAGAGACAGAAGGTAGATCAGTGATTGCCAGGGGCTAGAGAGAAGAGCAAACAAGGACTGGCTAATAAGAGACACAGGATTTTTTTGTTGTTGTTCAGTGATGAAATTATTCTGGAATTTGCAGTGATTATACCATAACCTTCTGAATATACTAATCACTGAGTTGCATCCTTGTTAAGGACAAATATTATGGTGTATGAATTATATCTTAATTTTAAAAAGTACAGTAAATTAAAAACAAATTGTGTTTCAATAATAAAATATTATTTTAATATCACAAAATCAATTATTGTAATTCACTATATTAACAATATGGAAGAAAATCTCATCTCAACAGATGCAGAATATATTTTTTAATATGCAAACAACAATGAAATGTATTTAATCTGGTGAAAGATAATCATAAAATCTTACAAAAATATTATAATTAATAAGGAAATATGGAAAGCTTTCCTTATGGGATCAGAAACAAAATTCCCTATTCAGTTCAATAAGAAAAAAAAAGTAAGAATTAGCAAGAAAGAAATACACAGGTCATTATTTGCTAAGGACATTATTGTATATGTAGAATATCTAAAATAAAATATTAGAACGAATAACTAAATATAGCTATCAGGATCACTGGTTACAATATGAGCACATAAAAGTCTATTTTATTTCCTTACACTACCAATAACCAATTACAGAATAAAATTTTATAAATATACCATTTAGAATCAATATTTTGTTAACTTCATAAATTAACTGGAAAGTTTTTCTTTTGAAATATATTTTCAAAAATTGAAGAATTCTTCAAGTCAGTTAAATGGTTTTAAATATTTCTGGCCTGCAACAACAAGGTTAAATCTGCATGTGATAATGGATCTCCCTACTGATACTAGAACTATCCCATTACTGAAAACCATTTTTAGATATAAATGGCAGGCACTTAAGAATGACTTCATTTCCTGTGGTGTTCCTTTAAAACAATTTTCCAAAACAGGCAAATCTTGCTCTCTCTCTCTTTCTCTTTAAAAAGTAACACAGGCTTATTTTTAAAGTTGCAATCAAAACAGACAGGTAAAAAGTAGAAAATTAAAATGACCCATCAGGCTTGTCTTAAAATTAACTACTGATAATATTTTGGTATATGTCCTCATATGTTTTAACGTATTTTTTCAGGTTTGTTCTATCAAAACCTAATTTAACAAAATCTGAGCAAATCATCCACTTCCTTTTCTAATATCCTTTTATACTGTGTGTTTATACATGTGGTTATGAATATATGTTCACAAGTGAGGGTATATATACACATACACACATACATGTGTGAGATAGAGACATAGGCAGAGGCAGACAGAAAGGCAGAGAATAGCTAGGAAAGTTGAGCTCAATTTAATATTGTAATTATAATATGCATGCTATTTTAAAATTGCTTTCATTTCTGAATTTAGACAGCATATAGAACTTGATAAATACAGTAATTAGAAATCCGAGAGTTATTTGCATACTTACACATCTGAAGTATCTTCCTATGTACAGATAAACATTAACCACAATTATCTACACATGTTGCTTGAATTTTTTCCTCCAGCTGTCATGTTAAAGCCATGATTGACACTTGTTTGCATACGATTTGAGAATTTAATATTTGGTTGAAATTCTCTGATCCTAAAACATACTGCTTGGAAATACACATTTTGTTTTCATACACATGGGATGTTGCACGCATACCGAAATTAAAGAATTACAATTAGTTGGTACCCAGCTTGCATCCTTAAGCAATCTTTGTAAATACTATTTTTCTTATTAATGCTGCTTTCTGTTCTCATTAAGTTTCAACAGAGTACTCTCAGTAATTTAAAACATATTGTTCCTTCAGTTAAATAGGCAATTTCCCTCTCAACAAATGCCTGGACCTTAAAGTAAGGTGTGGAAATGGACAAAATAGTCCCAAATATTTTAACCAGCAATATAAACTTTTGCAATGCTTTTATAGGATGTTTAAAATAACAAGAAAGACTTGGTTCTCGTGATTTTCACCAACGGTGGTTACAAACAGTCTTCTTCTTTACTATGTTTGAATGGCATATTTCACTTCACATATCCTTTACTTGCTGCCAGAGCCTTAATATTGCTAGGGGGAAAAGCTTACCTAGCTCCGTGTTTGTAAATGTCAGCTAGCCAAAAGATATTTGGAAACCTATAAATGTTCGCCTTTCTAACATTTGCTTAAAGCTATCTGGAATTAACGTTCTCCTCTTTCCTCTTCTCTCACCTCAAGAAAAAAAAATCTGTATACAGAAGTTGACACAAAATATATTAAATAAAGCTGGTATTCAGCCCTCTTGCATTCAAGCAAGAATTACCCATGTATGTAAAACAGAAGAAAATGTCTTGATAGTATTCTGTACCCGTGCTGTCAAACTACCCTTTGATATGTCTGCAATTTTCTCAGTAAAACACATTTTGTTTATTTTGGATTAAGAGCAAGCTCTTGCATGTCTACCAGGATTTATTAGCCTGGTAAAGAGCAGCACTACACAGAAACAACGAATATAATGTGCTCTTTGCTATGGTTTTAAGTTCCCCTTCAAACTCATGTGAAATGTAATTGCCATTGAAACAGTATTGAGAGGTGGGGGCTTTAAGAAGTCATGCAGGCTGTTGTCGTTTTTTTTTTTTTTCCAGGTTTTTTCTATCAAAACCTAATTTAACAACATCTGAGCAAATCATCCACTTCCTTTCCTAATATCCTCATTTTCACTACTCTCTCCTTCAGCCGCAATGATCCATTCCATCATCTAACATTAATTTAGTAAAGATTTACTAAATCCCTTCTCTGTACAAATCATTTTATAGGATCTGAGTAAAGATACAGTGATTAGCATATGGCAGCCCTTGTCCTTTGACATGGCAAGAACAACTTTTCCTATTTTCAAGAGCTTGAGTATTCTGTCACTAATAGATCTAAAACTATCCAAGTTTACCTGGCCAACTTTTTCCCTTAAACTTCTGCCTCCCTTTTACAAAACTTCAAAAAAAAGAATTCCAAATTTAATCATGCTGTTAAAACAGATTTTCACATCATCCCGTAGTTACATAAAGGGCAGTCTCCTTAGCTCATACTTAAAATCATATCTTTTCAACCCTTGAGTATTGTTACCATTACCTCAAACGATCATATAGCTACTGTCTTTCAGGTTATTCACAATACAATAATTTGAATATGCAAAAACACCACAGAATTTAAATGAAAAGTAACTAACGCACCCTACTCCCCTCAAAAATCAATTAATAAAATTTGTAATTTCAACAAATATTTTTGAATATTTACAAATCAGAAACAAAAATGGCTAACTGGAAACACAAAACAGATAAAAGATTTGGTAAATTAACCCAACATGCAATTTTGAAAAATGTAAATTTAATTTTTACTTAATAAGTGATTTCTCAAAAAGTAACATTAATAAAGGGCATTGTCAGAAATTTTGAGTCTTTTAGGAGTGAAAACATCTGTTTGAACTAAAACTAGGAGACACAGAATGATGAGAACATATGAAGTTTTAGCTAAATATCCATGAATTACAAGGTTATTCTCTGTTGGTTTGGAGTACTCATTTACACACTAATACTCAGCTTTAGGAATTTAGGGCTCATTAACTTTGCTAAACATGGAATTTAGCGTTTTTTTTAAAACTACTTATCTCTTCACTATTTTTATATCCAAGTATACTCTTCTCATTACTCACAAAGGACAAATCTTCACCAAGCCCCTGCCCCTACAGTCAGGATAGTAATTTCATTCAAGCATCCCTTGAAAGCAATTATTTATGCTCGCTGCAGAAATTAGGGTAAATTTGTTGTGGTCCCATTTATTTTCTGGAGATTGGCGATTACATGTAAAATAATTTGAACGCTTGATAGATAGACTCATAAATATTTGGTTAATACAAGTAAAGCAGGGGGAGGCCAGGCGTGGTGGCTCACGCCTGTAATCCCAGCACTTTGGGAGGCCAAAGTGGGTGGATCACAAGGTCAGGAGACCGAGACCATCTTGGCTTACACGGTGAAACCCCGTTTCTACTAAAAATACAAAAAATATTAGCAGGGCGTGGTGGCGGGTGCCTGTAGTCCCAGCAACTTGGGAGGCTGAGGCAGGAGAATGGCTTGAACCAGGGAGGCGGAGCTTGCAGTGAGCTGAGATTGTGCCACTGCACTCCAGCCTGGGGAACAGAGCGGGACTCCGTCTCAAAAAAAAAAAAAAAAAAATGGAGCGGGGGGGCCGGGCGCGGTGGCTCAAGCCTGTAATCCCAGCACTTTGGGAGGCCGAAGCAGGCAGATCACGAAGTCAGGAAATCGAGACCATCCTGGCTAACATGGTGAAACCCCGTCTCTACTAAAAATACAAAAAATTAGCTGGGTGTGGTGGCGGGCGCCTGTAGTCCCAGTTACTGCGGGAGGCTGAGGCAGGAGAATGGCGTGAACCCAGGAGGCAGAGATTGCAGTGAGCTGAGATAGCCCCGCTGCACTCCAGCCTGGGCAACAAAGGGAGACTCTGTCTAAAAAAAAAAAAAAAAAGTAGTTACTTTCTTCTTCATCCCTTTCAGTGTGGCCACTATTTATAATGCAGTTTGGTTCATTAGTGTTTGTATTCCAAAAACACCCTCAGCCTTCCTATCCTAGTTTTAATGAATTATTAGGGTGAAACATAATAAGAGTCGGAGAGTCGGAGCTATACAGAAAGGTCTACTCAGAGGTGCTTTGTTCCTTCCTGTTCTGTTCCCACCACTCCTACTTTCCACTACTTTTTCCACTGACCCTGTGAGCATCATATTTATTGTTAATGGCAGTTACATTTTTACCAAGTGCTTACTATCTGTAGGCACTTGGTGTGTATTGCTTCTTCTGGTGTTCACAGCAACCTCTTGAGGTAGGCACTATTATTATCCACCACCACCCGCCCCGTTTTTTGAGACAGAGTCTCACTCTGTTGCCCAGGCTGGAGTGCAGTGGTGCGATCTCAGCTCACTGCAACCTCTGCCTCCCAGGTTCAAGCAATTCTCCTGCCTCCGCTTCCCAAGTAGCTGCAAGTACAGGTGCGAGCCACCACACCCATCTAATTTTTGTATTTTTAGCAGGCATGGGGTTTTGCCATGTTGGCCAGGCTGGTCTCAAACTCCTGACCTCAGGTGATCCCCATTTTTTAGATGAGAAAGCAGAGTCCCAGAGAGCATAAGGAGCTTGTCCAGAGTGGCATCTCTGATGCATAACCAGTACTCAAACCAGTATTTTTCTGACACCAAGGCCTGTGTGTAAACTGTAAAAGGGCTGTTTGGTACCTGCTTTCCTAAAGTTGTCTGATCCCTTCTCAGTCCAGGTCTTCCTGAAGCTTGGCACTTCTGAAGTCACCTTTCTGAAAACATTCTGGTAACTGTTAGATCCCTTGTTGTAGCTATTCATATGTTCTGTGTGGTTAAACAAGGTTCACAGTGGGCCACCTGGCCTTTGGAACTTGGCTGAAGAGGCTGCCTTCAGTTCATCCTCCCCACCCCCGTTTTCAAAACATGGGTTTCCATGTGTTCGTTGTAAATTAGGAAACATAACCATGTTTTGAGGCTTCATAGAAAACAAACGTCTGGGGTCACACAGGTTAAAGGAGGAACCAAATTCAGCACTATCACTGTTCTATTCGGCAGGCAATTCTGGGGCCTTCCTGTGTCTCAGGTTCTGTACTAGTTGTTTCAGGACTTTGGGATAAACACAAACTATCCCTGCCCTCAGGGGGATTAAGGTCAGGTGTACAAATGACTCTAATGCGAGGCAAGGCTGGATTCAGTGCTGGAAGAGGAGGGCATACCTAACACTACGGGAATTCAAAGAGGAAATGATCAGAATGAGGAGGGAGAGATGGGTCATTCCGGGAGAAGCTTCAGGGAAAGGCAACATTTGAAATGAGACTTTGGAGAGTGAGGGAGGTTTGGGCAGATGGATAGAGAGGATGCAAGGCCAGGGGAAAGGTTTGAGCCAGAAAGTCAGCTTGGGCAAGTGCATGGGTAAAAAAAGAAAATCCACTTTGGGAGGCCGAGGCAGGTGGATCGCCGGAAGTCAGGAGTTGGAGACTAGCCTGGCCCACATGGTGAAACCCTGTCTCTCCTAAAAATACAGAAATTAGCTGGGCATGATGCTGGGCACCTGTAATTCCAGCTACTCGGGAGGCTGAGGCAGGAGAATCACTTGAACCCAGGAGGCAGAGATTGCAGTGAGCTGAGATCACACCACTGCACTCCAGCCTGGGCAACAAGAATAAAACTTCATCAAAAAAAAAAAAAAAGAAAGAAAGAAAATCACAAGGCAGTGTGGGGAATGGTGAGTAATCTAATTTGGTTGTTGCAGAGAGGATGTAGAAGGAAGTGACAAGAGAGAAAGCCAGACAGGTGGCTTGGGGTCATCTTAAGGGCCTTTGTGCCAGTTAGGATGTTCCAGACTTCAGTCAGGCTGCCCAGCTCAGACTGGCTCAGACAATGAGGGGGTTTATTGGCCGTGTAATTGGGAAGTCCAGAGGCTCTAGGACTACAGAAAATTATTATTTAGTATTAGTTTGACAGCAACACCTTCTGTTTTCTGGGAGCAGGAGATGCTTGTCAAGCTGTAGGTCACTGAGTTGAATATTATCCTGCTTTATTAAATTGCCAAGGGCACGGTAATTGTTGAGAGGGGAGAAGTACACATGAAAGAAAACATGACCAGCTTAGAAATGTCAAATGATTATGACGTTGTTATAAAGTATTATAATTCTTTGAGCGTCTACTATAAGTAGAGAAACTTGAGTTCCAGGTTGTGGGCTTGGTTCCGCCAACAATCAGGAACGTGGTTTTGCATGAAGCCCTTCTTTCTTCTATAATCTTCAGTGTCCTCACCTGCAAAATGAGGCCTTTATATATATATATATATATATATTTTTTTTTTTTTTTTTTTTGAGACGGAGTCTCGCTCTGTCACCCAGGCTGAAGTTCAGTGGTACAATCTCTGTTCACTGCAAACTCCCTCTCCTGGGTTCACACCATTCTCCTGCCTCAGCCTCCCGAGTAGCTGGGACCACAGGCACCTGCCACCACGCCCAGCTAATTTTTTGTGTTTTTAGTAGAGATGGGGTTTCACCGTGTTAGCCAGGATGGTCTCGATCTCCTGATCTCGTGATCTGCCCGCCTCAGCCTCCCAAAGTCCTAGGATTACAGGTGTGAGCCACCACGCCCGGCTAAGGCCTTTATTATACTATGGTTCCTACTGTTTTTTAAAATACTTTTATTAAGTCCAACATTTTTATTAAGAACATTGCTTTTATACATGCCTATTTATGAAAGGGGTTTTCGAGTGTTTACCACTTTTTATTAGAAATAGAGACAGTAAGAATGTTTGACTTAATTGACACAGGCATAATTGAATGGGTATAAATGGCATGCCATAGAAAGAGAAAATTAAGTTGAGCTACTCTGTTGGTTTCACTGATGAGGGGATACATCATTCAAACAGCCAGGAATTAAATCCGTCCAGCTCACAAATGGGGAAACCAGCTGTGTCTGTACCCATGGCCAGCCAGACTGAACACAAATCAGGAAAGTCAGTAACTTTTCCTCAGTTCTGAGGGACTTCAGTGGCTGCGGTTCATTTTCCTTTTGCTTCTGAAACAGTGCAAGTTGATGCTCGCCTGGACAGAGCGGCAGTGAGTGGTGGCGTCTGAAGGCCAGGTCTCTGTTGAGATGACAACACGTCGTCTCCCAGTGCCCAATGCATAGAAAAGATACACTACTAAGTGTGAGATGCTCAGTGAAAAATAAAATCTGGGGTTGAATCATCATGGGGGATACTGCATACTCTGTTTCCCCCCTGCAGATTTCCAATGCTCATTAGTTTATAGAGACTCTGAGAATTCCTACAGCAAAGGCACCTGCCGAGGTACTTACAAACTAGTTTAGCTAAACCAGACTTTCAACAATTGGTTACTAAAGACCACTCAAAGTCTGTCAACACTCTGTCATCTCTATGTAATGATAGAAACATAGAAATTCAGGGTAAATGTTTAGAAATTTCTATAGAAACTTGACATTCTCCCAGCATGTGACATCAGGGGACTTGTCTCAATGAGCAGTTACAGACCAACTCAGGTTTTGTCAGACTCGATGGAAAGATGCAGAGGCTGTGAGCTGCAAACGAGTCACATACACAAGGACCACATTGCAAGCTGCGTTCTTTAAGGTTAGTTTGTCAACTATAGTATAATCTCACACATCTGAAAAATGGGAACATCTATTCTATAAAGTCTTATTTTTGCAATATTAATTTTAAATCAAGCCAATGTTAGCATTATTAGTGAAAACAAAAGAAAGTTGTATTATTTATTATTAAACCTAATTTGAGAGTGAAATAAATTGTATTAATTTTTTTAACCAATAAAAGATGCACCTTGTAAACCAAGAGATGATTATGAAAGTGATTCTGAGGACATGAAGACCAAAGGAGTTTGTCCTCGTTTTACTCAGAAGTACTATTTCTAATGGACAGATGATCCCTGACATACAATGGTTTGACTTATAATTTTTTGACTTTATGATGGTGTGAAAGTGATACGCATTCAGCAGAAACCATACTTCAGTATTCAATAAATTACATGAGATATTCAACACTTTAAAGTGGGTTTGTGAGAGAGAATTTTTGCCCAATGGAAGGTGAATGTAAATTTTCTGAGAATGTTTAAGGTAAGCTAGGCTAAGCTATGATGTTAGCTTAGGTGTATTAAATGCATTTTAATTTAATTTAATTTAATTTTATGTTTTGAGACAGTGTGTTTTGTTCTTGTCACCCAGGCTGGAGTGCAATGGCATGATCTCGGCTCACTGCGACCTCTGCCTCTTGGGTTCAAGCGATTTTCTTGCCTCAGCCTTCGCAGTAGCTGGGATTACAGGTGCGCACCAACATGCCTGGCTAATTTTTGTATTTTTAGTAGAGACAGCGTTTCACCATGTTGGCCAGGCTGGTCTCTAACTCCTGACCTCAGGTGATCCACCCGCCTCAGCCTCCCAAAGAGTTGGGATTACAGGCTGAGCCACTGCACCCGGCCTTAAATGCATTTTCGGCTTATATTTTCAACTGATGATGAGCTATAACTCCTTTGTGAGTTGAGGATCATCTGTCTTGAATTTGGTTTTACAGGCATAACTGAAGGTGAAAGGACAGAATCACCGTGTGTTACTGGCACAGATGCATCGGCTAGTGAAGAAAGAAGACATTCAAACTGTAAGTTGCATTCACGTGGGAAGCACAAAGAATTAAATTCAAAACAATGAAACATTAGAGAAAAGCATGGAGTTAAAACACAACAGAATCAGATGTTTACTATTTCTCATTTTAACACTAGTGCTTTGCGGGCTTCTAATAAAGTTGTACTCCAGGAGGCTAAGACTGAAAAGTGACACTAGTGAAAAGTAGCATTGAAATAGTTCCTAGAAAAGTTGGGTGAATGTGGGGCAAAGATGCTACTAAACTTTAATTTTCCATCGACACACAAATTCAAAGTTTTCCAGAACTGGCAAGTAAAATGGAAGATCCACTCACAGGACACATGCAGTGTGTGAGGGGAATGCTTTTCAGCACTTCTTGATGGATGCACAAATAATGCCAACGTGGTAAATGTCTTTGGTAAATGTGCAATGGAATGTAGTGGTTGTGTGAAGGAAGAATTTTGTTTTCTGCTTCATTTTTGATAAACACAAGCAGCTCTGGACTGTGTGAAACCATGGAGCACTGCACAGTTAACAGAGGTGGTTTGGAGTTTTTTAGCTTTGCATAAGAGGATGTTCTGATGCAGAATCTACAGTGACAGGAAACCATTCTGGACAAGTTACAGAATTAAGGGGCTTGTGCCGGGATGGAAATAAATCAATGACTTCTGTCTTTGAGAAGGTTTTTCTCTGCTCCTCTGTGATGGTTAATTTTTTTTTTTTTTTTTTTTTTGAGATGGAGTCTCGCTCTGTCCCCCAGGCTGGAGTGCAGTGGCGCCATCTCGGCTCACTGCAAGCTCTGCCTCCCGGGTTCATGCCATTCTCCTGCCTCAGCCTCCCAAGTAGCTGGGAGTACAGGTGCCTGCGGCTAATTTTGTGTATTTTTAGTAGAGCCAGGTTTCACCATGTTGGCCAGGATGGTCTCGATCTCCTGACCTTGTGATCCACCCGCCTTGGCCTCCCAAAGTGCTGGGATTACAGGCATGAGCCACCATGCCCCACCTTTTTTTCCTTTTCTTTTTTTTTTTCTTTCTTTCTTTCTTTTTTTTTTTTTTTTGTTAGTCCTTCCCTCCAGTGTCGTGGAGATAATTGGAAAATATTTTAGAGCAAAAAAGTTTATTTCTCCTTCTTGTTGTTAGCAAAGAAATTTATTTTTCCTTCTTGTTATTTATTGGCCTTGGAGACATACACCAAATAGCTCATTCTACTTCTGAAATTTTGTTTTGATTTCCCTGGCCCTCCCCACGAAGTATTTCAGATTAGCAGGGAGTCAAGCATTGTCTGTCTGTCTGTGAATAAAATATTTCAGGCTGCTTTTGCATAATATACATGCTCTTGCCTTTAAGAGTCACACTCACATCTTCTGGTTTTGTAAGACACCAGGTAGAGAAGAAAACAATGTTTCTGAATTCTGCTTTATCAGCCCAGTAGAGAACTCCTCCCTTCCCTGAACTGAGGGCCACATCTAAGGGGTTGAAACAGGGCCAGTTACATTCTATGTTCCCAACATAATTGTCCATGCACGGATCCAATCAAGTTAAATGAGAAATAGGATATTTATTCTAAAAACAAGTTATTGCTACAATAATAATAATACTATAGTAATATTATTCTAATAATGATATTAGAATAAAAACTGGTTATTAAAGTACTAAACAGTTGAAAATCTAAATGTCTCACAAGGTCAATTATAGCAAGTATATAAGATTTCGTATTAGTCGCACGTCAAAAATTATATCCATAAAAGTAATGACATATGAAAACAGTTTATTGATACAGATATAACAAATATAACTAAACTGTGCTGAAATGTATTTTAAAATAAAATATGCCAAAATATTATTGATGATGACTTTGGATGATGGTATTACCACTAAGGTTTCAAATTTAATTTGCCTCTTACTTCTGAGTACTTTTATAAATTTTTAAATAATAAAATTAGTGTGTTAAAAAATATCAAGTGATATCTAGAAATCAGAAAAAGGCATATTGCCAGAGGAGGACCGAGTTAGTAGATTTGAGGCTCCATTAAGTTTTGTTTATGATCAAAAAACAAACAAAAACCAGGCAACAGTGGCAAAAAATATCTCACTTCCTTCCTGGAAAAGTAAATGAGACTACAAAGAATTTCCAAACTTAAAAACTATACATTTCAAGTCTGTTCATAACTAGTGAAGTCACAGTTTCTGAAAACAATGATAAAATTTTAATTGATATTTAATTCATATTTTTTGTTTAAAAAACTATCAGTATTGGAAGATAAATTTCATGGGAAAAGCATTGAATCATTAAGTTTTGCAGTCACAAAGGTAAATATAATTTGCTTAATGCTGCCCTCAGTTTACAATGAGTCTTTAGTATTTTCTAAGCTATGAGTTCACCAAAATATCGGATTGTTTTGCTGTATATAATTTGCTCAGTGATCAAACACTAAGGAGTTACCTATGTTAAGATGTGAATAATAAATTTATGCAAAATTTATGAAAGTGTACATTGTAAAGACAATAAAACTTTCCATTAAATTGGTGGGAAAGGAGCTCAAAACCTAGCTGGGTGATTCATTATTTTAATGACTTCCTGCTTTACTGCAAAACCTCTCTCTTCATTCGGTGTTGGTAGTTTGAACCCCTGTTAAGGATATAGGCTCACAATGAAGCTTCTATAAATTTCTGGACCTCTGTCATGCTGGCATGTGTGTCATTCTCCTTTAGGAATGATGAGGAGACTGGAAAGCGGTTGCTCCAAGGGAAGGGATAATTTTGCAAACCTGAGCTGTCTAAGCTCAGCATGAATTGGAGTGGGCTGCTGACTCAGGCTAGCAGAGGCAGCCAGGAAACATGCAAATCTGCAATCCGTTCTGCCAGGTCTGTCGCAGCAGGTGTCACTAAAGGCACCCCTGTGTGCTTGTCACTGTGGCAGCCTTGACAAGGAAGGTGGAAAGGAAAAAGAGACCCAGTGCTGAACTCCAAGCAGAGATGGGGCTTTTCTCTATGCATATTTTCCCTCCCCTCCCAGCCTGCATTTCCAATAACATATTGATTTATATTTGTATTATGAAACAAAAGTGGTTGTAATCAGATGTTCTTTCCTTTTACACACAATGTTAGCTCCTATTTACATTCCTAACTGAACAATGTCTAAAGAGGTATTTAAACTGATGTAAAACGCAGATAATCTCATGACCAAATGCTTAGCGCAAGAAAAAACTTCAATTTGCAAGAGAAGTCCCTCCAAATACAGAAAGGACCAGTATTGTAAGAGGTACCTTAACTAAAATGTAGCAATGTAAGGCGCAGAGCAGGAAGAACTTTTAAGTCTGAAACTTACAACAAGTCAATTTCATAGTCAGTTTCCCTGGGCCTTCCACAACAGCCTCCGGCACCTGTTTTCTCTACAATGGAGGTAACAATAGTAGCTATTTCAGAGTAGGAAATGGCTTAGAGCAGTGCTAGAATATGGTCGTGGCTATATAAAGTTTAGCTATTTGTATATTGTAAGAAACCTACGATGTGTTCTTTTATCGGTAGTCAGTAATGGATTTCTTGTGGGAAAGTAGCAGCCTCCTATGGGGGGAACACCCGCAGGTCCCACTAAGTGAACACTGGTGTCTGCTAACCTTTGCCTCTATTTGTCGCAATAATATACTGTCAAGCTGTTCCTTGAGTTAGCAATTTTATTTACATTCTTTTTCTTTTTTTTTTCCTTTCCCTTTTCCTGCCACAGAGTCCCGCTCTGTCGCCCAGTCTGGAGTGCAGCAGCGCCATCATAGCTCACTGCCACCTAGAAGCCGGGGTGAAGCAATCCTCCTCCATCAGCCTTCAGAGTAGCTGGGACTACCTGCGCGGCCCACCACAGCCGGCTAATCTTTGTGGTTTTTCTTTTGTTTTCCGTTCTGGGTTTCCGTCGGGCGCAGTGGCTCAGGCCTGCAATCCCAGCACTTTGGAAGGCAGAGGTGGGCGGATCACCCGAGGTCGGAGACCAGCCTGACCAACATGAAGAAATCCCGTCTCTACTAAAAAAAAGAAAAAAACTACAAAATTAGCCGGATATGGTGGCTCATGCCTGTAATCCCAGCTACTAGGGAGGCCCAGGCAGGAGAATCACCTAAATCCGGGAGGCCGAGGTTGCGGTGGGCAAAGATCACACCATTGCACTCCAGCCTGGACAACAAGGGTGAAACTCCGTCTCAAAACAGAGACCGGGTTTCACCATGTTGCCCAGGCGGTCTGGAACTCCTAGGCTCAAGCGATCTGCCACACTCGGCCTTCCAAAGTCCTGGGATCACAAGGGGGAGGCACCACGCCAGGCAGATCTATTCCTTTCTGGTTACTAAATTGGACCGGGGGCGCGGTGGCTCACGCCTGCAATCCCAGCACCCAGGGAGGCGGAGGCGGGCGTATCACTCGAGGTCAGGAGCTCGAGATCAGCCTGACCAACACGGAGAAACCCCGTCTGTACCAAAAAAATAAAACCAAAATTAGCTGGCATGGTGGCTCATGCCTGCAATCCCAGACACTCAGGAGGCTGAGGCAGGAGAACCACCTAAACCCGGGAGGTGGAGGCCGCGGTGAGTCGAGACCACGCCACTGCACTCCAGCCTGCAAAACGAGCGAAACTCCACTCAAAAAAAAAAAAAAAAAAGACAGTGTTTCACCACGTTGCCCAGGCCGGTCTGGAAGTCCTAGGCTCAATCGATCGCCGCGCTCGGCCGTCCACAGTACTGGGATCACAAGCATGAGCTACCACGCCAGGCCGATCTATTCCTTTCTGGTTACTAAATTGGACCGGGGGCACGGTGGCTCACGCCTGCAATCCCAGCACCCAGGGAGGCGGAGGCGGGTGGATCACCCGAGGTCAGGAGCTTGAGATCAGCCCGACCAACACGGAGAAACCCCGTCTGTACAAAAAAAAAACACCAAAATTAGCTGGCATGGTGGCTCATGCCTGCAATCCCAGCCACTCAGGAGGCTTAGGCAGGAGAACCACCTAACCGGGAGGTGGAGGCCGCGGTGAGTCGAGACCGGAAAACACTCTAGCCTGGAAAACGAGCGAAACTCCACTCAAAAAAAAAAAAAAAAAAAAAAAAAAAAGACCGTGTTTCACCATGTCGTCCAGGCTGGTCTGGAACTCCTAGAACATGTAGATGTTACCTCATTTGGAAAAAGCAGATTTTCAGGTATGATTAAGTTAAGGATCTTGAAGAGAGATTATCCTGGATTGTCTCCGTGGGCATTAAATCCTGGCACATATATCCTTATAAGAGGGAGATAAAGGAGATTTAACTTCAGACAGAAGAGAAGGAGGCCCTGTGACCAAGAAGGCAGAGCCTGGAGTGGTGGAGCTGCAAGCCAATGAATGCCAGCAGCCATCAGAAGCTGCGCAAGTCAAAGGATGGATTTTCCCCTCAGCCTCTGAGAGCACTGGCTCTGCTGAGACCTAGATTTCAGCCCAGTGATACTGATTTTGGACTTCTGATATCCAAAACTGTGAGAAAATAAATTTCTGTTGTTTTAAGTCACCACATTTTTGGTAATTTGCTCTAACAGCCACAGGAAAGTAACATACATGCCTACCTGGGTCCAGTTGTGTCCTGTGACTCCTGCTTTCCTGGGACAGGCAGGCTGCTCCGTGCCTCCTGGCCATCCTACTGGGTGCTGGACGCTGTAGGCTGCTCCATGCCTGTTGGCCATTCCCTTTGGTGCTGGACAGCACTCACATTGTGAAATCCACTGGCCCTGTGAAAAACACCTGGAAATGTTACCAGGAGAGGGGTTAGTTCTCTTTTTGGCAACCCATGTTATTGCTTATGGCTTAATATCTGTGCCTCCAAGATCCCTTCTCTCTGCCTTCATCGATGCCAGGAAAGCAGTCAGTCACCTTTTGCCTTTCTTTGCTTCTCAGCAAGTGGCATGTCTCCATGTCACTTTAAGCATCAAGCACACGGAGCCCAATAAGATGCTGAAAAGTGTCTGCCTACAAGGTTACAAGGCGGTGGAGACATTCTGAGCCGGTAACTGCAGGGCTCAGTAAAACCGCTACAGGAAATCTCAAGTTCAAAATGCTGAAGTGAAAAATGGGTGATCACAACGAAGGGAAACACAAACCCCTTCTTTTAAAAACATTATGGTGATAAGGCACAACATAAAATTTACCATATTAGCCACTTGTAAGTATACAGTGCAGTAGTGTTAAAAATATACATGTTGAGTAACAAGTTTCTAGAACTTGCTTCTCTTGGAGAACTGAAACTATAGCCACTATACAACAACTCCCCATTTCTCTATCCCCTGGCTTATGGAAACAACCGCTCTATTTTCTGTTTCTATGAGTTTGACTAATTTCGAACCTAATGTAAGAGAAATTGTACAGCATTTGTCTTTGTGTGATGGGCTGATTTCAATTAGTGTAATGTTTTCAAGGTTCATCTATATTGCAGCATGTGACAGGGCTTCTTTCTTTTTTAAGGCTGATAATTTTATAGTATTCCGTTGCATGGATAGACCACATTTATTCATTTATTTATTTATTTATTTATTTATTTATTTATTTATTTATTTATTGAGACAATCTCACTCTGTTGCCCAGGCTGGAGTGCGGTGGCATGATCATGGCTCACTGCAGTCTGAATCTCACATTCTCAAGCGATCCTGCCGCCTCAGCCTCCTGAGTAGCTGGGACTACAGGCACATGACACCATGCCTGGATATTCGTCTTTCTGTGTAACTGGTTGAGAAACAGGGGAGTAACAGTGAAGAAACGGTCTTAGAATAAATCTGGTGACAGCAGAAGAGAATATGAGACAGATTGTGCTCACAGAGCCTTGAAGAGTGTGACAGTATTTGAGGGCCACGCTGTTGTCTTAGAGTGAAGTGAGGAGAACCTGCACTGGTTTGGTAGTCATGGGAATGGAAGGAGGAAAGAAATGTGAAAGCTCATCGGTGGCAGAGTCAAAATGGCTTGGTCTTTGTAGTCAACGATTAAGTGAGAAGGAGGAATTACTGGCTGACTTAGAAGAAGTAAAAAACGTGAAATACCGATAAAACACAAATCTCGTGATTTTAGTCAGCGTAAAGACTAAGCATTGTGTGATTCTAGATATATTATTAAGCAGTTTTGTTCCAGTATTTTATATCCCATATCTTCTAGCTATGACCCTATTTCTTTGTTTCTTGACATAGACAAACATTTTTTAAACTAAGAGCTTTATTGTGATACAGTTTTTGTATGATAAGCCTCACCCTTCAAGTGTACAGTTCAGTGGTTTTTAGTATATTCAGAGTTATGCAGCCATTACCACTCCCTAATTTCAGAACATTTTCATCTCCCCAAAAAGAACCCCGTACCCACTAGCAGTCACTCCCTGTACCTCTCTCCCCCACCATTGATCCTGGCAACCTCTGATCTAACTTCTATCTCTGTAGATTTGCCTATCCTGGGCATTTCATATAAATAGAATCATACAACAGTGGCATTTTGTGACTGATTTTTCTTTACAGTGATTATAAATCAAATGCCTGAAGACGCTAAGCTTAGGATAGTGTTTGCTGTACAACTTTGATAACTGAACTTTTGTAAAGCTGAAAATGTGACTGTGTCTGTATATGTGGCATATTATCCTTAGATGATCCTTACTTCGATTATTAAGAATTTTTTCCCCTAGTAATCTTCAACTGTCTCAATATTCAGCAGGAACCCCTTGGAGACAAAGATCAGTACGAATTTGGAACACCTATTGACAAAATGAATGTAATTTAATTTAGTACAGTAGTAAAGTCAACCACTTTTAGGTGTTGATGCTGCTGAAAGTGTATATTAAGGAAAAGTTTACTTACCTTACTTTTTGTGGAGGTGCTAGAACTACTTCTGTCTTGTGTTTAGATTTCAAGAAACCTTTGCATGGGCATTATGTGGTTGCACAAATGTACTTCGTTTTGACCTGAAAATGCAAAAACTTCCTTTCTTCCCACTTTCTGAGACTCTGCAACCTTAAAGGAAGAGTGGGGTTCTTTAAAGGAAAGGTGGTGGTGGTTGGGTCATGGGTAACAATGTCTACTGTGTACTTCCTTTCCCAAAACAAGTCCCTGTCTACCGTCAGCATTTCCAAAATTTGAAGGTCAAGTGTGGTGTTAACTCATGAACTAATGACTAGACTTTGAGCGGTTGTGGAAGCAAAATCTCAGTGAGTGCCTGGATGTTCTAATTCTGTTAAGTCAGTGAGTGCATATTCTGTACAATACTCTCTTAGCCCAGTGGTAGGTTTAAGGAGTGGGAGAGAGATTTCTGTGTTTCGGAAATCAGATACACAAAGAATAAAAATTTTTAATCCCATGAATCTTTGCCCGAGTTTAATTTCTTGGAGAGTTTTTCTTTTAGATTTTCTTTCCCTTCCATTAAACTTTTACTTAGAAAGGTCCCAGGGTTTGGGCAAAGCAAGTGGGAAAGACACTTGCTTGGGTTCTCCAGGATAAGGGATTGAAGAGGACTTCTTTCCCTCATTTTATTATTGAATAATGTCACAATATCAATTATTAAGGTGAATAGTCTACAGTGGAAGTGTTTAGATGCCTTGTCTGCAAAATAATTTGGTTTAGTCAACCCAAGGATGCCTTTGGTTAGCTGGAATGGGAGATGTGCATGTTAGAGTGGTCTTGGCAAGTCTTCCAGGGGGAAATACAGCATTTGGAAGGGTAGGAAGCAGAAGGAATCTCAGGCAAGGGAAAGGCGTGGGCAGAGCCCCGGAGGACAGAACAGGTTGTGGTGGACTTGGTGTCCACATAGACCTAATTAGTGGTCTCAGCTTTTGTGTTTTCAAAATTACCACAGTTTGTGTTCTAAAACTGTCATTCTCTTGATTTTATTTTAGACATACTATCTGTGTATTTTGAAATTTAAAATAACGGTAAAGGAGAAACGAATTTATTTTGTTTGAGAAAGAGTTAAAAGGTTAAAACATCTTGATCTTAATAATTTTCTAATGGGAGATTTGGTACACCCCCAGAAGTTGTCTTTGGTTCAGAGAATAGTCTTCAGATCTAGAAAGGACTTGAGAAGTCCCAGAGAGGTGCTGCATGGTCTGAACCATTTGATTCTCACGACAGAATGGATAAAAGCAATTTGAACCAGGAAACCATGCAGATGTTCATATTTTGGATAGGGTAAGGTCAGTGCCATCGTCAGAGGAAAAACTCTCGGCCATCACAGGATGGGAGAGAAAGTTTGAGTTGTGAAGAATACTCAAATGCCGTTTAAGGAAACGGGTTCTTCTGCACCTATTCTTTGGAATATTTAGGGCTAAGTTCTTAGTTTTTGACATCATAAAAATGTCAAAGTATTCTGTTCTAAGAGCCATTTCAAACAACTGACTAGAATTTCAGAGCAATTACATGAGAGTAATACCATTAAAATGTTTAAATTACCCATAGTCCTATATCCCTAACAAGTATGTTCACGCTTGCATGTCCTCTTCTCATCTTTACTGTGTGCATACTTAGTAATGGCACGTAGACATTGTTTAAGCAGGAATAATTCTCGAGATAATTTTGTATGTTTCCTTTTTTCTTTTTAAGGTAGGTATTGGGTGGAGGAGCATTATATTTGCAACTTCTCGCAAAACACGTGATTATTTTCTTATAATATTCAATTTTCACCCTCAATACAGTGTTTTGATTATGTAAGTTAGACAGAAAGTAGAAGGTTCTCTTAGAGAAATTTTAGTGTTTTTTTTCATAGCTCCTACTTTCAAGAATGAAAAAGGTAAACCAGTAAAATGACACTGTACTTGGTGCTGCATCTATGCTGGGATAGGCATTAAGAGTGACCTTTATTTAAGGTTCTAATTTGCTCATGTTGGGCACTTAGAACGTCAGTTTGTTGCTTTTTGTGAGATTTTGGAAATGGTCCAATTTTACTTTTTCCCCTTGACTCCAGACTTTTTAACACTGATCTGCTGCTGTTGAGGCATATGCCGTTTTGTTAGGCCTCCTCAAGTGGGAATCAGGAATGCTGCTGTGTTCCAGAGAGGTTTTGTTCTTCCTGTAGGGCTGAAGCAGTGCCTACTCAATAGAACCAGTCATCGTGCAAAGACATGCCACCTGACTCAAAGGCAAAGCCAGAGTGCAGCTTGGAGCAAAGAAGGTATTTTATTAAGAATTTTCCATAAACCATAAGATATATTTTATATTACTTTGCGAGCCTTCTTCCTGTCTTGACTTAATTCTTTTTGAGAGAATTCATTTCATTTTCATTTGGTTGGTTTTCTTCTTGTTACAAAGATGATCTATAGAAAATATAGAAGTATAAGAAAATTAAAGATACTAACTGATAATTGCTTAATGATTTAGTATCTGCTTGTTTAGTCTTTGTTATATTTACAGTAGGCAAACATGTCTACCGTTGTGAATTTATTACTGGTATGTATACCCTAGTAAGTTAAAAGTTGTACGTACTTTGAAGTTTTGCAAAATTGAGTTCATATTATAGAATTAATTCCTGATGAACTTTTATGTGCTAGGCACTGGTCTTTTTATTTAATTATTTATTTTTACTTTTTTTTCCTCTGTGCCTATGCTTACCAAGTCTTTTTATTTTTTACTTTTTATTAACTCTTTTAATCCTCTGGATAAATTAAAAAGAGGTTATTATTAATATCTGCATTTTGTAGATGAGGTAACTGAAGGTAGGTAACTTGTCCAAGGTCACAGGTGGCAGAGCAAGGATTAAAACTAGACAGTCTGGCTGCCCAAGGCCCAACGAAGAGGAGCTGAGAGCAAGCCACCGGGCAGAAGGATGTTGGTCAGGCTGGTTTCCTGTTCAGTTAACAGGAAACGCAGGCTTAACCTTAATTCTAGGACGTTACCGAGAAAGCCTTCCAAAGCCATAGGTTTTTTACCATGACCATGACTTCTTTTTTTTTTTTTTTGAGACAGAGTCTCACTGTGTAGCCCAGGCTGGAGTGCAGTGGCGCTATCTCGGTTCACTGCAGCCTACCTCTCTTGACAGTCCGCTGGTTAAAGTGATTCTCCTGCCTCAGCCTCCCGAGTAGCTGAAATTACAGGCGCCGGCCACCACGCCTGGCTAGCTTTTGTGTTTTTAGTAGAGACGGGGTTTCACCGTGTTGGCCAGGCTGGTCTTGAACTCCTGACCTCAAATGACCCACCTCTGCCTCCCAAAGTGCTGGGATTCCAGGCGTGAGCCACCGTGCCAGGACCCAAGGCCCTTAAGTTTTAACGTCTCATTCTTCAGTCAGGTTTTCCTTGTTCCTGCGTGTTCAGCCATTTGTTTTTAAGTTTGTGTTGAAGGAGAAACTAACAACGAAAATGGACTTGTTGACGGAAGAAAAGTAGGAATGCAGCCTCTGGTGCTGTTTGAGTGATCCCTCTGCCCCAGGCCTGGCTGCGCGCTGCTGTGTTCTGGAAAGGCGCATTGTGCCCTCGCTGTGGCAGGTAAGAGTCCTGTACAGGTGCTCTGCCCACTTTACCTTTCAGGCTTCTGTATCAGCTGTTTTTCCCTTGTAGAATGTGCCCCTGACCTGTGCCCCTGACTTCCACCCCTTAACCCTGCCCAATACATCTTTACATGTCTGACCATCAAGACTCTTCTGGGTCATATTCAGTTCATGCTGATATTTTCCCTTCCTCCCCTCTTTAGTCCTTACTATTTTTGCTTTGGTCATGTTATGCTATATTCTGTAAGCCTTTAAAAATTTTGTTGTATCATGGCAGGGGAGAATATTTTATAATTATGCTTTGTGCGTTTTATCTTCCACTCAATGAATGCTTGGTAAATATTTGTTTTATTGAGTATATGACCCTTTTCTAGCTATACCGTGAACAAAAATGTTAACTGCCTTGTACGTTAACTGCTAAGAATTTGTCAAAAGTGCAGAGATGACATCCAGAACTTGTCAGAATATTACAAAAAGGTCTCTAAGGGCATGATGGAGGTCTGTAAATTGACTTCATGTGAAAGAGTGTAAGAAGTGAAAATGTGAAGCATGACTGGAGAGCCGGAGTGATAAAGCAAGGGTCCCTTTCTCTAGATCCTTTGTAACAGTGTCATGTGACCTCTTCTAGATCATTCTGAAAGACAATGCCAGCTCGGAACCTAGGAAAGCATCCAGTGGGTTTCTGCATGTTAGGTGGTTCAAATCCTCATTAGCACCTTTGTTTTCTCTGCCTCAGTTTGCTTACAGTGATGTTCTCAGTAGCTGTAATTGCTGTCTGTCTTTGAATATTTAAGCATTTTTTTTTTTTAGATCACAGGGTATATGTGCATTTTTATTTTACCAAGTGTTAGAATTTTTACTCTGCCTTTGTGGGCTCTGGGTTAGCTACTTGGCTGTTTCATCGTAAAATGATTAGCAGGAAAAACTGTGTGTGTGTGTGTGTGTGTGTGTGTGTGTGTGTGTGTGTGTGCACGTGTGTATTTTAAGTTTCTTAATTGGGTTGGTACATGTAAACCATTTAGAACAGTGCCTGCTGCATATCACATCCCCATCAGTATTCACGTCTCTCATATTCTACCCTCACACTTGATTGATAGTTTGCTTGATTACGTATTTCTAGGTTGAGGATAATTTTACCTTAGAATTTCAAAGTCTGTGCTGTTGTCTTCTAACCAGTCGTGGTGGCGAAGCCTCATGCCATCCTGAGTTTCACTTGTTTATGCATGACTTTCTCCCTGGAAGCTTTTAGGAGTTTGTCTTTTCCTTGGTGAGCTGAAATAGCACAACAGTGTACTTAGTGTGGGTCTTTTTTCATTCATTATGCTGGGTACACCAAATGAACAGGCCTATGGATAGGCTCTTTCAAAGTTGGAGTCTTGAATCTTGTCATATTTTTGTTGTTAACTTTCTCTTTTCCATTTTATTTGTTCATTTGGAAGTGTCTGTTAATTGGATTTGAGACCTCTTGTCTTGAGTCTTATATCTCACGTTATTTCTAAATGTTTTTTAAATTTTCAGTTCTGGAATATTTTCTTATCTTTCGACTTTCAGGAAATTTTATTTGGACTGTCATAACTTTAAGTTTTGTTTTGGTTATTTATTGTTGCTTAACCAATTATCCCAAAACTTAATGGCCTAAAACTACACATCTGTCTATCTGTCACGACTGTATGGATTACCTGGGGCTAGCTGGACAGTTTTTCTGCTGGTCTCATTTGGCAGCTCTCACTGTGTGGTTAAACAGTGTCAGGGACTGGTCATCTGGATGCTCAGCTGCAGTGGAATGTCTGAGACGGCTTCTTTACCCACAGGTCTGCTGCCTTGGTAATTCTTGATGTGGCCTTTCTCTCTGCATAGCATCTCATCCTCTCGGATCTCTTCATGTGGCTTTTCTTTCTCCAAGAAGGTAGCCAATTCTTATTTTTGGCTTCCAGAAGCACAGAAATGGAGCTGCCAGGAGTTCTTAAGGCTTAGACCTGGAACAGGTCCAGTGTCATTTCTACCACATGCTATAGGTTAAAGTGAGTGTTGGGGCCAACCCAGATTGACTATGGGATGGGCCTGTCTGAGGACATGATGACAGGAGGTATGGCTCATTGGAGACCAACTCCCAAGATGGAGCATGAGTTCTAAGAACTTTTTCTTCTCTGATTATTTCTTATTCATATTGTTTTGTTTTATACATGTAATATATTCACAAGTGTCTTTATGAAGTGATTTTGATACTCTTTGTCTTCTCCCTGGCATCTCCTTGTTCTTTAATAATTTTTTTCTTAGTTTATTTTGGTCTTATTTTTCTTTTTAAAGCCTTTCCTTAAATATCTATTCTATGTTGCTTATCATTTGTAGTCTTTTTTTTTTTTTTTTTTTTTTGAGACCCAGTTTCGCTCTTGTTGCCTAGGCTGGAGTACAATGATGTGATCTTGGCTCACCACAACCTCTGCCTCCAAGGTTCAAGCAGTTCTCCTGCCTCAGCCTCCCAAGTAGCTGGGATTACAGGCATGTGCTGCCACACCCAGCTAATTTGTGTATTTTTAGTAGAGATGGGATTTCTCCATGTTGGTCAGTCTGGTCTGGAACTCCCAACCTCAGGTGATCCACCCACCTCGGCCTCCCAAAGTGCGGGATTACAGACATGAGCCACCGTGCCTGACCTGTAGTCTTTTTTCCATTCCTTTATTTGTTCATTCATATTTGAGAGAGGTACTAAAAGACTGGGAGCCGAGGTGTGGTGGCTCACACCTATAATCTCAGTGCTTTGGGAGACCGAAGTGGGAGGATCACTTGAGCCCAGGAGCTCAAGACTAGTTTGGGCAACATAGTGAGACCCCATCTTTACAAAAAAAAAAAAATAGCTAGGTGTGGTGACACCCATCTGCAGTCCCAGCTACTTGGGAGGCTGAGGCAGGAGGATTGCTTGAGCCCAGGAGGTTGAGGCTGCAGTGAGCTCTGATCATGCCACTGCATTCCTGCATTCCAACCTGGGCGAAAGAGCAAGACCCTGTCTCAAAATAAATAAATAAATAAATAAATAAAAATAAAAATAAATAAAAATTGATTGGGAGTTCTTTGTGGCCAAGACTTGTCAACTGATAGCTTTAAGGGGAATGTATGCTGATTCCTAATTGTTATCCTCCATCCCTCTATCTTATCTCCTGGTGCAATCATAAATGATGGCTGGGTGACTACTCCATTCCTCTGGATGTAAAATCTACATTCTCTTGCCTGAGGTGGATACGTTTGCTTGGGTTCTGTTTAAGGAGATGGGGCCAGCAGTGTGTTTCAGGGCCTGTGAAATGTGTTCTCTATCCGGGCTTTTGCTTAATCTCTGTTTTCAGTCTTGCCTATCAGTCCCACTGTCGGGGGTACCTCGTGTCTGAGTCTAGAACCTTTCCAGGTTGCTGTGGGACAGATTAGCCTCCTTGTTCTCAGTATCCCCCTGACCTCCACCTTTGTTGCTTTGCTCCATGAATTAACCATTTTCCATGTACTGTCATTGTCTAATGAAGATGAATTCTCTTCTGTTGGTAACCCCATTCCTTTTTTGTAATGGTGTGCTTATACAATGTTTATTCTTCACTGTATTTCTATTGGAGCCTCAGGACAAAGAGCAGATGGTGAGAATCTGTGTTCAGTGTTAAGTTTTCCTTCTGTAAGACATGTGCAACTTGTGTTTTTCACTGAATAGATCATGGACTTAATGCATATAGAGCTACTTTGTTTTTCATGATTGTGCCTTCAATTATATGTAGAAATATAATTTGTGAATTGCCTGATGAAATTTTCCTAATTTTGAATTATCTTTGCATTCCTATAATAAACACTGTTAGAATGGCTATGGTAATATTTTATTTTTGCATTTTTACTTCTGTATTAAATAAGATTATAGTTTTGTTTGTTTCCTTTAAGGCTGTTATTTCAGTATCAAGGGTATGCAGGGCTGAGTTGGGAAGCTTTACATCTTTTTTCTAAGATCTAGGATGTAGATCTGGTTTACACAGTAATTTTCAACTGCAGGAGTATTTTGCCTCCTATGGGACGTTTGGAAATATCTGGAGACATTTTTGTGGTCACAACTGGTCATGGTCGGGAGGTCTCATTGGCATTCTGTGGGTAGAGGGAATGTTACTAAATGCCCGACAACACACCAAGAGAACCCTCCACAAAGAATTATCTGGCCCAATATATCAATATTGCTGAGGATGACAAATTCTGGTTTAAATATCCAATTTGGAGGATGAGTCTTTGTCTTTTTCCTTCTTCTGCATATTGGTCTCCAGATTTCCCACTTCTTCAGTTACTTCTCGTAACTGTAGGTTCTTAAAAAAAAATGAACACTTTGGATGGGTGCGATGGCTCATGCCTGTAATCCCAGCACTTTGGGAGGCCGAGGCGGGTGGATCACGAGGTCAGGAGATCGAGACCATCCTGGCTAACATGGTGAAACCCTGTCTCTACTAAGCCAAAATACAAAAAATTAGCCAGGCGTGGTGGCGGGCGCCTGTAGTCCCAGCTACTCGGGAGGTTGAGGCAGGAGAATGTTGTGAACCCGGGAGGCGGAGCTTGCAGTGAGCCAAGATCACGCCACTGCACTCCAGCGTGGGTGACAGAGCGAGACTCCGTCTCAAAAAAAAAAAAAAAAAAAAATGAACATGTCATCCATACTTCTAAGGTGTTGTAAAGATGTGTAAAGTTTTCACTTTTTGCATCATATTCACATGTGGCTATATGCCCTTTTCTCTTCAAAGTTTTCTTTATCTTGATTACTTATCAGAGGCTTGACTGTTTTATTATCTCAGTCTTTTGAAAGAATCCTCCTTTAGTTTTATTTTTTAAATCTAGTGGTTTTTCTTTTTCCTTTTTCCTTAGGTCTTAATTATTTCCCCCTTTTTGTTTGTTTTGCTTTTCCTAGTTTAGTGGATCAATGTAATTTAAATTGCTTTTTAAACAAACGTGTAAGGGTATACATTTTCGTTGGCTGCTGTTTGACTTCGTTGCACAAGTTTTAAAATCTATTTTTTAATAGTTTGTATTTTCTAAATTATTTTATTGCATCTTTTGTTCACATTGCTCTTACTATTAATTTTTTATTTTAATTAATTAATTAATTAATTGAGATGGAGTCTTGCTCTGTAGCCCAGGCTGGAGTGCAGTGGCATGATCTTGGCTCACTGCAAGCTCCACCTCGGGGGTTCATGTCATTCTCCTGCCTCAGCCTCCCAAGTAGCTGAGACTACAGCTGCCTGCCACCACATCCAGCCTTTTTTGTATTTTTAGTAGAGATGGGGTTTCACCGTGTTAGCCAGGATGGTCTCGATCTCCTGACCTCATGATCCACCCACCTTGGGCTCTCAAAGTCCTGGAATTACAGGCATGAGCCACTGCACCCAGCCCAAAAGCTTTGTGCTTTTACAGATATTAGACATGTTTCTTGTTTAAGAAAAAAAATCTTAACGAAAACGTAGGAGAATAAGAGAAACATTTTTCCAAAAAAGAGAAATCATTGTGATTATTTTATCTTATTAGAATGTTGGATAATATAGTCTGCTTCATTAATCATCAAGCATGCTATGCATTTTCCATTTTTATAGGATCTGTATCTCAGTTAAGGTAATACTGGTAATTTTTGTACTGTAATCAAAGATGAAAAATATAGGCCAAAATCATAGACCTTGCATAGAAGCTGGATAATGAAGACAGCTATGGAGAAAAACATAGATACACACACGGACACACATATATATATAAAGTATACACACATATATTTTTTAAAGTTTTAAAGCTTTTAAAGCAAAAGCCAGCCCCTCTTCTCTTCCAGAGTGGGAGGCCTCTCCCCTCTCTTAGAGTGGGTGGGGAGAGCGGTTGCCATGGGCAGCTTTCCTTGTGAGCCACAGGGCCCTCTGGACACGCTGCTGTCTGGCCACGCCCTTTCCCTTTCATCTTTCTCATTGACCAATGGGCTTGGAGCATTAAGGCCACGCCCCTATTCCGCATTCTACTGGGGCCCTGGTTACGCCTCCTCTGGCTCAGTCACACAGCTGCCTGGTAGGTGACTGGAGGCCTTGATCGGTTCTTATTGGGATTTTGCTGCTGTGGCCCCAACCCTTCCTCCCTCCCCACCCTGCGATGGCAGAAGAAACTCAACACAACAAATTGGCTGCAGCCAAGAAAAAGGTAAAAACGCACTAGGTCATAGCCCCTCAACCCAGCCACAGATCCCCTCTGATGACAAGACCCCTGCCAGAGTCTATACGACTCCTGAGGCACACTGGACTGGTCCCCCCAACCCCGGTGCCTTGGGCTACCCCCACCAAAGTTTTGTCAGTCAGCCCCACCCCTTCAGAAAGCAGCCCAGTCCTTGCCCTCGCCAATCACCCCAGGGTGACTTTGGGTGGGTGACTCCTGGGGCTTCCCGCTCCATTACTGGGCCGTCATCTCCTGCCGCCCCAAGCTTGATCTCCGTGGGCTCTTTGGGCTCTCATCTCCAAGGAGCCAGGCCCCACCCTCGCCAGTCATCCTTGGGTGACTTTGGGCTGGTGACTCCTGGGACTCCCTGCTGCAGACTGTGCCCTCCCCTCCTGCTGCCTCAAGGTCGACCTCCCTGGGTTCTTTGTGCTGGCGTCTCCAAGGAGCTGGGTCCCAACCCTGTGCTTCCCTCCCCCATCGTGGAGCAGCGACTTGGACATGGTGCTGACATGGTCCCTCCCCCCGACCAGGAGGAGTGGAATGTTGTGATGTCACAGTCCACCTAGTAACTGCCGTTACTGCAAGACTGGCCTTTGACCTTACGACCCAGTCCCCTAAGCGTTCTCACCCCGTTTCTGGTTCCTCTGGTCACAGCACAAATTTCCAGCTGGAAGGGGAATGGAGACTATGGGACCTAGGAGCAAGAGGTTCCAGGCTGCCTCACTCCCTTACAGATGTTGACGGTGGGAAAAGCCTACACTTCCCCCATGAACTCAAAACAATGACAGTATCTCTGGGTGGCAATGAGAGAATGGGTTTGATTTGGTTTTCTCCCAGGCTTCTACTTTCCAGAGAGATTTTAACATTTTTTTCTGAGTTCTCCACCTCATATTCTAATTCTCCATGGTTCTGGGACCAGACTCTCCTTCAGTCAGTGGTCTCTGAAGTGAGATTTGCTCATCTTCTGTGGAATAGATCTTGGGAAACTGAACTTGACACCTTGAATCTTCCTCATATTATCTCAACCTTGGGTACTTTGAGTGCCACAGGATAAATGTGGGACATCTTTCTGAAGCATCAGTTTCCCTTGATTCTCTTGAGATCAAGAGAAAAAACATGAATGTACTTAGGGATGACAGTCACATAGGTTTCTAAGAGTATACCAGACCTCTCTCTGAAATGAGGCTTGGGTTGTCCTCTTTCTGATAAATTCTGATTTAAGAGAAAGGCTGCCTTCTGCCATGAGGACACATTGATATAAAAGTTTGAGAGGTACTGGTGCACTTCTTCACACTAACAGACGTGTGAGGATGTATGACTAAACCACATGGCATACAGTTCCTGCCTACTTAATGTTTACTTTTCTACCTCTGCCTCTGGTTTTGGTCCCTGGCAGCTGCTGATTCTTGGCAAAACCTCAGAGCTTGGAGTCAGAAGACTGAGTCTCAAAGTTCCAGTATTGCCTTTTTCTTTTTTTTTTCTAGCCATGATATCAATCCTTCTCAGTCACTAAATGAGTGTGACAACACCTTGTACAGTTGTTGGTGTCATTAAATCAGACGGTGTGTAAGTGTATTTTGTAAAAACTGTAAAGGAGGTTGTGGCTGTAGGGGCTGACGGTTCTCATGAATATTACTGCTCTTCTTTCCAACAGTTAAAAGAATATTGGCAGAAAAACAGACCTAGAGTTCCAGCAGGAGTGAACAGGAACAGGAAAACAAATGGCAGTATCCCTGAGACAGCCACTTCCGGTGGTTGCCAGCCACCTGGGGATGTGAGTCTTGGCTGACCAGGCTTCTGGGGACAGGGGGCCCAAGGGGCAATAGAGGGTAATTCTTAAGATTGTGGATGGACTGCTGGGTACTGGTTAAGAATTCTGGCTTTAGCCGGGTGTGGTGGCCCACGCCTGTAATCCTAGCACATTGGGAGGCCAAGACAGGCGGATCATGAGGTCAGGAGATCGAGACCATCCTGGTTAACACGGTGAAACCCTGTCTCTACTAAAAATACAAAAACATTAGCCACGCGTGGTGGCGTGTGCCTGTAGTCCCAGCTACTCAGAAGGCTGAGGCAAGAGAATGGTGTGAACCTGGGAGGTGGAGCTTGCAGTGGCCAAGATTATGCCACCGCACTCCAGCCTGGTGACAGAGCAAGACTCTGTCTCAAAAAAAAAAAAAAAGGAATTCTGGGTTTGAATCCTGCCTCTCCATCTGCTCTGCTAGGGATATGATTTAGGGCAAGTTGCTTGACCTCATTGGGCCTCTCTTTTCACATCTGTATAATAGAGGTGTTATTGTTTCACTTCCATTTGTGAAGTTTAAATGAGATTTGTTATTGTTGTTTTTATGTTAATCCCTAGTACATGGCCTGCTGTAAACACTCAGGACACCCAGGATATGGTTTGATTTTCCTCATCCCCAGTCTCAAGGGGAAACCAGGACAAAGAGAACAGCCACTTGCCATCAGGAGTCACTGAAGGGGCCCCAGGATGGGATGGTGGGGAGATAAGAACCATGAGAGAAGTTGGCACAAAGGAGTTATGGGACAAAAGGTCCAAGATAGGCAGAAAAGAAAATGTTGCAGTTGATGGGGAAGAAAGGAAGTCAGAGGGCTCAGACACTGTGGGGGACAGAACATCTCCATGTGCACTCTCATCTCTTGTAGTCAGCAACAGGTTTCCACAGGGAAGGCCCTACATCATCTGCTACCCTGAAAGATCTGGAGGTAAGAGGCTCTGGGTGGAGGTGCAGTGACCCTTCGGGTCAACCCTCCAACCTCCTCCTCCAGGTGGGACTGGGTGCCCCTCTGCCAGCTGAGACAGCCCACACACCCCAGCCCTAACGATCGTTCTCTCTACCTCTCTCCCCACTCCTGCTCCACCTCCTCCTCTCTGCATGCACCTCAGAGCCCGTGCCAAGAACGAGCAGTAGTCCTGGATTCAACGTCCGTAAAAATCAGTCGACTGAAGAACACCATCAAATCTTTGGTAAGAGTCCGGTGGGGTCCCCTGATTCCACGCTGCCAATCCTGGGCTCCAGTTTCCCCTTGGGGCCCTGAAGAAAGGGGCTGGGGGTCCCTGGTGCCCGGGACAAATAGGGAGCTTGGGTGCCCAGGCCTCACCTGGAGGGACCCCAGAGCATGCAGCATGGCTCTTCTTTTGCTGCCCTCTTTGCCGACTCTCTCCTCTCCAGACACCCCTGCTCGAGTCCTTGCTACACACGCCCTGGGGTTGTTGCCTCTTGGGGAAGTGCTAGCCTGACTGGTTGTCAAGGGCCCCGTATTTCTGCCATGACTCAGTCCCTAATTTGCTCTTTGATTCTGGACAAGCCACCTCTCCTTTTTGGGCTCGTGTTTCCAGAGGAGGTAGTGAGTATCAAAGGTCTCTGTTAGCTCTCGAGTCTGAGATTTAAAGGCCCCCGGGAATGGAAACCTCAGGGCTAAGGGCTCCTGTCTGTCCTTTTCCATCCTATATCTGCTGTGAAGAACCGTACCTGGCCCATAGGTGCTCAGTAAGTGTTTATTGAATGAACCCACTTTTCTAAATCACAAGCTGCCAGAAGGAGGGGCCTTTCTGAAACTCCATCTCTAGAGGTTTATGTTGCTGTCCTCTCAAGAGATTCCAGATTCAGACTGAGTTCTGTGGCTGTGGGCAAAAGCCAACAAAGACCCAAATCCTCTGTCCTTGGGAGCTTGAGGAGAGTTTACCGGTTCGTGTTCCCATTATGTCTGAGAACTTTGCCTTTAAAATCCATTCCTGGCCCCTGCCTACCGCTTCCTGGTCTGGGGAATAGAGTTGAGGGGGCCACCCTCCATCACCTTATTTGACTCTCCCCACAGAAACAACAGAAGAAACAAGTGGAACATCAGCTGGAAGAAGTAACGTGATTTCGTTTCCTCGCGACATGACTGCTGGGTTTGGGGGGCACTCAGACATAGAGGCCCCAGTCTCGTCTCACCCACTCCCAGCCTGGGGAAGAAGGCTGACCCCTCAGATTCCACCCCATCCCCACAGGGCCCCTGATAACCTGGTCCCATGGGTGGGCCTGTCCTGGGGCATTGGTGGCATTCTGGGGGCATGTCTCTTGCTGTGCCATCTCTGCCTCCCCCTGGTAAGAGCTCTGTCTTCCTCTTCCTACAGGAAAAGAAAGCAAACAACGAGAGACAGAAAGCCGAAAGGGAGCTAGAGGTGAGTGGAGGGTGTGCAGTTTCCTCCTGTCCTCCGGAGAATGTTTCTTTCCTTCTCTTTCAGCACTTGCTTGGCTTTTCTCCCAAAGGTTCAAATCCAGACATTGATCATACAGAAAGAGGAACTAAATACGGACCTGTACCACATGGAACGTTCTCTCAGATACTTTGAAGGTGGGAATCTGGGCACCCTGTCATCCTTCAACCTGGCACTTTGACAGGTCTTCAGGGGGAGTCCTTTGGGCCCCATCTCAACTCTCTCATTACAGAAGAGTCCAAGGACCTGGCTGTCCGTCTGCAACATTCATTGCAGTGTAAAGGAGAGTTAGAGAGCGCTCTGTCTGCTGTCATCGCCACAGAGAAGAAGAAGGCAAACCAGGTGAGTCCAGCCACCTGCCCCATCCCCTGGGAGCCTGGTTTTGCAGATGGAGGAGTGAGCCTAAAGGTCCCTTCTGCAGGATGGCGTGTCCTGCCCAGAAGGCAGCATGGCCATTTCTTGCTACTTTTTTGTATGGTTTTTAGTGGCAGCCTGGGGCCGAGTCAGCTGCTGTGGGTGAGTTGGGGGGTACTGTGGGGAGTGAGCACTGGACGCAGAGCTTGGAGGCCAAGTGCCTGCCCCGCCCTTACCTGGCTGTGGTCTTGGGCAAGTCCTAGTCCTAGGTGGGGTATTGGGTACTTGTACTGTGAAGGTACAGAAGAGTACCTTTAGTATGTTACCATTTCTGTAGAAAGAGGAAACGTGTGTGCGTTGTGTGTGTGTGTGTGTGCATACTGTGATAATATACATAAAACATGTCTGCAAGGGTTCATAAAAAATTCAGGAGAGAGCAACAAGATGGCCGGGAGATACTTCCCTTCTGTACCTTCTGAGTTTTGGACTATGCAAATGTTATCATCCTTTCAAAAAGTGAACAAAAGATTAATTTTCCCCTTCCTATCTGTGCCCCCATCCCCAGCAAGAAAAACGGGCTTAGAGAATTGGATAGACCTGGGTGTTTATATCCCAGCTCTGCCTAAGTGAACTTAGGCAAGCACTTAACCTCAAATACTCCATGTTTTTTCATCTCCACAATAGAGGGAATCATAGTAACTGTCTCCTATGGTGGTTGCGAGGATTAAATGGGATTGTTAGCACGGTACCTGGTGAAGCATTCCACAAAGGTTCAAACAGTGGTAATAATGACAATAATAACAACAGCAATATTATCTGATCTCTCTGGGCCTCTGTTAGCCAGCTATAAACTCAGTCTCATTCCCTGTCCGTTCCAACTTTACTGTGTTCTTTTAAAAACCAGACCACGGGCTTGGAAATGCCTTGATCTTTACTGACCGAGTTGTATATTGGGCCTAGCCCTAGCCCTGTTAAGGGGCACTGTGTGGAAATGCCCAGGCTCTCCAGATTGAAACTTCTCACTCTTCACCATCCAGTTGTCCAGCTGCAGCAAAGCACATACAGAGTGGGAGTTAGAGCAGTCCCTACAGGACCAGGCACTGCTGAAAGCGCAGCTGACACAGGTGAGGTTTTCCGAGGGAGGGATGTGGAAGGACGATGACCCCAGGTGGCCAGGAGCAGGTGAGGACCAGTGACAGCCCTTCCTAACTTCTGTGCCCATTCTTGCAGTTGAAGGAGTCATTTCAACAACTCCAATTAGAAAGAGATGAGTGTGCTGAACATATAGAAGGAGAGAGGGCCCGGTGGCATCAGAGGATGAGTAAAATGTCGCAGGAGGTGAGATCTGACCCTTCAGCCCCCCCACATTAGATAGGTCACTGGATCTTTCTGGGCATCTGTAAAATGGGAATAGTAGAGCCAGAGGTGGTCATGGGTCTGGGCTTTGTGGAGGTGGGGGCAGAGAGGGAGAGGGCAGCCTGTCCAGCCTCCAGCCCCTCTCTCCAAGGCCCTTTCCCCTTGTGCTTTGGGCAGATTTGCACATTAAAGAAAGAGAAGCAGCAAGATATGCGTCGGGTAGAGGAGCTGGAGAGGAGCTTGTCCAAACTCAAAAACCAGATGGGTAAGATGGGGCTGGCATGACCTGGGAGCAGGACTGGCATCAGAGGGCTGTGAGGGTGGCTTAGAGTGCCCCAGGGAGGTGGGTGGATGGAAGGGCTTTGAGGCAGAGGGAAAGAGATCTGTGCCAGGAGACGGCGAGTCTTGTCATCTCAATGAGTCTCAGTGTCTCAGTGTCCCCATCAGCAAAGAGGGCCCGTTGCCAGCCACCCACAGTGCTCTTTCTCTGAAAGTCCTTTGGAAGACTGGCTACCATCTGGGTGCGAGGAATCATTAGCAGTGAGGCCAAGTTTGAGGAGCCTGAGAGGAGCTGTGCGCCAAGAGGAGGGTTTTTCTTTTCCGAGAATCCAGAGGCCCTTATTATCTGCTTCCTTTGTCAGCTGAACCCTTGCCCCCGGAGCCCCCAGCAGTGCCCTCTGAGGTGGAGCTGCAGCACCTGAGGAAGGAACTAGAGAGAGTGGCAGGAGAGCTCCAGTCCCAGGTCAAAAACAATCAGCACATAAGTCTCCTGAACCGGCGACAAGAAGAGAGGATTCGGGAACAGGAAGAGAGGCTTCGGAAGCAGGAGGAGAGGCTTCAGGAGCAGCACGAGAAGCTTCGGCAGCTGGCCAAGCCACAGAGCGTCTTCGAGGAGCTGGTGCGTTGCCCCAACTGGGGAGCCTGCCCTCCTCCCTAGCCCTCCGGGCCTTTGTTTCCCCACCTCTAAAATGGGGCAGTGTAGCCCTCGCGTGAAAGGTTACTTCTAAAGGCACCTGTGAGCCAGGTGGCTGTGGGAGAGAGGGGGTGATTTTTCTAACCTGCCTCCAGCCTTCCCAGTGCCATGGGAGGCAGACACCAAGTTCTGGGGTCTCCAGCTGCAGTGGGTGGCTGCTGATTGCTTCTCTCTGTCCAGAACAATGAGAACAAGAGCACACTGCAGTTGGAGCAGCAAGTAAAGGAGCTACAGGAGAAGCTTGGCGAGGTGAAGGAGACGGAAACCTCCACCCCATCCAAGAAGGGCTGGGAGGCGGGCAGCAGCCTCTTGGGAGGGGAGGTGCCAGGTCAGAGGCAGCTTCCAGCCTGGGGGCTGGTGACCACAGCACCCCGCAGGGCAGTCCTGCGACTGTTTCTCGCTTCCTGCCTCTGACTTTTAAAGGTGGGTAGCCCTGGGCTCCTCTCAGGTCTGGACATCATCATCCCAGCTAGAGGCATGGAGCCCCCAATCACAGGGGAAGAGACAGTGCTATAACAGGCTCCTTATACCAGGTGCAGTGGCTCATGCCTATAATCCCAGCACTTTGGGAGGCTGAGGCAGAAGAATCACTTGAGGTCGGGAGTTTGAGATCAACCTGGCCAATGTGGTAAAACCTCATCTCTACTAAAATTAAAAAAAAAAAAAATTAGCAGGGCATTGTGGCGCATGCCTGTAATTCCACCTACTCGGGAGGCTGAGGCACGAGAATTGCTTCAACCCAGGAGGTGGAGGTTGCAGTGAGCTGAGATTGCACCACTGCACTCCAGCCTGGGCCACAGAGTGACACTCTTGTCTGAAAACAAAACAAAAAGACTCCTTAGATTGAAACTGGATTCCAGCCTCGGTTCCACTGGTCACCATTCAAGTACTTTGCATCTCTAAGTCTCTGTTTCTTTAACTTCAAAGGGAAGTTAGCATTTTCCTTACAGAGGTGCTGAGGATTAAATGAGAAGAGGGTATGAGATTTGAGGCTGGGGAAGGAGGCATGGGGTTCTAGGAAAGGGAGGCAGTCACTTAGGCCTGGAGTAAGGGGACAGGGGCCTGGGTAGCTGACAGAGCCCCACAGTGCCCTCGCTACCCTATTAATGGGCCCAGAATCTGGAAACCAGCCACCACGTGCCCTCACACCCAGGGTCTTCCTGCAGGTGGAGCTGAAGAGCCAAGAGGCTCAGAGTCTGCAGCAGCAGCCAGACCATTACCTGGGTCACCTGCAGCAGTACGTGGCCACCTATCAGCAGCAGGTGGCCGCCTATCAGCAGCTGACCTGTGAGAAGGAGGCGCTGTACAGGCAGTGACTGCAACAGACCCAGCTAATGAACCAGCTGCAGCAGTAGGAAGCTTGGGGCAAAGCAGTGGCCGAGATGGCCTGCCAAAAGTTGCAGGAGACCCAGGGGAGGGAGCTGCCGAGGATGGGGCTGTGAGGGGGACGACCTGGCAAACTCCATCCCTTCTCACTCTTTCCTGGCCCCTTAGGAGCACCTGGAAGCGGCCAGCCAGCAGAACCAGCAGCTAACGGCCCAGCTGAGCCTCATGGCTCTCCCTGGGGAAGGTACGGGAGACCGCTCAGAGGAAGAGGAGAGAGCCCCAGGAGGAAGGGGGGACTGCTAGCAGCATAGGATTGAGGAGTTGGAAGAGACCTTTAGAGCAGCTGGTCATTATGCCGACCGGGTGCCTGCACTAAGTTCGGCATCAGTGTGGTGACCTCCTGTGAGCGGGCGGTCACCAAGTTGCCTAAGGGTGGCTGAACTGGCCAAGGTCAGAAAGGGAGCAGGTCAGAACTCCCACATCGACCAGTAGTGGGAGTGTGCCTGGGCGGAATAGCAAGATCTTGATTCTTAAAAGTAAAAATAAAGAACAACAGCTCATTCCTCTCTGGGGAGGGGCTGGCTCAGGGTTACACAGTGAGGGTGGAGGTAGAGGTGGGCCCACAGTACCTCCCTTGTTGGGTTGTCTGAAGACCCCTCTGGCCACCCCCCACAGGACACGGAGGAGAACATCTGGACAGTGAGGGGGAGGAGGCACCTCAGCCCATGCCGAGTGTCCCAGAGGACCTGGAGAGCAGGGAGGCCATGGTGAGCCTGACTCCCCCTGCACCCATTTTGCCACCTTTCTCTGTGGTCCCTCCAAGACCCCTTTATGCTCTTCGTTTCCCTGCCTTCTGATTTCTCTGGACCCTCACCCCTTCCGAGAGCCAGTGGTCAGACACCATTTCACCTGTGGCCAACAGGTGCACTCTCTGAGGCCCCAAGGGAAGGGGCTGCGCTCCACCTCTCTGCCCCATTTCTTCTGTGTATGCCCCTAGAAGAATGCTCACATCTTGCCCTCAGGTGGCATTTTTCAAGTCCGCTGGAGCTAGTGCCCAGGAGAAGCAGGCACAGTTACAAGAGCAGGTGAAAGAGCAGAGGGTGTGCTGCCAGCGCCTGGCTCACCCGGTGGCCTCGGCCCAGAAGGAGCCAGAGGCGGCCAGAGGCCCTGGAGCCCCAGGGCCTGGGGGCGAGTCTGTGAGTGGGGAGACCCACTGGGCCCTGCAGGAAGTCACGGAGAAGCTGGCCCATGCCAGGACTCACCTCCGCCTTCTCCATGACTTGAAAATGCCACCTGAGGGCAGGTCGCTGCCGAGATGTGACTGCAATATTTTGGCTCCAGAGCAGCTTTATGGACCACCTGAAGGAGAAGGCAGACCTGAGTGAGCTGGTGAAAAAACAAGAACTTCGCTTCATTCAATACTGGCAAGAGAGATGCCATCAGTGAGTGGGAGGCCAGGGCACGGCAGGGGGAGCTACAGGGCCATCAGAGGGGCCCCAGAATCTGAGCCCTGTCCTCCCGCAGGAAAATCCATCACCTTTTATCAGAACCAGGGGGCCGTGCCAAAGATGCAGCACTGGGAGGAGGACACCATCAGGCTGGAGCTCAGGGAGGAGATGAAGGTAGGGTGTGCAACATCTCTGTGGGGGTGGGGGTGGGGGTGGGTGTGAGGGTGGGCGCAGGCAGCGGCATGGCAGCTGAGCACCCCTCCCTCCAGGTGAAGCTGCTGGAGCTGCAGCAGATGGTATTGCGGCTTACAGCAACTACAACAATGGGCACAGAAAATTCCTGGCCGCTGCCCACAACTCTGCTGATGAGCCCGGTCCAGGAGCCCCAGCCCCCCAGGAGCTTGGGGCTGCAGACAAGCATGGTGGTGAGTAGAGCCCTCAGGTGGGGTGGGTAGGCAGGAAGAGGGGGGCTCCCACTGTGCTCAGATCCCCGCCTCCCTCTCTCCAAAGATCTTCGTGAGGTGACCCTCACCTCCTCTGCCCAAGGAGAGGCCAGGGAGGATCCTCTCCTTGACAAGCCTACTGCACAGCCGATCGTGCAGGACCACCAGGAGCACCCAGGCTTGGGCAGCAACTGCTGTGTGCCATTATTTTGTTGGGCTTGGCTGCCAAGAAGAAGGAGATAAACATCACCATCATCAAACAGCTGCTCAAGAAATTTTTAAATAAGAAACCAAGTTATGGGGTTAATCTCCTACACAATTCATTTACTTCCTTTGAATGTTAGACTCACTCATGATTATTTGTGTTTCTAATTTATAGTTTAAGTTTATTTGTAAAAAGTTAAAAGAGAGTGTGTGTCTGTGGCTCTCACTGATGTTCACTCTGGCATCCTTTAGCATTTTTCTTTTTTAATTTCATAATTGTAGGTCATTAGCATGCATATCGAGTTTGCCCTTACGTGGTGGGAGTTCAAACACACAAAGACCCACTCTTTGCCCAAAACTGTTCTCTTTGGTTTGGAATAGGCTGCCATGCTTTTTTAATGTTATTGCAGCATGTATATTCACTACAGCATTCAGACAAAATTTGCCTATGTTCTGCTGTTGTTTGATCTAATCTTAATCACAGTGAGCTCTTCCTTAGCTCAATATGTAGTTTGCCCCCAAGTGTGCACTGTTTATTACTTTGTAATACGCCACTATGAGTACTGACATTTAGAGTTGTTTAAAGGCCAAGAATTGGAAACAGCCTTTCCTCCATTTTCTGTGTATTGGTGATGGGAGTGATAACCTTTTGGGGGAGCTTTTTAAATCTCACAGAAGAGGAAAGTGGCCTCCTCTGGCAGGTATGTGCAGGATAGAGTGTGTTTCATCTCTTCCGGTGCCAGGAATTAGCGGTGTATTATGGTGGTGCCCTTAGGATTTGTATGTGCTCTGGGCTCATGAAGATATTGCATCATGAGCTGCAGCAGTTGCACTCTTTTTCGATGACCTAAAAAGGGCTTATTTCTGAGGAATGAAAGGTTCCCATCGTTGACTGTGGATGTGGAAAACCTTTCCTAGCTTAGAGCATTTGTATCTACAATACATTTTAAAGTCAGAGTTCATGTTACCTGTTTTAATCACATGACTACATGCCCCAGTACACAAAAGGGCACTGGTTGGCATTCTTCTTAATGTATTTAGTGAAGATCATAAGAAATCCTTTACGAGTTCAAATGTCCCTGGAACAGGCATACAGGCTCTAGTCAAGAATGAATTAGAGTGAAGGAAAGCTGTGTGACTCCTGGCATTCCTCTCTGTTCACGGAGATTCTTTGAGGCTTGAAGATTGATTTTACCATCTAGACCTCTTTGGCTAATACCTATTCTTCAACCACCTTGGTTACTCTGATATAGGAATTTACTTCTTTTTCTTTGAATGGAAAACACTTTAAAAAAAATAGAAACATTCTTATAAACTAATATATGTGAGATAGTTGAAACAAAAAGGAGTTTTAGTAGATGGTATTATACTATCTTTGAAAATCAAGGAGAAGTTTATGAAACTTAAAATGTGTACAAACTGCAGTGCAATCTACTGTTGTTCGTGAATGTCAATGTATTATCAGGAAACGTGTCTATACAACCACAGAGTTATATTTTCTCACAAACTTCTTTACAAAGTGAAATATGTTTTTGTACCTCTGGGTTTCTGTTCGGGACATATTTTGTGCGATATTTATGTGATTGTGCCTATGCATGATGAATGAATGCATTTCAGTTATGTATTGCCTAAATCGTAACTTGATGATGCTTGGGAAAGACTCAACAGTTAAAACTTCATGAAGTTCTAATGTCTGTGTTCCAAAACACATCACATTGTTAGGATGCAGGGAGATAGGTGTGTGTGCTCCCTGCGGTGGGGATTTCTAGTTACTAGATCATCTCCATTTTTAGCATTTGGCATCCTCATGATACTTCTATAAATATGACATTAACAGGAGAGCAACAATACGATTTTACCGATGGAATAACAGATTTGCTGGCATTCACTGAAAGAGTGCAAATATTCGGTCCTTGTGACTTCCACTGACTCTTCCAAATTTTATGAATGTATCAATGTATTAGATAAACCCAGTTTCAGAATGATAAAGAAAAAATCTTAGACCAAATAATGCGGCTAATTAACAGTGGTACGATTTCTAGCCCGTGGGTTTAAAATGCACTTAAAGTCCTGTTCTCGCCTTTTATTTTCTGAACTTGCCGCTTTTGCATTCTTTGAGTTCAGTTTAAAGACAGTTACTTTAAGAGCATTTTAAACCCTCGGGCTAGAAATCGGACCACTGTTAATCAGCCACATTATTTGGTCTAACGTTTTTTCTTTTATCATTCTGAAACTGGGTTTATCTAATACATTGATAAATTATTTCAAAGGTACTTTTATCGTTGAAATCACTTCACTTTTACCCTGATAAATATCAGTGACTAGGAATGACCTTCGGATAGCGTTTAGCATCTGTAACCAATCTGACAATAATGTGTTCATGAGGTGCCTATGGATTAAATCACACACTGGCATATTTAAGCTGAAGGTCAGTCTGGAAAATAAATTTACTATATTGACTGAAATACCACTCTTTGTGTAGGTATTTGTCATATATTTAAGAAAACACTAAAAAGAATGGAAATTGTATGACAATAACTTAAGTCTTTCTCCAAAGTGCATGCAGTCTTTTGCGATACCTCATTCAGCCGAGTATTTGTACTCTTCCTCATTCAGTATAAGGAAGCTTTCAGTTTGCTTAGAAGGCAACATTGGAATGTTAGAGTTCATGAGAAACATAGAATTTTAAACTGTGAGTTCCACTGAATACATTTTAATGTCTGTAGGAAGAATCAAAACACCTATTTAAAGATGGCAATATATAATAATCATTTTAAAAGTATTTGATTCAACCTAATTTTCCAGAAATGAAAAAAAAAAAATCAGCTCTAAAACCAAAGCTGATTTCAGAAAATTTGAAAATGTAAATCAGCCCTATCCATAATATAGTTTCTCTAAAACTTTATCTTAGTCATTTTAAAATAATATAACTATTAAAAAATGTAACTGCTATCTTAATGTTCTGAAATAATTTAAAACATTTTAAAATATGAATACTGTAGTATAAAAGAAAGAAATGGTGGGAACGAAAAGCAGAGAAAGAAATGCCAATTCCAGTCCAAAGTTTTATTTGCCAAGTTTTCTTAGAATGAATTTTACCAGTTTATGAATTATTGTAAACAGAATGTGTCATGGAAATACTGAAAGATTTTTCCCTAGAGTGGCCTTATTGACTGCTGGTGTGATGCCACTGTAATGTAATAAATTATTAAATTGTTTCAATGTGTTGTTTTTGCCTTAAAATTTTATTTTGCGTTTCTTGAAAACTATAGTATTAAAGGTATTGATACTGTGCAAATGCTGGGCATGCTTGGCATGAGATAATGTGTTTCATTTTTACAAAGGTGTAATATAACTATGCAAGTGTTTCTTAACACAAGATTTAAAAAGTTATGGGATTAAAAGAAGTTATGGGGTGAAAAAGTTATGGGATAAAAAATGTAAAAACGTTGTGGCAAAAAAACTTGTGGGAAAAAAGTAGAAAACAGTATTATGAAAAGTTACAAAAGAAGTTATGAAAAAGAAGTTACGGGATTTTTTTTTTAAAAGTCATGGAATAAAAATAAAATGAGAATCATAAGAGAATCATTGAGAATCATAAAAATGCAGATTCTGATTCAGTAGGTCTAGGGTGGGGCCTGAGTTACTTCTTTTTTTTTTTTAGACGGAGTCTTGCTCTGTCGCCCAGGCTGGAGTGCAGTGGCGCGATCTCCGCTCACGCAAGCTCCGCCTCCCGGGTTCACGCCATTCTCCTGCCTCAGCCTCCCGAGTAGCTGGGACTACAGGCGCCCGCCACCACGCCCCGCTAATTTTTTGTATTTTTTAGTAGAGACGAGGTTTCACTGTGTTAGCCAGGATGGTCTTGATCTCCTGACCTCGTGATCCACCCGCCTCGGCTTCCCAAAGTGCGGGGATTACAGGCGTGAGCCACTGCGCCCGGCCCTGATTTACTTCCTTTCATGCACCACATAGCAATGTTTCGGTCAACAATGGACTACATATATATCTATCACTGTCTTCCACCTCCACATTCTGTCCTACTGGAAGGTCTTCAGGTGCAATAACACAGAAGGAGCTATCATCTCCTATGATAACAAGGCTTTTTTCTGGAATAGCTCCCCACAGACCACCACAAATATGTGATGTGAGTAATGAACTGTGCTACAGTGATGCTACTACGTCAACAACATCACTAGGCAATAGGAACATTCCAACTCCATTATAATCTTTTTTTTTTTTTTTTTGAAACTGAGTCTTGCTCTGTCGCCCAGGTTGGAGTGCAGTGGCACGATCTGGGCTCACTGCAAGCTCCACCTCCCGGGTTCACGCCATTCTCCTGCCTCAGCTTCCTGAGTAGTTGGGACTACAGGCGCCCACCACCACGCCTGGCTAATTTTTTTTGTATTTTTTAGTAGAGACGGGGTTTCACCGTGTTAGCCAGGATGGTCTCAATCTCCTGACTTCGTGAGCCGCCTGCCTTGGCCTCCCAAAGTGCTGGCATTACAGGCATGAGCCACTGCGCCGGGCCCCAACTCCATTATAATCTTATGGGACCAGTGGATATAGATGATCCTGACCCTGCTCAGGCCTAGGCTAATGTGTGAGTTTGTATCTTCATTTTGGTTTTGTTTGGTTTTGTTTGGTTTTGAGACAGGGTCTCGCTCTATCGCCCAGGCTGGAGTGCAGTGGTGCGATCTCAGCTCATTGCAACCTCTGCTCCCCAGGTTCAAGCAATCCTTCCACCTCAGCCTCCCAAGTAGCTGAGACTATAGGTGTGTGCCACTATGCCTGGCTATTTTTCATATTTTTTTGTAAAGGCGGGGTTTCGTCATGTTGTCCAGGCTGGTCTTAAACACCTGGACTCCAGCAATCCACCTGCCTCGGCCTCCCAATGTGCTGGGATTATAGGTGTGAGCCACCACGCCCAGCCATGTCTTGGTTTTTAACAAAAAAGTTTAAAATGTAAAAAAAATAGAAAAAAATCCTACCGAATATGGAAAGAAAATATTTTTGTACAGCTGTACAATGTGTTTGTGTTTTGAGCTATTACTACAAAGGAGTCAAAAGTTAAGAAAATTTAAAAGCTGATGAAATTAAAAAGTTATAGTAAGCTAACCTTAATTTATTACTGAAGGAAAAAATTTTAATAAATTTAGTGTAGCCTAAGTATATGCTGTTTATAAAGTCTATAACAATGTACAGTAAGGTCCTAGGCCTTCACATTCACTCACCACTCACTGACTCACCCAGAGCAACTTCCAGTCCTGCAAGCTCCACTCATAAGTACCCTACGCAGGTAAAATTTTAAATCTGTGGCCGGTCGCAGTGGCTCACACCTGTAATTCCAGCACTTTGGGAGGCCGAGGTGGGCGGATCACAAGGTCAAGAGATCAAGACCACCCTGGCCAACATGGCGAAACGCCATCTCTACTAAAAATACAAAAATTAGCTGGGCGTGGTGGTGCACGCCTATAGTCCTAGCTACTCGGGAGGCTGAGGTCGGAGAATCGCTTGAACCCGGGAGACAGAGGTTGCAGTAAGCTGAGATTGTGCCACTGCAATCCAGCCTGGTGACAGTGCAAGACTCCATCTCAAAAAAGAAAAAAAAAAAAGAAAAAAATTTAAATGTTATATCATAAATTTTAAATCTGTTAAGATACATAAATACTTGGTATTGTGTTACAATTGCCTACAGTATTCAGTACAGTAATCTGCTGTACAGGTTTGTAGCCTAGGAGCAATAGATTATATCACATAACTAGGTGTGTGTGTAGTTGGCTACACCATCTAGGCTGATGTAAGTACACTCTATGATGTTTGCACAATGACAAAATTGCCTAACAATGCATTTCTCAGAAGGTATCTCTGTCATTAAGAGACACATGGCTATAGTTTCCAGGCGATACCTATGCCGTATTTGAATAGCAAGGCTCTAGTTTAGAGCACTGTTTAGGGAAAACCACTGGCCCTGTATCTTAAGTTGGGTTGCCTGAAAAACAGGTACTGAGATGGAGATTTCCCCACAGGAGGCTTACTTGGGAAGGCTCTTGGAACAACACAAGTAAAGGAGTAAAAGAAACAGGATTGGGCAGCCTGTGAAACAGTTGCCACCATCTCAGCTGCTCCTTCAGGAAGCTCTAGAGCTGGGAGGTCCTTCCGTTGTCTTGAGATATGGGGACCAGGCCTATGAAACCCCATATTAACCAGGCATGGAATGTAGACTGCCCAGAGGAAGGCATCACTTGGGGTGAGGCAGGTCCTTTTCATGGAGCAGCTCTCAGAGGGGGACTTTGTTGTGAGCCATGAGGAACCAACACTTCTGCAAGTGGGGCGAGTGAGCACCTCAGCCTGGAGGGGGATCTAGGTGAAGCACCACAGTGTCTACTATTCTGGTGATAGCCCAGTGACCTCAGGAAATCACTGTACTATTTTCCATCTTAGTCCACATTTAGGACAGAATATGATAGACATTTCTGTTTTATTAATAAATGGAACAATGTGGCCGGGTGCGGTGGCTCACGCCTGTAATCCCAACACTTTGGGAGGCTGAGGCGGGCGTATCACGAGGTCAGGAGATCGAGACCATCCTGGCTAACACGGTGAAACCCCGTCTCTACTAAAAATACAAAAATTAGCCGGGCGTGGCGGCATGCGCCTATAGTCCCAGCTGCTGGGGAGGCTGAGGCAGGAGAATGGTGTGAACCCGGAAGGCAGAGCTTGCAGTGAGCCGAGATCACACCACTGCACTCCAGCCTGGGGGACAGAGCGAGACTCCGTCTCAAATAAATAAATAAATAAATAAATAAATGGAACAATGTGTCTGTGGAATGTGCCAGGCCCTAGAAGCAGTGATTCTAGGAACAATCATTTTGGTTTTACAGAAAAAAACTCGGACCTAATTTGAAAGTTGCACAAATCATCTTATTTCAAGCAGGGATGCAGGTAAAAGGTTCAGGAAGGCCCTTTGGCAGACACTTTATGGACTGATTTCACAGAAATGAGGGCTAGGTGAACTAACATCTAAGGAAAAGGATGTGTGCCATCTAGTGGCACTAAAAGCAAAGCCTAATGCTTAACGAAAGATTTCCCTTTTCATCGTCAGGGAACTCAGTGAGGTTTTCAGTAGTGTTTTCCTACTTTTAGAAGTAGGTGTGGGAGTTCACTAAATGAAATAAAATTACAATATCTACAGCTGGATAGCTGTGTGGGGTAACACATAAAATTGGATCCATTCTTTCTACACTGGATAAATTCCAAATTTAAGGACCGGGCGCGGTGCCTCACGCCTGTAATTCCAGCACTTTGGGAGGCAGAGGCAGACAGATCACCTAAGGTCAGGAGTTCAAGACCAGCCTGGCCAATATGGCGAAACCTCGTCTCTACTAAAAACACAAAAATTAGCCAGGTGTGGTGGCATGCACCTGTAGTCTCAGCTACTCAGGAGGCTGAGACAGGAGAATCATCTGAACCCGGGAGGTGAAGGTTGCAGTGAGCAGAGGTCGCATCACTGCACTCCAGCCTCAGAGATCTAACATTAACAAATGAAAACATAGCAGTACTAGAAAATTAAGTACTAGAATTCACAAGAGTGAATACCTTTATAACTCAGAAGTGGGGAAAATACTCCTATCTATGATCAGAATCCAGAAGCATTAAGGGAAGAGATTAACTATAATTTAAACAAACAAAAAAGCAAGGCAAAAAGTCTAAAAAATATATGTAGCTTATATCATGAGGGACTAATATATAAAAAGCTTCTAAAATATTTTTAAAGACCATCCTGAAAGTAAAAGATGGACAATTTAAATAAAAAGAAGTACAAATAGCCCTTAAACAGGTGAAAAGATTGATTTATTGCACTTTGTTTTCCATTTTAGGAGTTGCTTTTACATTTTATTTTATTTTATTTTATTTATTATTATTTTGTTTAGATGGAGTCTCACTGTGTCACCCAGGCTGAAGTGCAGTGGCCGGATCTTGGCTCACTGCAACCTCCGCCTCCCAGGTTCAAGCGATTCTCCTGTCTCAGCCTCCCGAGAAGCTGGGATTACAGGCATGCATCACCACGCATGGCTAATCTTTGTATTTTTAGTAGAGACGGGGTTTCACCACGTTGGCCAGGCTGGTCTCGAACTCCTGACCTCAGGTGATCCGTTCACCTCGGCCTCCCAATGTGCTGGGATTACAGGCGTGAGCCACCACCTTATTTTGTATTTTAAACATGTTACACATTTACAGGGTTCCAAGTTTATATATAAAACAAGATATATTCAGAGAGGTCTAGCTTCCATTCCTATTTTCTACTTCACCTGTTCTTGATCTTCTCCTATTGTTTACCATTTTTATTAGATTTTGGTTTACCTTTCTATTGTTTATTTTTGAAAATATAAGTAAGTATCCATTTGTATATGTATCTCTACCACCCCGTATACCAAAGGCAGCATACTATATACACTCTTTTATGCCTTGCTTTTTCACTTCACTTCACATCATAGTCATATATCTTCCACATTCCTTAACAGCTTCATAATACTTTGTCGTAAGCATGCATCATTTGAAAAAATGTTCCACTTCATTGACAAAAAGATAAATACAAAACTATACTGGAGGCTGGGCGCAGTCGCTCATGCCTGTAAACTCAGCACTTTGCGAGGCCGAGGTGAGTGGATAGGTTGAGGTCAGAAGTTCGAGACCAGCCTGGCCAACATGGCGAAACCCTGTCTCTACTAAAATTACAAAAATTAGCCAGGCGTGGTGGTGATTGCCTGTGGTCCCAGCTACTCAGGAGGTTGAGGCAGGAGAATCGCTTGAACCTGGGAGGCAGAAGTTGCAGTGAGCCAAGATAGAGCCACTGAACTCCAGCCTGGGCAACAGAGTGAGACTCCGTCTCAAAAAAAAAAAAAAAAAAACTACACTTTGATAACATTTCCCACATATCGATTTAGCAAACATCTAGGAGTTTGACAATTCATTCTATTGGAGAGGCTGCAGAGAAACAGGAAATGCTGCTGGTGTGAATACAAAACTGCACAACCCCTATGAAGGGGAATTTGGCAGAATTAAACAAAATAACATGTTCTTTTACCCTTTGACCTAACAATCCCATTTATAGAAATCTATGCTAAAGACCCACTGGCAAAAGCATATTATATATGCACAAGGAAACTTTTGTATAGCAAAAGACTGGGAATAGCCAACATATCCACTAGTAAGGGCCTGGCTAAATAAACTACAGTACATCCATATATAACCAAAAAGAATAATTATGCCCAGTTCATTTAAAACACAGTATCTTGATTTTACATCCTTAGTTGGATACAATTTTAGAAAAAAGGAAGTACATGCAAAGTTAAACTTCATTTATCTGTTAGCAATATCTCTATTGTTATTCTGTTTTTATTCTTTATCCTGTTATTGCTATTGTTGTGTTTATATACCTGTGAATATAGGTAGATGAAGCAAATAACCATTATGTTAATATTAATATTTATTAATAGTAACATTAATAATAAGGCAATGAAAAGAACCAATATTTTCATTGCCTCCTTGTGTGTAGGAAAAAAGAACCAATATTTTCATCTTAAGAGAAAGGAAGGGCCGGATGTGGTGGCTCACACCTGTAATCCCAGCACTTTGGGAGGCCGAGGCGGGTGGATCACGAGGTCAGGAGTTCAGGACCAGCCTGGCCAAAATGGTGAAACACCGTCTCTACTAAACATACAAAAATTAGCCGGGCCTGCTGGCAGACGCCTGTAATCCCAGCTGCTTGGGAGGCTGAGGCAGAGAATTGCTTGAACGTGGGAGGTGGAGTTTGCAGTGAGCCGAAATTGTGCAACTGCACTCCAGCCTGGGCGACAGAGCGAGACTCCATCACAAAAAAAAAAAAAAAAAAAGAGAAAGGAGACGAAAAACAAGAAGAGCTCAGCTTTAAAAAAGGATCACGACGTAGAAAAAGACACAACACTGAAGATTGTCATGGGTCTTTAAGAAAAGGAAATTTGAGACGGCTAAAACGCCGAACAGTGTGGAGTTTGGGGAAGAGATGTGGCTAAAGACAGCGTAAGCAATTTTTTAAAGTTATGTCTGAAGCAAGAAGAAAAGACAAGGAATAGGTTCAGTTTCATCTCTGATACACCGTTTCTTGTTAAAATTGATGTTTTTTTCTGCAGGCATTTGCTTCCTGAATGATGGTCCCACTCAGCCATCCACCTATACTTTCTACAAAGTCAATTTATACTGATTCTTCAGATCAGTTAATCACTGGTACGTTTCCCCTCCCCGGTCAAGGATCTTTTATTATACGCTATCATAGAATCATATTCCTTTCCTTAGCGCACTTCTCTCAACTGATAAGTGCCGCCATTAATGTACTTACTTGATAAATATATGCCTGCCTTTCCTCTTCCAGGGCCGAAACTGTGCCTGGTTTTGCTCATCATTCTATAGTCTATAGCACGAGTTCAATAAACAGTTGTTAAAGCAACATATTTAACTTACATTTTGTTCCCATCTCTTCACTCAGAGACTTTTCTTTGGATTGGGAAGGGTAAAATATCCGAAGATTTGAACTCCAAAAGAAACAAAATGATTCTATGCAAACGTTTCCTACTTAAAACTCATTCATTGGACAAATATTCACTTAGTCCCTGGCACTATTTGGTAATAGGAATACAGGAGTGCATATGGCAGATAAAGTTCTGTTGCTGCCCTTACCAAGTTTCGTGGGGGTGAGATGTGGTGTTAGTAAATGCATACTATTTTGTCTGTATTTAAATCGAGTCCAAATCTCTCGCTCTACAGCCCGCCTTGGGATGTTTCTTATATCCCAAGAAACAGAATATTTTGATGGGATCGCTGATGTTTCAGACTGCAAAAGCAGCTCAGGGCGTTTGCAGTCGTGCAAGTCAACAAGATAACCGTCTGGACCGGAAGCTGGGCTCCTCCCGGTCTCCTAACGCCAAATCCAACACCAAGCTTCTGCAGCTGCCACCTCCCGTAGACTTCGCATTTCTTCCGCACTCTCCTCTCACGACGGGTCTTCTTTGTTGTACTTAATTTCCTACGCAATAAGATTTCAGCATGACCATCAGTCCCCCAAAGACTAATTCCCACAGAGCCGAAGTTCCCACCAAGGGCCGAGGGTTAAGGTTACTAAAATCAGCGTTTCTGAATCCTGTCTCAAGTTGTCTCATCTGGGCTTCCGTAAGAACGGTTTCTTCATAAGAGGGCCTTCAGCGACAGCCAAGCTCGGAAAAGAACGGGAATAAGTTGTCTTTTATATTTCCTCAAATACTGTGAATGGTCTGAGGCGCAGGTCAGGTGTATTTAAAAACCTTTAAACAGTATTCCCCCGCCCCAAAAACTGGCCTTGAAGGAACAAGTGAAACTCATCCTGCTTTTCATGTTTGCTGGGTTTGCCCGTTACACCCCTTCGCCCGCACTTATCTAGACAGGCAGCTCTCGGCCACCCTCCGGGGTCCTGATTTTGAAAAGAGGAGTGGACCAATCAGATGTGGAGCGCTGTTTCGCGCTGCCATTTGAGCCTGGGCTGAAACTGCGGGTGTGACCCCCCCGTGGTGGCTCTGGGTGTCTGCGGAGGAGCTGGGGGCGGAAGCATGAGGCTAACGGCTTGGCTTCAGTGAACGCACCGGGATGTGCAGGCCGGGAGGTAGAGGCAGGCTGATGGGGGAGGGAACGAGCAGCCTGTGAGACGGGGTGACGGCGGCTACCAGCCCGGGCGGGCACCGGGACTGGAAGAGTTGCCTGAGCAGCCGGCTGGTCCGGCGGCCAGGCTAGGGCGGGGGCGAGCGCCCAGTTGAGCCTGCTGGGGCTGGAGGAGCGAGAAGGGTTTTCTTCACATTTCAGAGCGAACCAGACGGGGACAGTAAGGTTTGGAGGAAGGGGGATCGTTGGAAGTAGCAAGAAGTGGAGAGAATCTGGCAATAGACGAGAAACCGAAAGAATCAGAAAGAAGTCTATGTGAGTAGCTGAAAGCATTGGGTGACCAGAAAGAAGGTCGGTGTAAGTGAAGGAAGAGTGAGGTGTGGCTGGATCAAAGGGCTAAGAGAAGCGGGTCTGTGTAAGTGGATGTGAGTGAGGATCAAGGAAAAGCCGTGGAAGTGGCCGGGGGTCGGGGCCGCAGAAGTGCCAGACGGGGCCGGAAAGCAGCCGAGCGGAGTTCAAATTTGAGAGCGTTTGGAAATTGGAAGACTTGGTGGCGAACGAGGGTCAGGACCTGCATCCTGCCTCAGAGAGTTATCGACGTATCCGGAATGTGGGATCAGAGGCTGGTGAGGTTGGCCCTGTTGCAGCATCTGCGGGCCTTCTATGGTATTAAGGTGAAGGGTGTCCGTGGGCAGTGCGATCGCAGGAGACATGAAACAGCAGCCACGGAAATAGGGGTAAGTTCTGTGAAAAGGGATTTAGGTTTAAAAGAAAGGGCACACCCTTTATCATCACTTACTACCAGATCGTGCTAAAATGTTCACTCTGTGTATCAAAAAGAATGGTTAGGTGTGTAATTCAGTTCAGATGGTCGATTGCTGATATTTAAAAAGTGACATTCTTGTTTTTTTTCCCCCAAGGATTTTTGATCATTGAGAGAAAGTTGCAGGATTTTCCAACTTCAGCACTATTGACATTTTGGATTAGATAATTTTTGTTAGGGGAAGACGAAATGCTGTTCTGTGAATTGTGGGATGTTTAGCGGGATGTCTGTCTTTTACCCACTAGATGCTGGTAGCATCTCTCAGTTGTGACAATTAAAAATGTCTCCGGATATTGCCAGCTTACTGTATTTGGAACAGGTAGTACGTTGGGAGGGACAAAAACTCTACCCCTCCACCCTTGTTTTAGAGTAAGGTTGTAGAGGGACAAGGGAGACCAGTGCATTTTCTACATGAATCTGTAGATGAAGAAGTATGACAGAACATTAGAAATAGGCTTCAAATGATGACTGCATATTCACTAATTTGGGAAACAGATTTGCTGCTTGGCCATGTCATACTTTTGGGACAGTAAATTTTTTTTTGTATGAGTAAATTGAGAAGCCAGAGTGGAATAATTGAGAAGTTGTTGATGTTTTGGTGGTTGAAATAAAGGGATTTTGAATGAGATTTTAATAGCTCTGCCACATAATCAGGAATTCCATTGTGAAAAATAAGCTGAATGTAAAGCATTTTATTTTAAATTTATGTGCCTAATTTATATGGTACTTCCTAGTACTTGGAGACAAGCTAATAAAATTAATATACGTTGCTTTTAATAGTTTATGGTTTCTTAAAAAAAGTGCTTGGAGAAGAAAACCACTAACAAAAGTAATATGTGTGCCTCTTAATCGCTGATAAACTTTGGAGAAGTTATTTTTGTTGGTAGCAAATTAATGGCAATACATGTACTTACATTTAAAAAGCTACAGTGATTTTTTTCTGATTGTAAAACTGGCTTTCCAAGATCTCAAATGTAGCTGATTTTGTAAGTATATGGAAGAGTTTGTATATGGACTTTTTTTCACCCCTTTTCTTTTCTTTTCCTTTTTTTTTTTTTTTTTTGAGATGGAGTCTCCCTCTGTCGCCCAGGCTGGAGTGCAGTGGCGCGATCTTGGCTCACTGCAAGCTCTGCCTCCCGGGTTCACGCCATTCTCCTGCCTCAGCTTCCCGAGTAGCTGGGACTACAGGCGCCCGCCACCACACCTGGCTAATTTTTTGTATTTTTTAGTAGAGACGGGATTTCACCGTGTTAGCCAGGATGGTCTCGATCTCCTGCCCTCGTGATCCGCCCGCCTCGGCCTCCCAAAGTGGTGGGATGGCAGGCGTGAGCCACTGCACTCGGCCTTTTCACCGCTTAACAAGAAAAACTGTTGCCTGTTTTCAGAGTCAGATAGACCTGAGTTTGAGTGCTGTTCCACCCCTACTACATCTGTAAACTTGGGCTGCTTGTTTGATTTCCCTAAGCTTCAGTTTTATATATATAAAGTGGGAACGTATTTCTCCTTGGATTATTTAGGGATTTTTAAAAAGTGAAGCTCTTTATGTAGGCCTAGCACAGTGCGGGTAACATGCCACTTCTTCATCTAATGATAGTTGTCATATCATTGGTCTGCCTCCTAATTGGTAATCATGCCATATAAATTCAGCTAGAAACACTTATAAGAATATTCTAATGAAGAAATATAGAAGATCATTGTGTTAGGAGATCTAATGGGATAGTTTGTTTGAAAACAATTTCTTTAGCCGACTGGTGTTTGTTAGCTAACTGTAGTTTTAAGTTTTAAAAACATTTTATGAGATTAAATTATAGTGGTTACTTGTGAGGCCAGTTATTCTAAATAATAAGACTTAAGGAAAAAAACACGCTGAATTCTAGTTATATATAGCAGAAGTAGACTTACCAGCTTAAGTATCTGGTTTATTTTTACATTTGGTTTGGCTGCACAGTATCAAGAAAATTCTGATTTACCCAATAAAGGGGTTGCCCATACTAACATTTTTTAAAATAGTTCAGCTTAAAATGATGATCATAATATTAACAAATATTTTTTGAATGCTTACTGTGTGTCAGACACTGATACAAGTGTTTTGTATGTTTTAATTTATTTAATTCTTCCTACACCTCTATGACTTAGGATCTGTGTGAGGATACCGAGGAACAGAATGTTAATTTGATCCAGGTCACTCAGCTGTTAAGCAAGAGTTAAGATGTAAAGCCTGGCATTTTTGTGTGTGCGATGGCTCACGCCTGTAATCCCAGCATTTTGGGAGGCCGAGGCGGGTGGATAACGAGGTCAGGAGATCGAGACCATCCTAGCTAACACGGTGAAACCCCCCCCCCCCCGCCCCACGTCTCTACTAAAAATACAAAAAAATTAGCCAGGTGTGGTGGCGGGCGCCTGTAGTCCCAGCTACTCGGGAAGCTGAGGCAGGAGAATGGGTGAACCCGGGAGGCGGAGCTTGCAGTGAGCCGAGATTGCGCCACTGCACTCCAGCCTGGGCCACAAAGTGAGACTCCCTCTCAAAAAAAATACACCTGTCATTTTTGCCTTCAGGAGCCTACTCTCTTAAGCACTTACTATACTATACTGTCTTTTCAGCTTACAATATTTGTAAATTAATTGGAGCCAGGTGCTTGAAAGGGAATTAGTAAAATTTTGTTACTGTGTTGCGTCATTGACAATGCTGAGTGGTTTTTATTGTAAATATAAAGTTAAATATAATGCTCATAAAACATAAATACTTCTTGGTTGATAACTTGTGACATCAAAAAAAGTACTTCAGCATTCACAGAGCAGATGCATGTAAACTAAATTAACATGTGAGATTATGCATACCCACTTAAGTTTGAATAACCAGACATTTACAGGCTTGAATTTACCTTTCAGTGCTGTGGAAAGCGACACATTTTTAAGAGGTTCGAATGCATGCACAAAGATAGTGGCAGATTCTTTATTCTTCAGTGTGCAAAAACATTCAAGTTAACCAACACACAGCTTTACTCTTGGGATCTTCAGTGTATTAAAATTTGAATGTGAGGTTTTAAAAATGGGTTTCCAGCTAGTTAAATGAAGTTTGACTTAAATATTTGCACACTCCTGCCTTGCTTACTGCAGGGCATGGTTTGAAAAGCACTCTTCTATAGAAGGTGGAAAATGTATTAGGTATAAAAATAACTTCTTCTGATGTAATTTTAGGAAGACTCAATGAATGACAGGAATTAGTGTTTTGCTTTTCAATTGACTTAGTCTTTTGTGTAAGTATTTATAAGGTGACCAAAAGAAAGTATCTAGTAAGTATTTATAAGGTCATTAAAGCAACCTATAGTATTTTGGGGTAAATGTTAGTGTTTTGGACCAAATTCTGTTTTAAGAATTTACTGACTAACCACTAACCAAATTGACTTTATGATCAGATTGGAAACTTGAGTTTACTAGATTATTTGAGGGGAATGACATTATCTTGGCCATCTTTGTACTCCCAGCACTCAGCATACTGTCTAATATAGTAATTATTTGTTATCAAATGCACTTGAAATGATTATTTTTGTCTTGATAGATAGTTTATCATTTATTTCTGATTTTTTTTTAATTTCCTGAGTTCTTTAATTTGCCTAAAGTTTAAGAAAACTGATATTATGCCTAATATTTGTGTTAGAGTAACTGAATTTGTCATTTTAGGGTAAAATATTTGGAGTACCTTTTAATGCACTGCCCCATTCTGCTGTACCAGAATATGGACACATTCCAAGGTAAGCAGAGTTTGAAATGAAGAAGGCCGGGTGCAGTGGCATATGCCTGTAACCCCAGCATTTTGAGAGGCCGAGGTGGGCAAATCACTTGAGTCCAGGAGCTTAAGACCAGCCTGGGCAACATGGTGAGACCTTGTCGCAAAAGATAGAAAAATTAGCTTGGCGGAGCACACTTGTAGTCCCAGCTACTCAGGGGCCTGGGGTGGGAGGATTGCTTGAGCCCAGGAGGTGGAGGCTGCAGTGAGCCTTCTAGCCAGGGAAATGAAGAAGAAGAGAGTAAGCATTTCAAACTGGTTTTAGAGAGTTTAAAAGAAATAGTTGATTAAAACATAATTGTTTCAAACCAGCAAATGATTTAATCTCTCATAATGTTAAAAATATTTTTTTAACTTTTACATATTTTAAATTTATAATTTGTACTCATTCCCAGGATTGAATTTTAAAGTCCAGTAATGAGTAAATGTTAGAAATCACAAAAAATTTTTGTTCTGTTAAGTCAGTTTTCAGTTCTATGTGAATTCTTTTGCCACAACTCAGATTAAGTAATATACTGACTTACCAATTCAGTAATAATTTTGACTTTTTTTTGTTTGTTAAAAAAATATTGGCCAGGCACAGTAGCTCATGCCTATAATCCCAGCATTTTGAGGGCCGAGGCAGGAGGATCGCTTGAGCCCAGGATTTTGAGACCAGTCTGGGCAACAAAGCAAGACTCCATGTATAAAAAAAATTTTAAAGAAAAATCAGCTGGGCAAGGTGGTGTGCACCTGTAGTCCCAGCTACCTCTGAAGCTGAGGCAGAGGATTGTTTGACCCTAGGAGTTTGAGGCTGCAGTGAGCTATGCTCATTGCCACTGCACTCCAGCATTGGCAACAGAGTGAGACCATGTCTCTTGAAAACAAATATTGGATAAAAGAATATTTAAGCTAAGATATTAGAGTGTTTGTGAAAATGTATCACTTAGCTTTTCTATGCCACTTACTATTTATAAATAACCTTTTATTCTTTTTTTTTTTTTTTTTTTTTTTGAGACAAGAGTTTCACTCTTGTCGCCCAGGCTGGAGTGCAATGGCGTGAGCTCGGCTCACCGCAACCTTCACCTCCTGGGTTCAAGTGATTCTCCTGCCTCAGCCTCCGGAGTAGCTGGGATTACAGGTGTCCACCACCACACTTAGCTAATTTTTGTATTTTAGTAGAGATGGGGTTTCACCATGTTGGCCAGGCTGGTCTCAAACTCCTGACCTCAGGTGATCTACCTGCTTCAGCCTCCCAAAGTGCTAGGATTACAGGCGTGAGCCACTGTGCTGGCCTATTCTAACTGCATCAGAACTTACTAGGAAAGTTTATGTTTTAAGAATATAATTTAGCCGGGCGCCGGGGCTCACGCCTGTAATCCCAGCACTTTGGGAGGCCGAGGCGGGCAGATTACGAGGTCAGGAGATCCAGACCTTCCTGGCTAACACAGTGAAACCCCGTCTCTACTAAAAATACAAAACATTAGCTGAGTGTGGTAGCACGCACCTGTAGTTCCAGCTACTCGGGAGGCTGAGGCAGGGGAATGGCATGCCAGGAGGCGGAGCTTGCAGTGAGCCAAAATTGTACCACTGCACTCCAGCCTGGGCGACAGAGTGAGACTCCGTCTCAAAAAAAAAAAAAAAAAAGAAAAAAAAAGAATGTAATCTAAAAATGCATATGGTGAAACTTATCCTTAATTCATTTCCCCTCCATCTAAAGTAGGGTTCATTTGGGCTACTATAGACCAATAATCTAGGTTTTAATTGACATGTCATCCAAAAGCAATTATCGAACACCTGGTTGCCTTAGGACAGTTTCCCCCCATTCATCCTATAGGTGTAGATTCACTGTCTTCTTAGGTAACCGCTTAACCATTTTGCTCTTTAAATGACCTATGAAAGGCTTGATTTTCTTATAATGAACACCTATAATGATTTTCAACAGGCCGGGCACAGGAGCTCATGCCTGTTATGCCAGCACTTAGGGAGGCCCAGGTGGTGGATTGCTTGAGCCCAGGAGTTCAAGACAAGCCTGGGCAACATGGTGAAATCTTGTCTCTACAAAAAATAGAAAAATTAGCTGGGCGTAGTGATGTGTGCCTATAGTCCCAGCTAGTCGGGAGGCTGAGGTGGGAGGATCACTTGCGCCCAGGAGGCAAAGGTTGCAGTGAGCAGTGATCGCACCACTCCAGCCTGGGTGACAGAGCGAGACCCTGTCTCAAAATAAAAACTAAAAGAAAAAAAAAAGCAGATTTTCGGCGTCTGGAATTGCAAAGTCATATTCCCAGGAATCATGACTATATCTTCATTGTAATTTCATGACCTACTTTTTATTTAATTAAAAAGACTGTTTTGTCAGTTACCTTCTGTAAATAAGGCTGACATTCAGCCACTGTGCACCAATACAGCTGTATCAATTGTTGGTAGCCGATATTCATTCTAATTTGTGGGTCCCAGCTGTTCAATATCTAGGTATCTAAAGCCAACATTGAGATTTATTTGAACATTGTTCAAAATAAAGAAATTGAGCACATTCCCCTTAATATGAAAAGGCTTGTAAGGACTGGGATATATCCTACTTTTCTGAGGGATAATGTTGGGGTGAGGAAAAAAAAACCTCGCCCTGTTTTTGGGTGATGTAGGAGATGAGAAAATCACCCATGAAGAGATAGTAGATAAAAGAAGGTGGCCTTGGACAGAGCCCTGGGTTGTTCCAGCATGTAGAGGTTTCACATAAGAGGAGTGAGAAAAGGAATTTGAGAAGGAGCAGGCAGGGAGATAGCAGGAAAACTAAAAGAGTAGTGAAAAAGTATTTTTGAGATGAACAGGGAAGGGATCAGGTGTGTCAAATGGTGATAGATCGAGCAATACGAGGACAACACACTGACCATGGATTTGGCAAGGCAGAGGCTGTTAGTGAGCTTGAAGAGAGCTATTTCTTTGGAGTAATGAGGTATGAGAATGATTGGATAGGGGTGAGTAGAGACTGAGATATGAAGAAGTAGAGGCAGAAAAAAAAGACAAGTCTTACGCTCTGAAGGGAAGCAGAAATGAAGTAGGATTGAGAAAGATAAAATTTAGTGTGCACATTGGAGTTGTTAGAAGTAAAAAGATGGGCCTTGGAGAAGAATTTGGGAAGCCAGTAGACAACTAAAAGTAACATTTCATCTCAAAGACTACAGAGATTTGTGGCTTTAGAGCCTCTGAAAGGTACGTAGTGCTTGGCCTGCTCATGTATGTTAGCAGAGGAATAGGATGTGATATGTATGTCTAGCCACCTGAAAAAATCTCTCTTTCAGCTTTCTTGTCGATGCTTGCACATCTTTAGAAGACCATATTCATACCGAAGGGCTTTTTCGGAAATCAGGATCTGTGATTCGCCTAAAAGCACTAAAGGTGAGCATATTGTTGAACTATTAATTTTTCATTTGAGCCATTTTCTGATTTGGTTTTTAAAACTGAAATATTTAGAACTATTAATATGAATAGTTGACAGAAATTGAATTTGCATTTTTTTCATGGCAGAAGATTTTTTTTTTCCAAAAGAAATGGTATATTATTTCTATCATGCTTTAAAAATTTAATAGGGTACTTTTAAATTCATGGTCCTTATTTCTATCAAGTATTATGTAAAATGAAAAAAATGTGTTAAGTTATATTGTTGTTAGCCTTCTAGAAGGAGTGATAGAGCTGAGTGTGGTGGCACATGCTTGTAGTCCCAGCTACTTGGGAGGCTAAGGCAGGAAGATTGCTTGAGCCTGGGAGTTTGAAGCCAGCCCAGGCCACATAGTCTGTGCCACATTTCTATAAAAATAAAAATAAATTCAAAAATCATTAAAAATAAAGTAGTGACATATATTAAAATAAGAGTTAAGAGAAATTTATTAAAGAAAAGTGTAATTAGAGTATAACAAAAGATACTTTATTTGCAATAAACTCTTAAGTTGCCAAAATACTCAAGATTATTATATTTATTTCAGAATAAAGTGGATCATGGTGAAGGTTGCCTATCTTCTGCACCTCCTTGTGATATTGCGGGACTTCTTAAGCAGTTTTTTAGGGAACTGCCAGAGCCCATTCTCCCAGCTGATTTGCATGAAGCACTTTTGAAAGCTCAACAGTTAGGCACAGAGGAAAAGAATAAAGCTACACTGTTGCTCTCCTGTCTTCTGGCTGACCACACAGTTCATGTATTAAGATACTTCTTTAACTTTCTCAGGAATGTTTCTCTTAGGTAAGTGGTAATTAAAACTCTTGGCAAATAATAGTTGAATTTTTCAACTAACGTTTTATGCTTGTAGATATGTACAATTTCATTTGGAATGGAAATTTTTCTTTAAAAATTCCATATTTCATTACTATGAGGAGTATACTCCAATTTAAGAAACAGCATACCAAATGATTTAATATTTCCTTATCTTAAAGTCATCATCATGAATGCCTTAATGGTTCATTGGTGTTTATAAGATTCATTGTCCACTGAAAGCCTTTGTTTACTGGGTTTTTAAAATATTTCTGTTTTGCTTTTCAAAATTTCCCTCTCCCTGCTGTCAGTGAGCCTGCTTATTCTAGACATACTTGCTGCCTTCTGATACTTCCAACTTTTTATGTGTAGGTCTGAAAATCAGATAAAGATGTTCAATTTGTGTGGAAAAGCAAAGTATGAACTCTAAGATTAGCATGGTTTTTAGAATACATATTTAAATATAGAGAGGCTATATATTTCTGGTTCTTTCTTGTGTTCAAGCCAATCATGTAGATGAAGGGTAACTATTTTGACTTGTGTATGACTGATAATAAGGTCTTCAAAATGTACTACATACGTTATTTTAACTCTTCTGTATTTTCACGTTTGGCTCCATCTAATAAAGCGTTTATTCACTTAAGATCCAGTGAGAATAAGATGGACAGCAGCAATCTTGCAGTAATATTTGCACCGAATCTTCTTCAGACAAGTGAAGGACATGAAAAGATGTCTTCTAACACAGAAAAGAAGCTACGATTACAGGCTGCAGTAGTACAGACTCTTATCGATTATGCATCAGATATTGGTAAGATGTAGTTGCATTATTAACAGAATTTGTTTAAATGAGGAAAATCTCTGTTTCTTTCAAAGGAACTATGAAGGCAACTGTTAGAAAGTTGGTATATTACTGACCTCACCCCCACCCTACAGTACCGGCCCCTCCTGCAAAGAAAAAAAGAAAAGAAATTGGTATATTAGTATCTAAACATTTTTGGGGAAGAGTGGAGGAAGGATAATAATTGTCTTACTTGTGAACATTTTCATTTAGGGCGTGTACCAGATTTTATCCTGGAAAAGATACCAGCCATGTTGGGTATTGATGGTCTCTGTGCTACTCCATCACTGGAAGGCTTTGAAGAAGGTGAATATGAAACTCCTGGTGAATATAAGAGAAAGAGAAGACAAAGTGTAGGAGGTAAGTGGCGGTCCCATTTTATGGAGGTACAGTGATTTGCTTTAATCGAAAGTACATTTCACATAAAGAAGCATGAACTGTGGTATGTGCCTTTTTGGTGCTTAAAGCACAGCTGGAAAGATAGGACGTATGCGTGTAAAAAGTTAAAGCGATAGTACAATCTAATGTTAAGTGCTACATCTTTAGCACAAACATAAAATGTGTTAAAAGGAGAAAAGTTCCCTGGATTGTAATTATCAGGGACTTGTCAAAGAGGAGCCAAACTGAACCTTCTTGAATAATGGATAGAATTTAGTGGGATTGGGTGGAGGATCAGAATACTTGTATCCTATTCTAGATGAGAAGGATGCTATGAAGAAAGGTTTGTGTAGGGAAGAAGTAACCTATGTCTAATGTAGATAGTGCAGTATGACTTGAGTGAAGTGTTCAGCATAAGGATAAAGGATGGTATTATGGTAAACTTAATGCCAGGCTAAAGAATTAGAATATTAACCTGGGTGTTGGTGAATCATTGAAGATTTATGATGTGAGGCATGATATGATTTAAAAATTTTAGAAAATTACCTGATTTGAAGAATTGAGACTTGGAAGTAGGGAGAATGGTCAGCAATGTGTGTCAGTAGTCCAGGCATCAGATTATTGTTTGAACTTGTTAGTGACATGGATTAGTTAGGAGTACGAACTAAATAATGAAGGAAATATTATCAAGGAAGAATCAGAAAGACCAAAAGACCATCATAAGATGGTAGAGTTGGTAATAAAACTTGCAATCTCCTTGATCAAGAAGTCAGAGGCCATTATTCTTCCAATTACTTTAGGAAATTTATTATCTTTTGAATATCAGAACCAAATGTTACTAACTATCCCAATCCCTTTTTCATCTTTTGGTTTATTTGTTATTGCATACTTGTGTTTCTTCTTTACCTCCTTTGTAGATAGGATAATACTGATGACTTATGTATGATTTTCCTAGGGCTACTGTAGCAAAGTACTACAAACTAGGTGGCTTAAATCAACAGAAATTTGTCTCACCGTTCTGGAGGCTAGAAGTCTGAAATCAAGGTGTTGGCAGAATGCCTGAAACCTGCAGGGGAGAATCCTTTCTTGCCTCTTCCTGGCTCCTGGTAGTGGCTGTCAGTCCTTAGCATTCCTTGGCTTGCAGCCGCGTCACTCCAATCCCTGCCTATGTCATCCTATGATGTTGCTCTGTGTCAGAACTTCCCTCTTACAGGGCACATTGGATTAGGGCCCACCCAAATGACCTCATTTTAACTCGAGTACATCTGTAAAGACACGAATTCCAAGTATGGTCACCTTCATAGGAACTGGGGGTTAGGACTTAAACATAGGTTTTTTGGAGAACACAATGCAACCCATAAAACTTCCTATCCCCAATGGAGATATTTCTCAGATGCAGATCATCTTTATTGCCCTCTTTCCCAGTCCTGTAGTTTCAGTTATCACCAGTCCTGTAGTTTCAGTTATCACATCTAAATAGATAACCACCACATCTGTACCACCGTTATCTTGAAAATGTCAGTTCCACTTTACTAATGGCTTGCTAGGGAGACCTCATCACATCTGCTTTTCATTGGTGCTTTAAGCTTAACGTTTTGAAATGACCATCTTTATCCTCTTTATCCTGGTTCTGTGTGAATTCCATTTTCTTCTAACAGCACCACTATTCCCTAGATACTCAGGCTTTAACCATGGGTTCTACCTCTTCCTCTACCATCTATAATCAGACAGTTTTCATGTCGTATAAGATTCTATCTCCGTAGTGTTTATTGCATTGTTACTGTAAGAATCTTCTTGGCCGGGCGCGATGGCTCACGCCTGTAATTCCAGCACTTTGGGAGGCCAAGGTGGGCGGATCATGAGGTCAGGAGATCGAGACCATCCTAGCTAACACAGTGAAACCCCGTCTCTACTAAGAATATAAAAAATTAGCTGGGCGTGGTGGCGGGCGCCTGTAGTCCCAGCTACTTGGGAGGCTGAGGCAGGAGAATGGTGTGAACCTGGGAGGCGGAGGTTGTAGTTGGCTGAGATCGGGCCACTGCACTCCAGCCTGGGCAACATAGCGAGACTCCGTCTCAAAAATAAAAATTAAAAAAAGAATCTTCTTGGTCTTTATGCCTCCTCCTTGAATCTACCCTACATATTGCTATTAAGGCTCACTTTTTTTTTTTTTTTTGAGACGGAGTCTGTCTTTGTCACCCAGGCTGGGGTGCAGTGATGCTACCTTGGTTCACTGCAATCTCCACCTCCTGGGTTCAAGCGATTCTCTTGCCTCAGTCTCCCAAGTAGCTGGGATTACAGGTGCACGCTACCACGCCTGGCTAATTTTTGTATATTTAGTAGAAAGGGGGTTTCACTGTGTTGGCCAGGCTGGTCTCTAACTCCTGACATCAAGTAATCTGCTTGCCTTGGCCTCCCAAAATGCTAGGATTACAGGTGTGAGCCACTGCACCTGGCCAAGGCTTACATTTTAAATGTATAACTCTACTCAAGTATCTCACACACATACCCTTCAGAAATTTTAATTGGTAATAGGGATATTTATAGCTTGGCATTAAAGGTCTTTCATAGGATTGCTCTAGCATACCTGTCTACTATTTCCTGTCTTTGAGCAACTTTAGTCAAACTATGTTATTTATTTTCCAGACACTTTTATTCATTTGCTTACACTATTTATTGATATAATGTTTTTACTTCCATCTCTACTGATCTTTTAAATACTTTTATTCGTGCCTCCATTTCCATGGTTCTTGCCTCAGTTCAGACCTTCATCTTTTGCCTTAACATGTAATGATTTCTTTTTCCCTACCCTTACTGTACATTATATGTATTTGTATTACATTTCTTTCTGTATTGTGTCTTTTTTATTTTAGGGATATGGAAGTATAAGTGGGGAATGGAATAAAAATATATCCTTTAGTATTTTTCCTATTTTGAAATAATTCCTCTTAAATAACTTAAAATTTATAAGCCGATGTAAAGTTACATGTTGAAAGAAGACTGCAAATATTAATATGAATTATTGGTGAAAGACAAGTAAATGTGAAGTTGTAATTGCTTATGCCTTGCATTTCAGATTTTGTTAGTGGAGCACTAAATAAATTTAAACCTAACAGAACACCTTCTATTACACCTCAAGAAGAAAGAATTGGTAGGTATTTATTATATGCATTTATTTAAATTAAAATTTGTATAGTATTCTATAAAATACAATTACAATAATAATTACCTAACTTAGTAATCAAATTTAGTTTAATCAAATCAAATATTATTTTTAATAGTCATACTGTACTATACACACTATGTTGTGACATTGCTAATTACATAGGCTATAATGAACCCAAAATTGTAGGCAAAAATTTTTTTAGTCTCCTGTCTTTAATCTTCTTAATCATGCTTTTCTGTTTGTAATTTAGATGCTATTAAGCGTGTGAAAATAGTTCAACCTCATTTTTATCTTAGGACTAGAAGTTCATTATTGTATATTTCAATTTTTTATTCTAATTTGCTTGTGGCTGAAATTATTCAGCCAGTAAGAGTCAACATGATCTTCTGTTTTCTAGAGTGAAGAAATGAACTGGTTAATACTCACTTATGATGAAAAGCAAAAATAATATTTAGATTAGTTTTTGTTTCAACTCCTTGATTGTAATTTCTTCCTTACATTAATATTCTTTAATGTATATCATATGCATCTTTTAGTCTGTTAGATTTAAGTAACTGCTGTCTCTTAAGAGTCTTGCCTCTGCGACTTCCTTATTTTCATTTAAGTAATTGCAGAGTGTTTTAGTTAAACAACATCTACTTAACTGATGATGTAAATATATTCTCATTTTTTGTTTAGCTCTAAGTAATAGCTTTATAAGAAGAAATTATGTAAAGCTTTTATATGTTGTCAACTCTGCAGTAGAAACAAGTTGGTTTTGTTTTGATATTTTTTCAGCCCAGCTATCTGAATCACCAGTGATTCTTACACCAAATGCTAAGCGTACATTGCCAGTAGATTCTTCTCATGGTTTCTCAAGTAAGAAAAGGAAGTCCATCAAGCACAATTTTAACTTTGAGCTGTTGCCAAGTAATCTCTTCAATAGCAGTTCTACACCGGTATCAGGTAGCAAATAGAATTTATATAAATGGATTGTAAAGATTAAAATGAGTGCCTATTCTGGGCACAGTGCAATTTCATATTAATAATACCACCCTTAGGAACTAGAACTTTATTCTGTTTTATCCAACCTATGAATTTTTATAAAACCCCCTGCCTTTTAAAATAGACACTGTTTCAATATAGTGTGTGTGTGTGTGTGTGTGTGTGTGTGTGTGTTATGACAACATCTATTGAAAGTTGTGATAACCCAGAGTAGTAGTTTGGGCTTCTGGTGATAGCATTGATGCTTAGGTTTTATGTGATTAGACATCCTGAATCCTGCTATAGTTACATCTGGGTCTATAGCTGTGGCTTTATTGCTGTCATTTGTTGAATTGAGGTTGCCAGATGTTTGATCATGTCTGATTCCCAAGTGGGAGCGTTACTATTGCAGGTTATGGTTTGAAAATGAGGGTATTTTTAAAGTTTTAGACTCAAGTACCTTTTGTAAAAGCTTTAGAACTTTGTTGACGCTGTTCCTTGTGCCATGGCTTCCAGATCCCTTACCAGCCCAGCCATTTTCTTCCATATTAACTACAAGTTCTAATGTGGCCAACCAGAGCCTTCAGAGAGTAATAGAGTATGATCATGCTAATCCGGAGATTAGTCTGGGTCTTAGATTCAATTGGCTCTTTTAGCATATACAGAATTCAAGTTGGCTCATATTAACCTTACGATCAACCAAAAATGAAATGAAACTCTAAGCCCAGGGTCCTCCATCTCATTTATCTTACATTTAGTCAAAATGTGAGTGATCTCTGATTATTTTAGATTTTTTATTTTGTTGGTTTCAGACAATGTTAAGTTTCATTTTTGATTCATTATCTGAGTTATATGAGTTCCTTCCCAAAGCCTGTCTCTTTTTTCTGTTGTCCAAAAGGGTTCTTATTTGTTTTATTGAGAAGTTGAACAGAATAGCAACTTGAGGTTTTCCAGAAAAAAACACTTCTTCACAGGTTCTCTAGGGCTCATTGAAATGTGATGATAGTAACTCTGAAGCTTATGTCTGTAGCTTTTGCAGTGTTCACAGGTTGGAGACTTAAACTTTTTTAAGTAACATAGTTCAGTTGTTTTTTTTTTTGAATATATCCTTTGCAGTTTGGAGGACTTTTTCCAAATGGCAAATGGGAGTTGTAGTTCTACCTGCCTTTGCTTATTAGCATTACATTTTCCCCAAGGAATGAACATACTGATTCCTTCTTCTCCTCCTCCAAGCTCCCAAAACAGAGGTTAAACAGTCTTGTGCTATTTTTAGTTTGAGCTTGCCTAATCAATGAATTTTTTTATAAAAAAATTTAAAAGTTCAACAATAGTAATCGTATTATTTTTACACCACTTTTCTTTGACCCTACTTTCTCAGCCACAATTCAACAAATTCCATTTGCAAAATTGAAAATAGATTGATTTCTAAGTTTAGATTATAACAAATATGATGCTTTTAAAAATATATAAAGGCAACATTAGTCTGTAGTCCATAGAGTATCTATTCATAATTGTCTCTTTTTTTTTTTTTTGAGACAGAGTTTTGCTCTTGTTGCCCAGGCTAGAGTGCAATGGCACAATCTCGGCTCACTGCAGCCACCACCTCTCAGGTTCAAGCGATTTTCCTGCCTCAGCCTCCCAGGTAGCTGGGATTATAGGTGGCCACCACCACACCTGGCTAATTTTCTTTTGCATTTTTAGTAGAGACGGGGTTTCACCACGTTGGCCAGGCTGGTCTTGAACTCCCGACATTAGCTGATCAACCTGCCTTGGTCTTCCAAAGTGCTGGGATTACAGGTGTGAGCCACCATGCCTGGCCATAATTTTCTTACAGATGTGATAAATTTGCATTGTTCCATATATTCTGACTGTGCCTCCTGCGACCATTGACACATTTTTTATTTTTATTTTTTGAGACGGAGTCTCGCTCTGTCTCCCAGGCTGGAGTACAGTGGCATGATCTTGGCTCACTACAACATCCACCTCCGATGTTCAAGTGATTCTTGTGCCTCAGCCTCCTGAGTAGTTGGGATTACAGGCATGCACCACCACACCCAGCTAATTTTTGTATTTTTAGTAGAGATGGGATTTCACCATGTTGGCCAGGCTGGTTTGAACTCCTGGCCTCAAGCAATCCGCCCACCTCAGCCTCCCAAAATACTGGGATTACAGACGTGAGTCACGGTGCCTGGCCGGACACATTTTTAAAGTGACTAGACTGCAGCCCTAGAATAAAGCTACTTATGTCACTTTAGATGTATAATATTGGCTTCCAAAATTTTCTTTAGCTAAATGCACCCAAAAGTTTCTAAGGTGGTTGTATTTTTTCCGTTTTCATAATTGAAAAAATGTGAATGTCTCTGGGAAACTTTGTGAATTCTTTATTAATAACTCAGATGAATTGAGAGGGTTCATGTTTGTTGAATGTGTCCTGGGCGTGATTCAAACATAAATGTATATGGAGCCTTTGTTCATAACTATTTTACTTCTTTCGTAATTGTTTACTATAGTTGATTTCATAATATAAATGGTGTTAAATAATTGAGCTTCTGTTGTACCAGTAATTATTTGCATGGAACACAGCAGCAGCCAAGGGATTAGGAATGTGTTATAGAATAATTAGTTTTTGTTTACTTGCCAAAAATATTGAACAAATTACATTCCGGAGTCAGGTGGGTAGCAGTTGGCCAGCAGGTATATCTCAAATACTCAGATTCCAACTTGTTTGCCAATAGCTTATTTTTTATAATACCATTAATTGGTATTATGTACTAGATACTGACTAAATATTTTATATAGATAACAGTAATATTCATCATAGAAGTCCGTTTTCAGAGCCTAAAGCCATTTAGTAAGTGATGGAGCAAACTCAAGCCTGTCTCCAAATCTTGTTCTTTTTCCAGTCTGCAATGGTGCCTATCCCTGCCTTGTATTATTAACAGAGTTTAAAGAAAAGCTCTAATATAAAAGTAATGCTTAAGCTGACCTTTAATTGGCAAGTCAAAAGTAAAAAATGAATGCTTTTTCTTAGCTGAGTTGGGTTATTTGACACTTGAAGTTTCTAACCAGAAATTAAGTGATTTCGGTTGTTGCTTGGGATAGAAATTAAGGCTTTGAATCTAATTGCTGCTATTACTATTTTATACTTTAAAAGGAAAATAGATATGTGTGGTATATTACATGTGGTTATTTTTGTAGTTCACATCGATACAAGCTCAGAAGGGTCATCTCAGAGTTCACTCTCTCCTGTACTCATTGGTGGAAACCATTTGATCACTGCAGGTGTGCCAAGGCGAAGTAAAAGAATTGCAGGCAAAAAAGTTTGCAGGTACTTTATCCAGGACATTTTGTTTTCATCGGATAAATATTTGGTGTACACATAATTAATAAAATGTTTTGTCTTTCTGTCAAGCATCATATTTGAGTCATAATTTTTTAAAATCCCTTCTGCCTTTATAGTCTTATTAATCAATTGCCTTTTCAATACCCACCAGAGAAAAATTACTAATTTGAGTCCGCTTTGCTTGCTTAAAATCCTATTTTATGTTGATGGTGTAATTTTAAAATTTCCTGTTAGAGGCTGGGCACGGTGGCTTATGCCTGTAATCCTAGCACTTAGGGAGGCTGAGGTGGGTGGAGCACTTGAGCTCAGGAGTTCAAGACCAGCCTGGGCAACATGGCAAAACCTCATCTCTACTAAAAAGTACAAAAATTAGCCAGGCATGGTGCCACATGCCTGTAGTCCCAGCTACCTGGGAGGCTGAGGTGAGAGGATCATCTGAGCCCAGGGATGTCAAGGCTACAGTGAGCAGTGATTATGCCATTATACTCCAGCCTGGGCCGCAGAGTGAGACCCTGTCTCAAAAAATAAAAAACAAAGAAAAAAATTCCTGTTAGGTTAAAAAGCTAGCCTATTCTAACAATTCTGAGTTATAACTGACTGACTAACTTTTAAGATTAGCAGATCATTTTTTATGCAAATGCAGTGTGTTCATGTATGGTATCTTAAAGTTGAACTGTTTTTAAAGAATTATTAATCCATCCAATTATTATCAATATGATTTGCTGTGGACTTTATTTCAAATTTCGTATTTCAAGTATTTCTCTGGTGTTTATACTATAAACTGACATTTTTAATTCCACTTCTTCTAGAGTGGAATCAGGAAAAGCAGGCTGCTTTTCTCCTAAAATCAGCCATAAAGAAAAGGTTCGAAGATCTCTGCGTTTGAAATTCAATCTAGGGAAAAATGGCAGAGAAGTAGTAAGTTTCTTACCATTTTATTGATCTTTATATTAGCATAACGCTATAAACTTGATACTAAAAAACACTCATAGCCCTACCTTCCTTCCAGTGACTGTCTCATTCTGTTCTTTTTATCCAAAACTCTTATACTTGAGTTGATATCAAATTTCCTTGCATTGGAGTACCCAAAGCTTAGTCCTTGGACTTCTCTTTTTTCTCTCCACTCACTCAAGGTGATCATCAGTTTTAAACATTATATACAGGTTGAGTAGCACTTATCCAGAATGCTTGAGACCAGAAGTATTTCAGATTCCCCATTTTTGGGGGGGATTTTGGAATATTTACATTATTTTTACTAGTTCAGCATCCCTAATCTGAAAGTCTGGAATGCTCCAGTGAGCATTTTCTTTGAACATCATGTCAAATACTTAAAAGCTTTGGATTTTTGGAGCATCCAGAACTTTGGCTTTTCAGATTTGGAATGCCCAACCTGTATTTACTTAAAACTTCCAAGTTTATGTTCTCTAGTCCCAAATGCTCTTCTGAATGACTCCGCTGTCTCTTAACATCTGCTTTTTTGACTCTCCTACTTGGATATCTAATCCAATAGGCATTTCAAATGTAACCTGTCCCAAGCAGATGGATTTCTTTGCTGCTGCTATGCCCTGCACCAAACAACACTTTTACCTGTGGTTTTCCCTATCTCAGTTATGGCAAATCGTTCTTCCAGTCACTTAAGCCAAAAACCATGGTCAAATCCTTGATTCCTCACTTTCTCTGAGACACCATGTCTAATCCATTAGAGAATCTTGTCTAACTTCTGCTTTTAGAGTATCTCCAAACTGACCAGTTCTCACTATTACTACTTTTCCCACTTTCTCTAAGTTCTGTCATCTCTCAGCTGGATTACTCTAGTAAACTCCTGTTAATAGTTCTTCCTTCTCCTACCCTTGCTGCAGTTCTGTAGTTGAAATTTATCTTTTAAAATCTGTTAGGTTATGTAGTTTTCTGCTCAGAACTCTCCAGTGACTCCTCGTTTCACTCTGAATAAAAGCCAGAGTTCTCATGTTGACCTGCAAAGGCCTCACGTGATCTGTTCTCAGGCTGCATTTCTGAGCTCTCCTCCAGTCCCCCTTGCTCACTCTGCTCCAGTCTCAGAGACTGCACTGGCATTCTGCTCTTTCTGTAGTGTTCTTCCCCCTTAAATCTTCATGGCTCTCACCTTTGTTTTGTTTTACTCACAAATTATCTCCTCATCACCCTATTTTAAACTAAACCTCCATTCTTCACCACTCCATATCCTTTTTACTCTGTTTTACTTTTCTCCGTAGCACTTTTCACCTTGTATATTGTATTTATGCAATATAATTTACTGTTTATCTTAAGTCTAAATTTCCCCATCTAAATAGAATGTAAATTACATAAGGATAAGATTTTGGTCTAGGTACCCCACTGCCCCAACTATTTGTGAACAGGCCCTAGCACAGAGTCAGAGCACACACAGAAATTATTTTAATTAATATGTGAGACTGTTTTAAAAATAGATCATAAAATATCAACTAATAGCAAAATCAAATGATTACAGTTTTCATTAGCAGGCAAGAATGTTTGTCATTGTTAAGAATTGTTTCTCAATTATATATCCCTTTTTAAATCAGCTAAAGATTTTGATAACTACAAAAAATTATTCTGTCTTTATATTTTGAATTAACTAGGCTTATTTCTTAACTAAAACTTTTTTTTTTCTGTACAGAATGGATGTTCTGGTGTCAATAGATATGAAAGTGTTGGTTGGCGACTTGCAAATCAACAAAGTTTAAAAAATCGAATTGAATCTGTAAAAACAGGTTTGCTTTTTAGCCCAGATGTTGATGAAAAGTTACCAAAGAAAGGTACATTTACATACTACTGTTAGAGTTTTACCTAAAAATCCTGCTTTAGTTGCTTTTTTAATGGCAAAACATATTAATTAATTTACTGTTCTAGAGATTAAAAGTTCATGTTTGAATAGTGAAAATATTAGAATTGGCAATGTATTTTTCTATCAACAATTGGGAAATGCTTATACATGTAAATATGAAAATGTTTGACATTCTTATGTTAAAAATTATTTCTTGTAACACAAATACTTTATTAGAATTAAATGCTTAGTGACTTATTTGCCATGTGCTTGGGTATTATTTCAAAACAAGGTTAAATACAAAGGATTAAGCACTGAACTGCTTTATTTTAGGTTCAGAAAAGATCAGTAAGTCTGAGGAAACCTTACTAACTCCAGAGCGACTAGTTGGAACAAATTACCGGATGTCTTGGACAGGACCTAATAATTCAAGTTTTCAAGAAGTAGATGCAAATGAAGCTTCTTCAATGGTGGAAAATCTTGAGGTAGAAAACTCTTTGGAGCCTGATATTATGGTAGAAAAGTCACCTGCTACTTCATGTGAACTCACCCCTTCCAATTTAAACAATAAGCATAATAGCAACATAACAAGTAGCCCTCTTAGCGGGGATGAAAATAACATGACCAAAGAGACTTTGGTGAAAGTTCAAAAAGCGTTTTCTGAATCTGGAAGTAATCTTCACGCATTGATGAATCAGAGGCAGTCATCAGTAACTAATGTGGGGAAAGTAAAATTAACTGAACCATCTTATTTAGAAGATAGCCCAGAGGAAAATCTATTTGAAACTAATGATTTGACTATAGTAGAATCAAAGGAGAAATATGAACACCACACTGGTAAAGGTGAAAAATGTTTTTCAGAGAGGGACTTTTCACCCCTTCAAACTCAAACATTTAATAGAGAAACAACTATAAAATGTTATTCAACTCAGATGAAGATGGAACATGAAAAAGACATTCATTCAAATATGCCAAAAGATTATTTAAGCAAGCAAGAATTCTCCAGTGATGAAGAAATAAAGAAACAGCAGTCCCCAAAGGATAAACTAAATAATAAATTAAAAGAGAATGAGAATATGATGGAAGGTAACTTACCGAAGTGTGCAGCACATAGCAAGGACGAGGCTAGATCCTCTTTCTCACAGCAGAGTACATGTGTTGTAACAAACTTGTCAAAACCTAGGCCTATGAGAATTGCTAAACAGCAGTCATTGGAAACATGTGAGAAAACAGTTTCTGAAAGTTCACAAATGACAGAACATAGAAAGGTTTCTGATCACATACAGTGGTTTAACAAGCTTTCTTTAAATGAACCAAATAGAATAAAAGTCAAGTCACCTCTTAAGTTTCAGCGTACTCCTGTTCGTCAGTCCGTCAGAAGAATTAATTCTTTGTTGGAGTATAGCAGACAACCTACAGGGCATAAGTTGGCGAGTCTTGGTGATACAGCTTCTCCTTTGGTCAAATCAGTGAGCTGTGACGGTGCTCTTTCCTCTTGTATAGAAAGTGCATCAAAAGATTCCTCTGTTTCATGTATCAAATCAGGTCCTAAAGAACAGAAGTCCATGTCATGTGAAGAGTCAAATATTGGTGCAATTTCAAAGTCAAGCATGGAGTTACCCTCGAAATCTTTCTTAAAGATGAGGAAGCACCCAGATTCAGTGAATGCTTCTCTTAGGTCTACTACAGTTTATAAACAGAAGATCTTATCTGATGGCCAAGTTAAGGTTCCCTTGGATGATCTGACTAATCATGATATAGTAAAACCAGTTGTAAATAACAACATGGGCATTTCTTCTGGGATAAATAACAGGGTCCTTAGGAGACCATCAGAAAGAGGAAGGGCCTGGTACAAAGGTTCTCCAAAACATCCTATCGGAAAAACTCAATTACTACCAACAAGTAAACCTGTAGATTTGTAATTGGTAAATGTTATACTTGTCATTAATGTAAATAAAGTGAGTAATTGGTATGACTTGCAGGATGATGTACATGTTAGTTTGTAGCTCAGGATGATTGTTAAGCAATAGATTTGCTCTATTGAAAATGTTTCATTTTTTTCACTGTACAAGCAACTTAGATTTTTATTTGTACAAATTACTTCTTTGTTTTTCTTAATGATGGCAATTTTTAAACTTTAATTTTATTGTGATCTCTTAAAGCAGAGGTTAGACTTTACCTTTCTGACTCTGTCGTCCAGGCTGGAGTGCAGTGGCGCAATCTCACTGCAAGCTCCACTTCCTGGGTTCATGCCATTTTCCTGCCTCAGCCTCCCGAGTAGCTGGGACTACAGGTGCCCGCCACCACGCCCAGCTAATTTTTTGTATTTTTAGTAGAGACGGTTTCACCGTGTTAGCCAGGATGGTCTCGATCTCCTGACGTTGTGATCCGCCCGCCTCAGCCTCCCAAAGTGCTGGGATTACAGGCATGAGCCACCACGCCCGGCTAGACTTTACCTTTCTAAAGAAATTGTTTACTGGATTTATAAGAAGTTAATTTTTGAAAATGACATATTTTTGTGTGATAGAAAGAATGGAGCAAGTTGTGCCTATTTCCTCCAAGTCAGATAAGGTTTCTAAAATAAATAAATTTCTAGCATATAAAGGGTAGAGATAAACTCTGCAAATCTTATGTCTGGAATTATATTAATGTTTATTGTCCTTGCCAAAATTCCTAGAAATTAATTTCCTTCAATAGCATCCTAAAACTCTATTTTTATTTGGGGCAGAGTAATTTCATTTATAGTGCCAGTAGGTGTACCTTGTGTTCACTCGAACTAAGAACAATGGTTAAGGCAGAATAATGACTAAAATATGTTCATATATTATGATGTGGAAATAATTGATAACTTTTAAGCCATACTATGTTTTTAAAGATAATTTGCACAAACACGTTTGTGTCTGTTCTGTCCAATATAGATTTGGCAATTATTTAAAGAGGGATAATCTTGAAAAAAATTAACCAAGGTGATTTCTTATATGTAGATGCTCGATTTTGGAATTTGAAATAGTAGATGCACCTCTTTACCTTTTTTACTTGGATAAAAACCTATGATGATTTTGTCCTGTGTGTAAATGTTATTTATTTAGCATAGACATTAAAGATAACTCTCTGGAAAATGACTTGACTAAGGCTCTCATGAAATTCAAAGTGCCATTTAGAACATGCACCAAATTGTCAAGTAAATCTGTCTAAATTTATATTTTAAATTATTACAAATTACACATCTTTGAGGAAAGAGTATTATGAACAATAGAACATATTCTCTAGGTTGTAGAGGAAGGAATAAGCAGACAGAATCAACCACTAAAGGTAGTTTTTCAGATTGGTTGTTAGAATGTCATGTTTAGATGTTGGAGCAGATTAGAGCAGCATTCATGCCACTCGGAGCAACCAGACTTACAGCATAAGTATGTACGAGGAATTTCAAATCATCAGATGTTTGCTTGGCTAGGTTCTACTTTGTTTATTTGATATCAAATAGGTTTGTAGATGTTTATGGCATTTCTAATTGTAAGTAGAGACAAAATATTCATATAGTCAGATATATGTTGTCTGCTTTAAACAATTTTTAAATTTTAAAAATGCATTAACGTCTTTTTATATCCATCAAGGGAAGGATGAAATGTTGAATTTGAAGACTAATTCAGTAAGAAGTCCTAGGGGTTTAACTGTACATACTACCTGAACTGGCTTTTCTGAGAGATGAATCAATAATGAAACATGTCTGTTTTAAAAACTACCACATGTGACTCCTATTTTTGTTAGCTGAAAGCTGCTATACGGAGTATTACAGGAATGTGAAGGTGACTAGCTTGAAGGTAGGGTAACTAGAGAGCCAGAAAAGTTTTGTTTTAAACTTGATTTAATGCGTTTTTATTTTTTCTTATACAAAATAGAGATAATGTTGCTAACTTCATGGAATATTTGAGGAAATGATATGAAAGTGTCTGGACGTGCAGTAACCTCATGGGTTCTTCTCACTGTCTTATAAATGTAAATAAAGATCTAATATTAATTTGGTTATCTAATAACAACTTAATACATAGAACTTAGTAGACTGCATGGCCACATTCTATAATATGATCACTAAGAACTTAATGTAGGATTTTAATAGTCATGTTTTTCTTAATTGTGGCAGAATTTAAACCTTAATTTTGTGATCTTTTTTAGTTAGTTTGTTTTTTGTTTTCTTTTCTTTTTTTTTTTTTTTTTTTTTTGAGGCGGAGTCTCACTCTGTCGTCCAGGCTGGAGTGCAGTGGCACAATCTCAGCTCACCGCAACCTCCATCTCCCGAGTTCAAGCGATTCTTCTGCCTCAGCCTCCCAAGTAGTTGGGACTACAGGCATGCACCACCACGCCCAGCTAATTTTTGTAGTTTTAGTAGATACGGGATTTCACCATATTGGCCAGGCTGATCTCGAACTCCTGACCTTGTGATCCTCCCACCTTGGCCTCCCAAAGTGTTGGGATTATGGGCGTGAGCCACTGCACCTAACCTCTGTGATCTCTTAAATATATATGAAGTTTTATTTTTGAAACACCAAATTTCAAATGAAGCATAGGCATTTTGATCTATTTCAGTTAAATTTAACACAAAAGCAGTAAATTGTAGTGACTTCATTTTTTTCAACCACAAAATGAAGATAACAATGAACAAAGCTAAAGTAAAACTCAGAATTGAAAAAAGTCTCTGTGCATCAATAATAAATACTAACTCCAGCATGGCCAGTGAGCCTAGAGCCATTTAATGGATAGTGTTTGTCCTGTTGATTTAGCATGCATTGAAACAAGAAGCAAGAAGCAGATGAGCATCCGTGAAAGAAAAAGTACTGGGAAAGAGGCTTGGCTTCAAAATGAAAGGCCATGTGTCTCATAAATGAATTTTGCCAGCCTCTATTTATTGCATAAAAATTGCTGTAGATGATAATGGATTTGCTCTCTAGAGCTAAGATAAATAGATCTGGATTCTAACCTCATCAGGTTACTTGTTTTGAGACCCCCAGGTTCTTTACTCATCCTCCATCTTGATCAAATTTGTAGTGCCATATTTATTGTATGGCTTTACATTTTGATTTTAGTATTTGAACAAATTTCAGTGTTCAAGATTGCACATAGTAGGTGCTCCATAAACCCTTATTTAAGAATCTGGGACTACCTGGACATACTTCTACAGTATGCTGGGAGTATGGTTTCTCTTCAGGCCAAAGTGGAATTTTACTTGATGGTTTGTGTGGACGTTTAGAAATAACACTCAGAGCTGATATTTCTACAGATTTTCAAGTTTATCACTTTAATGGAAGTTTCTGGCTTCTTGTATTAAATATCCCCATAGTTTTCCTGATTAGTAAGAGGCCCCTCAGAGCAGGGTATACCTTATCATAGCCACCATTAAAAGTTCTTAGGACTTCATCTTTTGTCTCTCTACCATTCATTGCCTCTTCCCTCTTGAAGCTGAAAGGCTTTAGACACAAAAACAAAAAACATATTCTAGAAGTTGACAAAATTAAAGGTGTGCTGTAGTGGTGATCTGGCACGTTGTAATTGAGACTGAGGAGGTGAATGACTTACATGGAGGTCGATGGAGCTGAAGAGGGTCTCTAGGAAATGTCATAGTCAAGAGGTTTGTATGCAGAATGTGGGGGTTGAAGAGCTGTGCGGCTCCTGGTGAGAGGCACACTTATCTGGGATGCAGTCTGGGGAGTCCTGGCGAGGCAGCTTCCACCTGCTGGAGGAGGGGCCGGGGCGGAGCTAAGATGCGGAGGAGGGTGACGCACTAGCTCTCCAGTTCGCCCGTTCCTGGCCTGACCCCCACCAAGGCCCATACCGCAGTAGGCTCCTCGGGCTGCCCCTCGGTGAGTACAGTTTTGATGTCGGCTCGGCCGCCTGCCGCCAACCCGAGATTTGGTATTGCCAGTTGTGGGAGGGCGTCCTGCTAAAATCCTTGAGGTGGAGGCTGGGGTCAGACGAAGGATGCGTAGGGGATTAGAATGTTTGGCTATCAGTAAGGGGAAGGGAGTACTGAGGGAGGAGATTGTGTAGTTCATCAAATCAGAGCGGCGTTTGCTGGGATGACATCCTGCATTCAGAGTGGACAAGGGAAAGATGGAGATGGAGAGCCTCGTGTCTGCCTCCAGCCTTTTCCATCAGAATTGCAGATTTTGCTGTTAAACAGCTACTCTCAGCTCTTTGGAGAGCAAGGTTTTATATCTAGTGGCTAGAAAAGGCCTTTTCTTTGCAGAAAAAGAAATTGGAGGGTATAAAAATTTTTGTTTCAGTAAAGGAAATGCACGATTTTGCCTCCTCCCACCTCTCCATCCCCCATCCTCAGTAGAAGAATGATTAGAAGGAGGGTTTGCGCCGGTCCTGGTGGCTCACGCCTGTAATCCTAGCGCTTTGGGAGGCTGAGGGGAGGGGGTGGATCACCTGAGGTCAGGAGTTCGAGACCAGCCTGACCAATATGGTGAAACCCTGCCTCTATTAAAAATACAAAAATTAGCCGGGTTTGGTTGTGGGCGCCTGTAATTCCAGCTACTCGGGAGGCTGAGGCAGGAGAATCACTTGAACCTGGGAGGTGGAGGTTGCAGTGAGTCGAGATGGCGCCACTGCACTCCAGCCTGGGCAACAAGAGTGAAACTCCGTCTCAAAAAAAAAAAAAAAAAAAAAAAAAAAGGGTTTGCAAGGCCGCTGCCTGAAGCATGCATCCAAACACGTTAAGCAGCTGTGGGGTAAGCTGCAAGGATAATGTTCACTTGTTTTGCAGACATACCCATAGAAACCAACATTTTGGACAGGTTGACCCTCCCACCCCCAGGCTAGTTAACTCCCTCTCACCACCACTGCCTCCCCATATTCTAACCTCCAGAACTGTTAAGGCAATGTTAGCAACATAATAATAGCAATATAGGGGCTCATTCTGTGCCTGGCATTGTCCTAAACACTCTTAACATGTATTTGCACACACCCTCACAACAACCCTAAAAGGTAAATGCTTTAATTATCTCCGTTTTGCAGAGGAGGAAACTGAGGGACTTGCCTACGATCACTCAGCATGTGGCTGAGCAAACAAACCTCAAACTACCCCAGCAGATTGCAGGGCTGGATCTAAGGAACATTTTCCTTCCTTTCAGGATCGCAAACGTATTGGATGTTTGCTAAACTGAAATGTTTCCCTGCCACCACTCCCAACCTTCCTGAGCTTCTTGATTTGTGTCTTCCTGACTCCCTCCTGTTAGACTTTTATTCCCAGAGACTGGGAAAACCCAAGATGCCACTATCTCTTTCTCAAAATGTAAGCAAGTTTGGTTTATTTGTTTTAGTAAGAGAGGGAGAGAGTGATGAAGTTAGGAGTAATGCAGAACTTTCAGGGAGCTACAAGGAGGATAAAAATTATGAGTGAGAACCGCCATTCCAGCCTAGCTTTCTCAAGAATGCAAACAGAGGGAATTGGATACCTGCAACTGTTTTGTTTAATACCTTTCTGCAATGATGCTCTGCCTAGCATGGAAACTTAAGACAAAAGCAACCTCCTAAGGATTCTTTGTTACAACCCCTTTCTGGGTGGTCCTCGAACCACAACCTGGAGTGGTTGCATCATTATAATTGTATTATCACAATTGCCGATTGTAGCCTATCAGTATACATTTGGTCTTTTATCTGCAGGTTGACAATGGTCTCCAGGATGGTCTCTACCATGCTATCTGGCCTACTGTTTTGGCTGGCATCTGGATGGACTCCAGCATTTGCTTACAGCCCCCGGACCCCTGACCGGGTCTCAGAAGCAGATATCCAGAGGCTGCTTCATGGTGTTATGGAGCAATTGGGCATTGCCAGGCCCCGAGTGGAATATCCAGCTCACCAGGCCATGAATCTTGTGGGCCCCCAGAGCATTGAAGGTATTTACTGTGTTCTGATGGTTTGAAGTTTCCGTTAGCATTTTAAATAATATATTTGCACACTTCTCACAACAACCTTATAAGTAGATGCCTTTATTATCCTATTTTTTTCAGAGGAGGAAGCTAATTTTTAAGAGACTCTACTTTCTCATGGTTTTCCCTTTCTTCTTCTACACAGTGTCTACATACTTACATATACACACCCACATGAGACTATAAGTCCTGTGAGAGCAGGGACCTTATCTATCTAATTCATAGCTGTAGCCCTAGCACCTAGCACAATGTCTGGTACATAATAGGTGCTCAATTAATGTTTGTTGAATGAATGAAGGAGCATCTAGTGTTATCACTAAAGAAAGATTAGAACCCAGACATGATGTTTTCTCCTCACTGCTGATCTTCAGGAAATTGTGTCATCAGATAGCTGCCTTTTGAGTCAATGCCAGCCAGTACTTGTAAAAGAGCTTCAAAATGTAGAACCTACAGGATCTGACTTGATTCCTAGGAATGACTCCAGTATACCCAAGAGGAGACAAAAGAGGTACTGACATTAAGAGTTTACGTGAAAGCTTTTGAAAATATTTAAAAATATAACAATTTTATTAAATAATAAATTAAGAATAATTAAATCGTTTTAAGGTGGCAAGACCATTTTCCCCCTGAAGTTTTCCAAGTTTCTGGCAATGTGGTCATAATACTTGTATTAGAAAGCAGTACTTCATTTGTTTGTTGTTTAATGATTTGTTTATAAAGAGAATCTAGCTTCTATGAGCTGGTGATGCAGCGTTAGACAGATTCCTTATTTCCATGCTTTGCTTTTTATCCTCTGATTCTAATGATCTCCTTCTCCACTAAGGCAGAATCCTAAAGAAGTAGCATGGTTAATTTCAGTTAAATGCAAGGGAGCATTTCCTTATAGTTCAAGGATTTGCCCATGGAGTGGGTCCGAAGGAAAATGAGAATTATCTCTAAAAGCATACCAACCAAATGCTGTTTGTTCCCTACAGATTGATTATGCACTATTTTGCCAGAGTCTGTGATTTTCTAAAAATGCTATCTGCCCTAGGGTTCTGTGAATGCCATGAATATTGTTGATAGATGATTCTTATTTCTGTTTTGTTACCCATAGTTTTAAGCCATTGAGTAAAACTAATTCGGTGAGATTGTAGTCTGTTTAGGTTGACATTTGATTTCAGGAGTGGATTAACACAAATGCGTTGAATCGGCAAGCATGCAAACCTAGCACATGGCTTGAATTAGAACAAATCCGACAGAGCTTCCTGTCATCCCTTTTAGGGAGAATCTCAGTCCTTCTCAGCATCTGTCACCGTTACTTCAAGCACACCTATATATTTCAGGCCAGCTCTTTTGAGACAAACAATAAATATCTACCTTTTTAAGGCAGGAAGTGCTTGGTTATTCACCTAAGCTGTTGTCATGGAGTTCTCTGAGTTTCCACTAATACCTGAGGCCTGATCAGCTGTGCTGGAAAAGAAACAGCCACTCCCGGGGCATCAAAAGCCTCTTTATCCAGAGACTCCATTCCCTCCAGTATCCAACTATTTAGTACCCACTATATACCAGGCACTAGGCAGGAGACTGGTGCAGCTCTGCCCTAAAGATTCACAGTCTGAGTGGAGAGGGAAGTGGGGACACACATCAAAAGTTATGACAGTGCATCCCAGCAGGTGTTTTGATAGATGTACACACAAGCTGCCGCCGTGGAAGCAAACAGGAGTAATTTAGTCTGCTTAGGAGTGGATGGGGTGGCTATAAGGAAATGCTGCTTTGAAGAAGCAACATTTGACCTGGGTTTTGAAGTTTGAGTAAGAGTTCATCAGGGAACCATAAGTGTAAAGGCATGGAGGTACAACTATTATGTACCCACAAAAACTAAAAAAATAAAAGGCATGGAGACATGAAAGATCATGGATTAGGACAATTCAGAATTAAAAACTCTGTTTCCCTTATTACCCTTGGAATAATGTGCTTAACATAGCAATTTTTTTTTCTTCTTTTTGAGACAGAGTCTCACTCTGTCACCCAGGCTGGAGTGCAGTGGTGCAATCTTGGCTCACTGCAAGCTCTGCCTCCCGGGTTCACACCATTCTCCTGCCTCAGCCTCCTGAGTAGCTGTTTACAGGCGCCCGCCACCACGCCCGGCTAATTTTTTGTATTTTTAGTAGAGATGGGGTTTCACCGTGTTAGCCAGGATGGTCTCCATCTGACCTCATGATCCGCCTGCCTCGGCCTCCCAGAGTGCTGGGATCACAGGCGTGAGCCACCACACCCGGCCTAACATAGCAATCTTAAGTCTCCCCTATCAGTATCTGTGGAAGGGATGAATACTGACTTGAATTTTAGTTTTCTATTACTGTATAACAAATTACCACAAATTTAGCAGTTTCACACAGCATTCATTTATTATTTGAGTTTTCCACTGCTCAGGAGTTTGGTGCGGATTAGTGTTCAGGTGCTGACCAGAGGTGTCGTCTTGGCTGCAGCTTGCGTCCTCTTCCAAGCTCGTTAAGGCTGTTGGCAGAATTCCATTTGAATTATATTGTAGGACTGAGTTCCCTTTCTCTTGCTGGCTGTCAGCCAACCAAAGCCCCTCTCAGCTCTTAGAGGCCGCCTCAGGTTGTAAGCCACATGCCTTCTCATAGCTGGAAGGAGAATATCTCTTTAGTCTTCTAATTATAATGTAATATGATCCTGGGAGTGACTATCCCATGACCTTTTTCGGATAACAAGGGACTGATATCTCATTATATTCCCAGCAGGTGGGAATCTTGGGAGTCTTCCTAGAATTGTATACTATAGCTAGGATGAAAACTAACAAAGAAAATAGTCCAAAGATACTTGGGGCAAAAACAACAAAATAAAAAGCCTGGGTTTTTCCCAGTCTGGGACCTTGGCATTGAATTTGTTGGGTGGTCTGATCATTTATTCATGTGAGTTAGTTATTGTTTCACCTCATCCATTTATTTGCATTATCTTTGCTCACACTCCCTGATGCTAATTCCCTCTGACAGACACATGGAGTATCTTCCATACCCTTCCAACATTGATTTTAGGATTTTATTGTGAAGAACCAAGTTGGGAAAGTTTATTTTTAATTGTTACAGAAAGAATATACATAATATATTATCATATTTTATAGTAATACTGTATTCTGGTGTGAATTTCAAATACACTTAACATGGTGCTTATGAGCACAAACCATTGTCAGAGACACCCGAATTTGAATGCCAGCTTCATCATTTATTACTAATATGACCTTGGGCAAGTTACTTAACTCCTATAACCTTCTGTTTAGCTTAGGGGTAGGATTTAAATTCACTTACTTGTAAGCAGGTAATGTTCCAGTCCACAGAAGCAAAAATAAAGTTTTAGCATGGATAACTGTGCTACGATGAAATAATTTCTAAACAAATCATCATCATCATCACTTTAGATAATTACTGGATGTTAAGTTCCTTGCAGGCAGAGTTGTTCACTGCCCAACACATGGTACATAGAAGACAAATATCTATCTTGTCTACTTAAATAAATTAATTGTATGATCAATGGATCTTAACAAATGTGTATATTTGCTCTCAAATATAGAATTATAAATTGGCCTTTTAGTATAGGAATATAGTATCAGTATAAATTAATGTTAGGTCAGTGAGGTATCATATATCCCATTAAAAAAAACATATCTTCTTTGATTCCATATCCCTTCTAGTTACTGTTCCAATTTTCTGCTGCCTTTCACAGCAACCTTTCACAGCTGCCTTTCACAGCCTTTCCTCACATGCCAATTGTACTTCTTCACCTCTCATTCTCTCCTGGTCCATTGTAGCCCACTGTTCTCACCGCTCATTCATTAAACCTACTAGTATTTATTGAGTGCCAGGCACTGTTTTAGGTACTGAGGAAATAAACGTGAACAGCAAAGTAGCAGGGCGAGGAAATGTAGTCCTTAAATAAACAAATAAGTATTGGGCTTTCCTTTTTTCCTTTTTTTCTTTACCCATTTGTTAGTTTCGTTTACAGGTTTCTCTGGCGGCCTTTAAAAGTTAAGTTCTCCAGGGCTCAGTGCTGGGTCCACTTCTCTTATTTCCCTCAATTCTCTATCTACTTGATCTCATTCATTCTCTTGACTCTCAATCCATTTCTTGGCTGGTGACTCCGGTGTTTGTATTTCAGCCCACATTTCTTTCTTGCATATCCATAGGCTTACACTAATTGCTAAATTGCCAGGTTTCGATCCTGATTTCTCAAACCACCACCTTCCCCAGCCTGTTTATATCAGTCTTTTCTGTCTAAATGAGTAGTGCCCCTGCTTAGCCATATATGCAAACTAAATACCTACAGTAACCCTTGATTTTCTCCATCACACTTCATGCCTCAATTTTAAGTAATTTATTTCATTTTTATCTCTAAAATCCATGTGCAATTTCCTGTCTGCTTCTCTCTAGCTCTACTCCAAACACCCTGGTCCAAGATACCATCATGTCTGGCATGGAGTTTTGAAATCGCCTCCTAACTCATCTTCCTGCTTCTATTCTTGATCCCTTTTCGATTGTTCTTCACAGGAAGAACAGGAGTTAAACTTTTTTCAGGAGTTAAACTTGAAAAGTTTAAACCATATTAGTGTCATCTCCGTAGTTACAATTCCATTGGTGGCTTCCCATCGTACCCTGAATAAAAATAACCCTTCTTGCCATGACCTACGAGGATCCACAGCTCCAGTCAATCGTACTCCCTACTTTGTTCCACGCATTCTGGCCCTGAGTCACACCGGCCTCTTCCCACCTCAAGGCTATCAACACATTGGATGGGATCAACAATGGGAGGCTATCAACCTCCCATTCCTTGTGTAGCGAGTTTCAAAGTCACCCACTCAGAGAGGGCTGCCTGACTGCCCTGTCTGAGTAGCACCCCCCTACATTCTCTGTTGCAGTCTCCTTTTTTTTTTTTAAAAAAAAAACAGAGTCTCACTCTGTCCCCCAGGCTGGAGTGCAATGGTGCGATCTCGGCTCACTGCAAGCTCCGCCTCCCGGGTTCTCGCCATTCTCCTGCCTCAGCCTCCCCAGTAGCTGGGACTACAGGCGCCCGCCACCACGCCCGGCTAATTTTTTGTGTTTTTAGTAGAGACGGGGTTTCACCGTGTTAGCCTCCTGACCTCGTGATCCTCCCGCCTTGGCCTCCCAAAGTGCTGGGATTACAGGCGTGAGCCGCCATGTCCAGCCTTTTTTTTTAAAGCTCCATAGCATTTTTTGTCATTTATAATCATTGTTTGTTTTCTTGCTTATTGTTTATCTCTCCACTGGAATGTAAGCTCCATGAGGCTATATCTGCTTATTAACTGCATTATATTCCAGGCACATAGTAAGCATTCAGTAAATATTTGAGGAATTAATGTATAATATCAGGGGGAAATAAATATACCTAATGGCAATAAGTATGTAAATACTGTTTTACATCTGGATCTGTCAAGACTTTCTGCCTTTTAGTTCAAGGAAAATATTCCATTTCTATTCTGTTTTTAAAAATCTCTGCCTAGAGGTTCTTGCCATGAGCTTAGTGATAATGTGGTGAGCAAAAATGTCTGTTATCTAGAATTGACTATGACTGTGATCACCATGGTGCAAGGTTTGTGCCCTTTGTACAGCGCCTACCAAGGAGCTAGAAGGACTTTTTGCAGTCCTGGGACTAAACCAGCAGAGGGCCAACTAGACTAGAAGTTTATTTTGGAAGATTCCTGAACCCTGGTAGCCAGCCTCCTGGTCGTTAATAGCTTTAAGTGGTCGCTGGGGTAGAAGCATTTGCCAAAACATCCAGAGAGGATTGGGGGTTATGTTTAACTTCTCCGTGGGCGCCTTAAAAACAGCTTGGTAAGGAGCATCTTTCAAATGTGTAAATTCTTAGTCCAAAGCAAATAAAAACACAAAGACAAACAGGGACCTACTTGGCATTACATGAAAAAAAAGAGTGTGTATGTTTATGGCAGAGAACTCGGGTTAACCCGTAGCCGTACTATTTTCTAGCTATGTGTAATCCTGGCAACTTTCTAAGCCTAGTTCTCTCAAATAAAATCGGCCCAAATAAAATGGGCTTGTCTGGTTCGAGTTGGTGTTTGAAAAATAAAAATAAAATAAAATGGGGTTTCCAGCCCACTCTTACATGCAATCAGTGGGTGCCATTAGTAACTGAATTGCAGGCCTTCCTCCTCTCACTTTGTGGATTATCAACAACATGTTTTCAGTCTTTAATGGCTTACCCCAATCTTATTTATTTATTTATTTTTTGAGACGGAGTCTTGCTCTTTCGCCCAGGCTGGAGTGCAGTGGCGGGATCTCAGCTCACTGCAAGCTCTGCCCTCCCAGGTTCATGCCATTCTCCTGCCTCAGCCTCGCGAGTAGCTGGGACTACAGGTGCCCGCCACCACACCTGGCTAATTTTTTTTTCGTATTTTTAGTAGAGACGGGGTTTCACCATGTTAGCCAGGATGGTCTCGATCTCCTGACCTCGTGATCCGCCCATCTCGGCCTCCCAAAGTGCTGGGATTACAGGCGTGAGCCACCACGCCCGGCGCCCCAGTCTTATTTTTGATTACTCATCAGTTAGCAATACAGTTCAGATATGCTTCAGTGCACCATATATTTCAGCAGTAACCATCTTCTCCCAAGCCCACGGTTGCTCACTGGTCTCCAAGACATAGCTAAATGGCTACTGTTGTATTATCCCCAGAAACAAATAAAGCCACCAACTGTCCAGGGGACTGATTCGGAGAACCATGTGCTGTGAGATGGGAGCTCTTGGGAGTTAGAACTGGTTGTGCCAGCTGACACTGATGATGGCCTTGGATGGCCTTGGATGAATCCAACCAGAAAATGTGCTTTCGTTTTCAGAACATTAACAGCTTCAGGTAAAAGATAGGCTGCTCAGTGCCAGCTGTTCATTTTCCCCACAGTTCTAGGCCACCAGCTATCTAGCACTGTGATAACACCAGTTATCTAGCCATTAAGATAGAAATGTATAAACATTAGCATTTGATGGCTCTGAGTAATTTTAAATCCATATTGCCAAACATTAAAATACCCACGTTCTGCCGGGCGCGATGGCTCACGCCTGTAATCCCAGCACTTTGGGAGGCCGAGGCGGGCGGATCACCTGAGGTCAGAAGTTCGAGACCAGCCTGGCTAACATGGTGAAACCCCGTTTCTACTAAAAATACAAAAAATTAGCTGGGCATGGTGGCACGTGCCTGTAATCCCAGCTACTCGGGAGGCTGAGGCAGGAGAATCGCTTGAACCCTAAAGGCAGAGATTGCAGTGAGCCAAGATCGCCCATTGCACTCCAGCGTGGGCAACAAGAGCGAAACTCTGTCTCAGAAAAATAAAATAAAATAAAATACGTTCTTTTTTATAACACTGACTGTTGGACTTCAAATTTTTCACTTAGAAATAGAGACCCAAGGTTATTTTCTTAATAAATATCAAGTGGAGAAAGAGTCCTGTGGATGATAGGCTACTTGAAGAGGCAGATCCTAGGAGCCTCTACTCTGCCAAGCTTTGGCCTTGGTAAAGGAGCTGCAGTGCCTCCGCTTTGCCACAGGGTGGCAACAGTTGCTTCCCATTTGAGGATGGCGGGGTGAAGCAAACCTTGAACTGTAGGGGACACTCCGTTTCTGGCTAGTCTCTCTCTGCAGTTGGAGAAAGCAGTGCAGCTGACTCTTATGTGTCTTGACTAAAATCTGTTTCTAGGTTATCCTCACCCTGGAGGAACCAATGAGAACATTGGGCTTGTAGGCCATCTATGAATGGACTGGGACCGCCCAATGGGCCCATGCCTTTGGGGTTGCATTTTGTCCACCTTGAACTTCAATCCTTAAAGTCTCTGGATGATTTTCAGTTTTTCTCTGTTGAGCAATTGCATGGATAGTAATGAGAAATTCAAAAGAAACGGGGAGGTTCTTTTTGGGAGGGGAAAAGGATAGGAAAGATGAACACGATGACATGTTTGTGTATGTTTACAGTGTCCTGGGTATCCAGAAGGCACTTAGATGTATATGGCACAGGAGAGAAGTCTGGGAGAAGGAAGGGTTTCAGAGTCATCCCCGTGTTAGTGGTGGCTGATACTGTAGGGGTGGATGGGGTCACCCTGGGTGGGTATTGAGAACAACAGGGCACCTAAGACAAAGGCCAGGTAGATGAAGAAGAATCCACAAAGGAAACTGGGATAAATCGGCCAGAAAGGAGAAGAACCAGAAAGATAGAGTGTAATGAAAACAAGGAAATAGTGTTCTGAGAAGGGGCAGTGGTTACCACTGTCAGGATCAGCAGAGAGGTCACATGAAATAGTAAAAACCACTGGGTGTCAAGTGTTCACTGGGGGTAGCAACACAGAAGTTACTGCTTTGTGGGGGCTTTGGGCAGAGCCGGCTCTGGGGAGTAGTGGGGGCCCACCATACCTGCAGGGCATTGAGGGGATAAACAAGGAAGAAATGCAACGTATAAATGTGTTCCCAGAATGTCAGGTAAAGGGGAGATGAGTAATAGCTGTGGAAGGATTGGGGGAAGGGTGAATGATTTAGAGCTGAGGACGGTTTCTGTTAAGGTTGTTTTAGGATGTGAGAAATTGAACTTGCTGAAGTGCTAATTGCTAAGAACCAGCAGAGAGGGAGAGTTGAAGATGTGGGATGGGGAGCAGCAACTGAGGAGGTGGGAGAGGATGAGGACTGGAGCACAGGTGTTGGCCTGTGTCTTAGGTCTTTCCTTCCTCCATTGGGGAAAAAGGAAAGTGGCAAAGGTGTGCTGGGATACAGAGCTTTGGAGGTTTTGGCCTCAGGTGTTTGCAAGCACTGTACTAATTCTAGCCACCTTCTCAATTAAAATAAGAATACAAGAATGAAATGCAGTCTCCCAAATCTCTTTTCTTTGCCAGCTTATACATTTATACACCTCACTGATATGTCTTTTGATGTTTTAAAATTTTGGACAGCACTATTTTTAACTTTTACAACTATAACTATTAGTTATTTACTAGTTATAGTATAAACTTTTAATATTTACTTTTTATAACTCCTAGATGTCTTGTAGATCAAAAGATCTAAAGTGTCATCTTTGTCTATTTTATATCTTGTTTAATAGTAATAAATGTTTTAGTGAAGCATAAACCTAGAACAAAAATAGAAAATAATCTTAATAGGGTGTTGGGGAATTTTATGTGAACACTTCATGTGTCTTTGGAACAGTACAATGTAAAAAATTAGCACAGCCTTATTGCATGCACAAAATGTGAAATAATGTGAATCTTCCCCAAATAACAATTTGTCAAGAATCACAATTTCAAAGTAGTAGGCTTAGTAATTCTAAACAGTGATCGGTAGAATCTGTCATCATCCTCAATTAGGATTGTTCTTGAATTTTGTGAATTTTCAATCACGAGTGAGATCTTTAGTCCATTCCTTAAATAACATGTGACTATCTTAGAATGTCAAAGAGGGACACAGAAAACTAGATAACAACTCCTGAAATTAAGTTTGCTGTATGGCAACTACTAATTGCTCTGCCAGTTGTCTGACTGTAGAATAATCCTTGTGAAATATTCACTTCTATATGGGTTGGAGCCTGGGTAAGTCTGAGCCCCAGTGTATTTTCATGGAAGTCACTAGAACCAGATGTAAATCCTGGGTTCTCTAGAGAAACAGACAAACAGAACCAATAGAATGTATAGAGAGACAGACAGTTATTTTAAAGAGTTGGCTCATATAAACGTGGGGGCTGGCAAGTTGAAAATTTGTAAGACAGACTGGAGACTTGGGCAAGAGTTGATAATTTTGAGTCTGAAGACAGTCCAGAGGCCGAATTATTTCCTTTTCAGAGGACCTCAGTCTTTTCTCTTAACGTCTTCAGTGATTAGATGAAGTCCACCCGTATTATAGAGAGTAATCTGCTTTTCTTAAAGTTCACTGATTTAAATATTACTCACTTTAATACCTTCACAGAAAAATCTAGTGTTGGCTTATGATCACACAACTGGGTACTATAACTTAGGCAGTCTGACACATGAAATTAATAGGGTGTTGGGGAATAAAATTAACACAGCTGTCATCAAGCCTCCATTTCCTAAGGAAAATTATTATAATCCACATAAATATGGTATTTTGCTTTTGAATCTCTCTAACAGAGTCTGGGTCTCAAATTGTCTTCATGCACAGTGTCATGCTTACCCTCACAATCACTTACTGGAGGCAGGCAAGGAGGGTGAGTATTCCTTGCCACCTTTTACAGATGTGGAAAAAGAAACTCAGAGATGAGACTTATCTAGGGATACAGCTTGTCTTCTGGTCTGTTCAGGCTGCTATAACAAAAATTCCACAGACTAGGTGGCTTAAATAACAAAGGTTTATTTCACAGTTCTGGAGGCTGGGAAGTCAAAACCAAGGTGCTGGCAGATTCCGTGCCTGGGGAGAGACTGCTTCCTGATTCATAGGTGGCTGTCTTTCATTGTATTCACATGGCAGAAGAGATGAGAGAGCTCTCTGGGGCTTCTTTTATTACCATCACATTGGGGATTAGGCTTCAACATGTAAATTTTAAGAGGAACACAAACATTCCATCCATAGCCCAGCTAGTATTTGTGGGATCAGAGCCTGAGCTGGACCCCGGTGTTTTCCTCTTCTGTCTGTCCAGCACATCACACTGCTTCTTTGGCTAGTTGATCTAGTTAATTATAGGTACTGTACAGATGCAGAAAGTGTTAAACCTTGACCACAAGGTTTATCCTTAAGGATGATCCTCACTCCTGGGCTCATTGTTGATACTTCTTTGTATTTGCTTCTTTAGCCTCATTGTGAATTGGCATTGATGATGAGGAAGAGCTTGCCTTCCTCACTAGACTGAGATTTGCAAATGCGCACACAGTATCTGCCTCGCTTTTTGTGTCTGTAGTGCCTAGACAAGGCCAGGCAAATAACACCCACTAAATATTTGTTGAAACAACCTTGCCATATTTGCTCCCTTGAAATAGCCATTGACCTCTGAGACACCAGCAAGTGGGACTCGTGTTATTCCAGTCAAGATTATCCAGCCTTCGCAACATGTAAATATATCTGGAGCATTTTGACGGTAATAACCTAAAAGTCACCGGCATTTCTCACACTTGGTCACTTAGGACTGCAATTTCCTGGAAAGTGCTTTAAATATTTCTGGAGATTGCCGGGCATGGTAGCTCATGCCTGTAATCCCAGCACTTTGGGAGGCCGAGGCGGGCGGATCACAGGGTCAGGAGATCGAGACCATCCTGGCTAACACGGTGAAACCCCGTCTCTACTAACAATACAAAAAATTAGCTGGACGTGGTGGCGGGCACCTGTAGTCCCAGCTACTCAGGAGGCTGAGGCAGGAGAATGGCATGAACCCAGGAGGCGGAGCTTGCAGTGAGCCGAGATCGTGCCACTGCACTCCAGCCTGGGCAACAGAGCGAGACTCTGTCTGAACAAAAAAAAAAAAAATTCTGGAGATCATAGAGCAAACACCATATATGATCCTAAGCAAAATGAATTGGTCCACTTCCGTGGGACAGTTACCCATTTTCCCCTTTTCCTCCCCTTGTCCCCTTAAGTTCGGCACCACCATGCCCTTCAGCTATGATTGTCTCCCATTACAGCTGGTGGGTGCCCCCAAGCTATGCAGCCTCAGGGTGTTCTGTTGTAGTGGGTGCTGACTTGGGAGGGCAACGGGAAATCCCCTCAGTGTATGCTATGGTCTGAATGTTTGTGTCTCCCCCAGATTTATATGTTGATGCCTAATCCCCACTGCAATAGTAATAAAAGATAGGGTCTTTGGGGGTGATTAGACCTTGAGGACTTCACCCTTACAAATGGGATCCATGCCCTTATGAAAGAGGCCAGAGGAAGCTCATTTGCCCTTTCCACCGTGGGAGAACACAGGAGACGGAGCCACTGTGAGGAACAGGCCCTCACCAGACACAGAATCTACAGGCACTTTAATCTTGGACTTCCCAGCCCCACAACTGTGAGCAATAAATTTCAGCTGTTTGCATATCACTTGGTCTAAAGTATTTTTTACAGCAGCCTGAATGGACCAAGACAGTGTGCCTTGATATCCCTAAATACTAGAGATTTTTTAGGGAAACATAGCTTTATTTTTTTTGCCCCTCTGCCCCACAACTTTCTGTAGGATTCACATGGGGGTGTTGGACATGGAGACAAAGCTAAGCACTGGGAACCATAGGTTCTAAAAATCCCAACCTTTCCATTGACCACTAAGGCATTATTTATTGTCTGGTGCCTTGCAGTTGGCAAGCCGACTCCTCTTTCCTTCAGTCTGAGCTTTCTCCTGGAGGTTTCTAAGTTCCTCATGCAAATAGGCTTCTGGCAGATGTCCTCTCAGACATATCTGTTCAAAACTCAGAGTGTTCAAGCTGGGACCTTGTTTCACGTCATCTGGAAAAAGAGGGAGGCAACAGGAAGTGTGCTGAGTCGCCAGGGAAGCCACAATCAACAATTTCCCACAGGTAATTGACAAAGTGGATCAGGCACATGTAGGAAGTGGAATTGTGGTAACTAAATTTTATATATTTTATGGCTTGCAGAAATACTTTTCTATATTCTGTCTCATTTGATACAGCCTTTAAAAAGGTTAAAAACGTTTATCATTGCCCACAATCACACCGCTTAAGCTTTACGAGTTAAATGTCCTGTTGGCAGGACAGCTGTGTTAGGTTTAAATGTATCTCCCCATCCAGCTGTCTTCTATCCTGGTAGACTAGTACAATCCTGTGATATTTAGCTGAGAAACTATAATGTGCTGGGAGTCGTGGTAAACCACATGTGGATTTGGGTGGATGGTGTTTCAGAGATGTGCCGCTTCTGGAAGCAAATGTTCTGACAAACTGCCTTCTTGGAACCAATTGGTGCAAATACCTTGGGCACCACAGTTCGTAAAGAGAACTGTCGAAGGCGGCTGGAAGGGTTTAGCAGACCACAATTTCGCACCGCAAATATAACTGAGCATGCACTTTTGACCATGGTGTGCTGTGTGATGTTAGTAGAGGAAGGGGCACTGGCGGTGGAGGCTGGGGGGGACTTGGTTTGTACAGCATAGCAGGAAGAGCACTGAGGCAGGATGCCCAGGGGTTCTAGTCCTAGCTCAGACCAGCTGCATGGCACTGAACAAGTCCCTTCAGTTCCGCAAAGTTTAGCTTCCCAATCTAAAAATAGAGATAAACTGTCCAGTCCATCTCACAGGTTTGACAGGGCAGTCAAATTAAATAATATATATAAACGTATTTTGGAAAGTATAAAATGGTACACAGGTGCAAAGCATCATTCTCATGGTCCTTAATTCTTTCTTTCATCCTCCTGTATATATATATATGTATGTATTTCCAGGTGTAAGTGGCTTTGGGATTGGAAGATAGTCATATCTTTCAATCTTAAGTTTCCTTCACGTGGCCTCAGAAAACTGCCCCCAGTAGTTGCATGTTAAACTTTGCCAGAATCAGTTTCCCACCTGGCCTTAAGTGCTCTGCTCTGTATTGGTGTTGACCTTAGGCGTGAGAAACATGTGACTGTAATGAGGATGGATGCTTTCTAAAAGCTCATAAATAGCAACTTTTTCATACTGAAATTTGCTCTGTTCCATTCTTGCCCTTGTGACTTTACAGATGTTGTATTCTGCCATGAAATAGGTTATAGAAGCAGGTTTAAAGTGAAGGAGACTATGATTCAGCTGCCAAACCAAAAGTGAAACCTGTCCATGTGGATATAGCAGATGTCAGTGGAAGAAAGGTGTGCAGAATTGAAAAGCTTGCTCTCCGTGGTTTGAGAACACACTGTCCTCTTGTGGGCGTCTCTGGCAGCCCATGATCGGTACACTTCCTTGAACCAAATAGCCTATCAAAATATTATCTAATACATTTCTACTTTTATTTACTCAATGAGTAATTACTGAGTGCCTACTACATGCCAGGAACTGTGGCCCTGATATGTTTCAAAACCCATAAACATGCATCTAACTTATTTATGTAGGATCTCCATCAGGCACTATCTTCTTTTAACCTTTCCAGTGAAGGTTAAACTCTGACCAGAGGAATTGAGCGTGTTTACAGAAAATCAGGAATGGAACAGAATTAGACTGCTTTTCCCCTTACTTCCCACTCCCTTACAGCATGTTCCATTGGTACTTGAGTCTAGAGGCATCCAGAGGTGTAAGAATAACCAAACACAACAAAGATTAGGAGTAACGAAGTGTTTTCATGCAGTGCCGCACCCCAGTGAGGTGGGCTGGCTAAAAGGATGTGATACAAACTGATATCCAGGGAATGGCAAAGAGGAGTAGCTGGGCCTGTCCATCATCTCTTATCATGACTCACAGCCCTTGTTTAAGGAATTTGAAGTCTAGGTGGATGAAAGGGACATCAAACTTAAAATGCATAGCTGCAACCTACTAGATAGAAGCTGAGAACCCTATATGTGGATCAGGCAGTCACTACTGGAGTTCAGGAGGGGAATAAGGCATTGGCCCCTAGAGAAGACATCACAGATCAAACTTGAGCTAGACTTCCTTGAGGACGGGTAGGATGTAGATGATAAAGATTCAGCTTCAGGCAGTAAGAAGTGAAAAGAAACATACTTTTTAACCAGTATGTGTTGAGTGGAGGGTGGTTATGGGGAAGGGAGGGTGGCAGGGAAGGCTGGATGCATTTAAGGCTGTCGCCAAGTTTTTCTGCTTAAAGAGCATCTGGGCACAGTGGCACATGGTCTATATTACTCAGGGCCCTAAGCTCACCTGAGAAGCTCCAGCCTCCCTTCTGCACCTTGCCCACAGAATGTTCTGTAACACTTCTCTGTCCTTGCAGATAAATAGGCTGCCCCAAATCTAGCGATACCCTCGATGGTGGCAGGGGTAGTAGCAGTGGCATTGGATGGGACGGTGGGTTGGATATTTCCCTTTGTATTGGTCAAATACATGCACAGATGGCACCAACACCACGGGGATCTCTGGAGATGAAGGTAGGTATTTCTTCAGTCACTCAGCACTTAACAACTGTCAGAGAGGGCCGGGCGTGGTGGCTTATGCCCGTAATCCCAGCACTTTGGGAGGCCGAGGCGGGTGGATCCCGAGGTCAGGAGATTGAGACCATCCTGGCTAACACGGTGAAACCCTGTCTCTACTAAAAATACAAAAAATTAGCTGGGCATGGTGGCGGGCACCTGTAGTCCCAGCTACTCGGGAGGCTGAGGCAGGAGAATGGCGAGAACCTGGGAGGCGGAGCTGGCAGTGAGCCGAGATGGCGCCACTGCACTCCAGCCTGGGCGACAGAGCGAGACTCTGTCTCAAAAAAAAACAAACAAAAAAAACCAAAAAAACTGTCAGAGAGATAATAGGAGAAATGTGCCCCTGCACTCGCACTGCACAGCATGTGCCGGATCATCTGTGAAATGGATCTTTCCTCTGGGAGCTCCATCTTTTCCAGGTGATTGTTCACTTGGACATATTTGATTATAAGCTCCCAGAGTGTCAGACACGGACTTCTCATGGCAAGTTAGACGATCCCAGGTGCCCAGTGGGTGGCAGTGCAGTGAGTGGCAGGAGGAAAACTTTCCTGCTGGCTTTTGGTCTGACCAAGACAGAGTGATACTTATCCAGGGCCTAAAATAACCATAGCAATAGGCCTTGCCAGAAGGGATCTGTGGCAGGCTCCTGGCACTACTGGTCAGTTCCCCCAGTGGCCTGTTCAAGTTTTTCTTTGCATGAGACAGAGGTTATGGCTGAGGAAACAGCCAGGCCAGGAGGCTAGCCTGCCCTGCAGAAGCCCAGGGGACCTTCCTGATGCCATCTTTCTGGTATGACAGCTCAGCAGGCCTGTGTCAACAAGCCCTGCACGGTTTGGACAAGATGTGAGTGACTAACGTTTTCCTCTGGAGCAGCAGGAATGGATGGGCCTGCTGGGAAGAATCCCTTTGCTGTGAGCTACCTAAGACGCCTGGCTCCTGAATTGAACCAGCAGGTCCCTTCTCTGTATCTTGCTTGCTTTCCTTTAAAAAAAAAAAAATCCTCAGCAGATGATGGGAGGAATTATTTGCTGAGTTTGTCCAGACTCTGAATAGCCCTTGGTCACTGAAGTGTGCAAAAACATGGCAACAATGCAGGTGCTATGGTCTGAAAATGTTTGCAAAGGAAGGAGAGGAAAGAGCAGTTATTCTGACAGTAAATGATACATAATACTAATATTGGAAGGATTATTTTTTCCCTGTGTGGTCAGTGAATAGAATTTTTGGCAGTCGTCTATCATTTAACTAGGTCTGTATAGAGCACACTGGAGCCTGGTAAGGACCTCTGGCTTTTTTTACAGTCAGAGTTTTGGTGCCTAGGGGTCTGGGCTGTGGACAGGCGAGATGTACCTGCAGGCAGGGAGTGGTCAGCTTGCTCTCAGCTTGCCAGATCCGTGACTCTGACGAGAGAGTTATCAGTACCTACAGAGCTTCCTCCTGCAGCCTGCCTACCCACCCAGGCCATCTTCTGACACTGCCTCAATGTGTCCATGCTCCAGGCAGGTCAGATCACCTCCCTCATTCGGTTTGGACATCAAGGAGACTGTGTGAATGACCATCAGCCTCTCTCCAGTCTACCCAAAGGTATCAGGTATCCAGCACTATTCTGATGGAGAAGCAGTAAGAGTGAGCCTACCTTAGATCTATTAATAGAGCTCATTCAGCCAAGGAAAAGGATCCAACTAACCCAGATGACTACATGAGCCTAGGTCATTCACATGTAGCTTTGGTGAGTAATGAGAGATGCACGCATGATACCCCTGCTCCTGTCCTTTGGTGCCCTGCACCCCTCTCAGGTGCTCTCCAGAGTCAGCCCTTCTGACTGCAGGGCAGACCCCAAAAGGAGATCAGCTTTTCACCTCGATTACCCCTAGTACTTAAGACATTTGCCTTCATGAGTTTTTGGTAATCAATATTGTACAGCCAGTAATTTAATTTTTTCATGGTATCAATCTGATATTAAAGCTCTAGTATCTGGGAAGAGCACAGCAAAGCTTACCTGACTGACTCCACTATTATATTTGGAATGGATAATTGAGATATAATTTAAAGGGTAGAATATATTCTTTCTATAACTGCAAAAGTTTGCTATAACTCACAAAAGGAAATACAAAATTGAGTAATAGTGTTGGAGGAGAAGGAAGCAAATATTTATTTTGTATCTACTATGTGCCAAACACTTTATGTATTGTATTTTGCCCTCAGAAATCATATGCAGATGATTCTATTTTACAAGGGAAAGTTGAGGTTTAGAGCAGGTGAGCAACATGCCAAGATGGAACAGAAGGGGCATAGAACCTGGATTCAAGTCAGAGCAGGGTTTACACCCTCGGTACCATTTAGATGTGGGTCAGATAATTCTCTGTGGTGGAGGCTGCATCCCTGGCCTCTACCCACTAGATGCCAGTGGCATTTCCCCCATTTGTGACAACAGAAAATGTCTCCAGGCCAGGTGCGGTGGCTCATGCCTGTAATCCCAGCACTTTGGGAGGCCGAGGCGGGCGGATCACCTGAGGTTGGGAGTTCAGAGACCAGCCTGACCAACAGGGAGAAACCCTGTCTCTACTAAAAATACAAAATAAGCCGGTTGTGGTGGTGCATGCCTGTAATCCCAGCTACTAGGGAGGCTGAGGCAGGAGAATCACTTGAACCCGGGAGGCAGAGGTTGCGGTGAGCCGAGATTGCACCATTACACTCCAGCCTGGGCAACGAGCGAAACTCTGTCTCAACAAAAAAAAAGAGAAGAAAGAAAACATCTCCAGACATTGTCAAATGTCCTCTGAGGGTCAAAATCAGACCCGCTGTGGAGACCCATGGCTCTAGAGGCTTTGTTTTTTCTGCCATCACACACTCGGAGGGAAATTTGGGGGTAACTTTAAGGATGCTATATGGATAACTTATGTTTCAGTATTTTTTCTTATGAAGATAATAAAAGCTGTCGTGGATCATTTCGAAAATAAAATAAAGATTGTTTAGAATCGTACCACCTAGAGATACCCACTTTCAGCATTTGGCTATGTTTTCTTCCAGTCTGTTTTCTGTGCACACATAGGTAGTTTTTAAAATCATACAGTAAATCTTTTATCTCTTTTTATACTTAATATTATATCAAGAACCTATCCCTATATTAAAATCAGTGTAATTATTTTTAGTAGCTGCATTATATCCTATTATATGTTTATGCCTCAATTTACTCAAGCATTTTTGCAAATGGCCATTTAGAGTTTTTCCAGTTTATCCCATCATAAACACAGCTTCAATGAACATATTTGTGCATAAACGTTTGTGTACAGTCTTGATAAATTCTCTGGGGTATATATTTCTATGAAAAGAAGAATAATTGGGTCAAGCTCTGTACCTATTGTTTAGGCTGCATTTCCTACATACTGTCAGGTTGCTTTCTGTAAGTGTTGGACTTATATGGCTGTGCTTTCTCTCTCACTTGTTTGTGGGTGTCTTGTCTCACTTGTTAACTATAAGTATTAACTTTTTAAAGTATTTTAATTTGATAGGCAAAAATGGCATTTCATTGTTTTATTTGTGTTTATTTGATGACCAATGAAACAGAACATCTCTTCCTATTATATAGCTTTTTGCTTTTCTTAGTCTCTGAAATATTTGTTAATACGATGCATTGCTTCTTTATTAGATCTAATTTTTGTCTATCCACTTTAAGATTTGTTTCTTTCCATTTTCACATGTAGACTTAAAACTACAGTTCTTTAAGCTATTTAGCAGCAGTAGAGGAAGACTTGAGGCAAGTTGGAGGAGAGATGAAGGGGAGTGCTTTTGTATAAATTGGAGATCACCTCAACTATAGAATTAACTGAGCCCTGAAGTTGGAAGAAGAGGGAAGAATGGCGAGAGAGGAGGTAGTGCAGAGGTGTGCGGTCAGGATTTCCTGTAATGGCCACCAGGTGGTGCCATCTGCCCGGGACGATTTGATGTCTCTGGTGCAGGAGAGCGGAGAGCTGGGGAGAGTATTAATAAGGTGGTCACAAGCGAGGTGATTGGAGTGCCATTCATACATGTGGGACATTAGTTGGGCCTCTGTAATTAACCTGTCAATGATCATGAGTTGGTGCACGTGTGTTTGTGTGTAGAGCGGGGAAGAGAAGATTAGGGCTGTTAAAAAAAAAGAATATATATATATATATATATATATATATATATATATATATATATATAATATATAATATGTTATATATACACATATGTATACATATATACATATATAACATATATAATATATGAATGGCAGCTTTATTGAGATATAATTCACATACTATACAATTCAACAATTTAAAGTATACAATGTAATGGTTTTTGGTATATTCACATAGTAGTATCAATTTTAGATTTTTTATTGCCCCAAAAGAAACTCCATTCCCCTTAGCCATTCCCCCCATCTCTGCCTCCTTACTCCTTCCCTCAGTCTCCTTTCCCCAGACCCTGGAAACCACTACTCTACTTTCTATGTCTGTGAATTTGCCTCTTCTGGACATTTCATATAAATGGAATCAGAATAGGTGGTCTTTTGTGGCTGTCACTGCTTGTCCTAGCCAATGCTATACCAGCTTGACTTTGTGGCAGGAGGCATCAGGGTATCCAGATAGACTTACTGTTTTAAAAGAAACAGCATTTCCAGGCTGGCTAGGACAGAGAAAACTACGTAGAACAATACTTTTCCTACCTGGTGGATCATCAGAATTACCTGGGAAGCTTAAAATGAAAGATTCCTGGCCCCTAATCTCTCCAGGAATTCAAATATGGTAGTTCCAGGGAGTCTGAGCTGCTTGGGATTTTTTTCAGTGCCACCAGTGATTCTAATGATTGTCTAGCTGTAAGCAGTGGGACTCAAGTTTTGAACAGAGGCATGAGAAGAAAATGGCATTTCCCTGCAGATGGGCTGTACCAGCTGCAGCTTCAAGTCCAGTGCCTCTTGTGGGAAAGGAGCCACTCCCTTGTCATTCGCCACATCTACACTGCAACGCTGGTTTATGTCAGACTATCATCTTTGACTCGGCATGACAACAGTGCATATTTGAAGGCCATCAAACCAATGATATTAGCCTTGTTTACGGTTTAGCTGGAAAATATCTCCCATGTGGTATAGTAAGAAGAGCACTGAATTTGAATTCTGAAGCTCACCAGAGTGTTCCACTGACTAGTCTCAGGGCTACTGTGAGCACCCAGTGAGAGTGGCCATGAGAGGTGACACACTGCACAAGTCAGGGCACTGGAATCATGGGACAAGATGGGACCTTAGAGAATGTCTTGTCTGCCTGCCTCATTTCATAGTAGAGAAAATGAGGCCCTGAGAGGTAAAGTTCTTCACTGAAGGTCATACGCCAGCTATTAGTAGTGTAGCCAGCACCAGGGTGTCCTAGCCTTTGCCTCCTTCTGTTTCTCACTGTGCCCTCCTTCCCTACATTGCTCTCTTTTGGGATCTGAGGAATCATATTCAATCACCTTTCATTTTCAGAAATGAGGAAACCCAGGCCTCGTTTGTCCATGGCTACAAAACTAATTGATTTATATTTGCTTTGGATGACTAGGAGTTAAAATAATGACAGGTGAAAAATCCAAGATGGCGTTTGTATACCGCTTTTAAGAGCAATCCACAGCAGATTCAAGTTTTGTGAGGCCTGAAACTCATGCAATTTGAAAACTTTTTTCAAGAAAAATAACACACAATTGCAAATGAAAAGTTAGGTTCCAGGCCTTGGAAGCAGTCTGCGCCCATGAGGGGCCCTCATTCACTTCACTATAAATCCACCTCCAGGAGCAGTAATAAAGAGATCCCTACTCATGTTTGTGCTGCTAGGTTCTTCTGTTTGTATAAATAGCATGTGTCCTGCTAAGTCACCTCCACTCTTATAAAATGGAGGCCATTCTGCCAACACATGTGTATTGAACATCTCTTTATCTGTAAGGAATACAGAAGGGAACCAAGAAAGGAAACTAAGCTACCATCTCTAACTCAGGAGATGAGGCACAAAGGCAGAATGGAGGAATTCCCTCCCTGCTGTGGTCTGGGCCAGGGTGCCTATGGGAGCCCAGCCTCTAGGAGGTCTCCAGTTTTAATCTCAGATAATCTTCCTCTTGTAGTCATTCTTCTCCCTCTGCCTATCAAATGCAGATGTTGAGATGAGTAAACCCTTTGGGGTTTTTGGATGAAAAACTTTTCAAGATTTACATGACATTTTTGGGGTTGTGCCTACCCAAAAAAGTCTTATATCTCACATCACTGCCTTAGAAATGAATTAAAGGTGCATTTATCCATCAGGGCCACATTCCCCTAAAATGCACCTAATAGCACTGAAACAATTAGAATAACACAGGGATCCTGAATAATCCATGCCTCTTGTCAAGAAATTTTTTTCTATTTTTATTTTTGTAAAACAGCTTCCTTATCCAGTTGTGTTTAGTTTATTTAAACGATCACATCAGCATTAGGTTCTGGTTTGGGGTTTTTTTTTTTATTTGTTTGTTTAAGTCTCGTTTCTGACACTTTCTGAAAGATGCAACATGGAGATAGGCCAGGAGGGAAACTAGTTTTAGGGTGTTCTCATTACATTCATTTTATGTCATTTTTTATTATTAGGTTTACATTATTGAATTCCTGTGGAGAAGAGGAGTCAGAGCTGTGAATAAGTCATAAGTCCCTATAGGTAAAATCAAGTACTATTTGTCTCTGATCAAAATTGCCCTTTCCATTGATAGGAGAAATGACTGGGCCTCCTTGTCATCCAGAGTTCATTTTGTTTTTCGTGGCAGTTTCACTGTCTTTGGGAATTGAGCTTTTTGAAATGTTAAAGCACGAGAAGCATGAACACCTTGGCAGGGTTTGCAGTATCTCCTTCTAGTGCAGGATGGAGGGCTCCAGAGCTGGCAATTTGAGGAATGGCTGGTGGCTTCTGATGTCACCTGCCACTCATGTGTCCCTCCCTGTTTTGAATCATGGATCTCAAACATCCTCAAAAGCTCTTCCCTGGTAATTTCAAAACTCTGAACAAATCAATCCTAAGAAAAAATAAACAAACATGCAGAAGAGCAGAAGGATATTTAGGATATGGTTCTAATTAAAATTTTTAAGTTTTCCTTTTTCAAAATCCTGTATGAGCTATTAAATAGGGAAAAACAAACTTCTGAGTAGGAAAGAAATAAAGGCCATTACCCTTAGAGATTTTGAATCTTACAATAAACAAATAGGTCTTCTTTTCCCCGAATGTTTCTTCTTATCAACACAAGGGAGTTGAGTGATGGCTACAGCTCTAAAATACTGAACATGGCTGCCTACTGAATTCAGCATACATACGTAGGGATATGTTACATAAGATGCACATACATACTTTATTTCTATTAGCCTGTGAAACAGTGAACATGCCTGCTCTTATAAAGCTTCTAGTAAAGGAACTACAAAAGAAACACATCTACTGGGCATTCTCACACTGGCTGAGGTAGGTTGGAACCATCTGGATTCTTGCCTGTGGCATAGTTAACCTCGTGACTATCCAGTTTTCCAATTATCCAGGCCCATTTACCTCTGCTCCCACTCAGCGAGCCCTTTGGCTATTTCTCTGTTCATTGGCACCTAAAGTCAAGGAGAAAGAAACGAACATTTATTAAGTGCTATGTTTGTACCAGTTAATCTTCTCAATGAAGTATTATTATCACCCCTGTTTTACAGAGAAGGAAACTAATATTCAAAGAGGTAAGATAACTTGTTCAGGACCACATATGTTTTTAAGTATAGAGCTCATGCATTATAAAGTGACCACCCTAGCTAACATTTATTAAGCACAATATTTGCCAGAATTCTTGCAAAAAGCCTTACAAGGACTATTTTATTTTATCCTCATACCAACGGCTTAAGGATGGTATTACTTAAGTATTCTTGTTTTACAGATGAGGTCATACAGCTAAGGTGATGAGGCCAATATTCAAACTCAAGCATCTGGATTGCAGGCTGCACTTTTGATCGCCATGTCTAGCCTCCTCTATACACCTGCTCTGACCGATTTGGTATTCACCACGCCCAAGAGGCTACTGAACACCTGAAATATGGCTGGCTGGAGTTGTGATGTACTCTAAGTATAAACTACACACCCTATTTGGAAGACAGTATGCAAAAAAGAATATAAAAAGTCTCTTTGGCAATTCTTTATATCAATTACATGTTGAAATGATAATTTGGATATATTGGGATTAAAAATTATTTAATTTCACTATTTCTTTTTACTTTTTGAAGTGAGAAGACTAGACAATTTAAAATTACAAATGTAGTTCATATTCTATTTCTATAGAACAGCACTGCTATATACTATTTTAAAATAATATATAAAGGGGACTAGAACTGACTCAGGCCAACATTATTTTTCATCAATAGTTCTAGTTAAAAATTTGGTTGGAAGTGGGTGGATGGGAAGGTTGAAGCCCATTTTTAAAGATAAGTTTGGTGTTTTTATGAATTTGAGTTATGTGTGCTTTCTTCACCCGTTTTACCATGTGTGGGTAAGAGACTTGCCATTTTTAAGAATCAGAAGAATTCTGTGAGGTGTATTTCCAGTGTCTGTGTGTAGTGCTGCAGCTGTCTGAGCGTATTGCCGGAGGCACCTCCTTTGGACTTTAAGGCACGAATTGCTCATCACTGTCCACACAGCTTTGTGGCCGCCTTTGAGTCTATCTCTTTTAACATAACATTGAGTTCTGGCTCCAGGTCTGGCACAAAGTTGATAATAACTAGTGAATACTGTTTTGTTTGGTTTGTTGTAGTTTTATTCTTTTTTTTTTTTTGAGACAGAGTCTCACTGTGTCGCCCAGGCTGGAGTGCAGTGGCACAGTCTCGGCTCACTGCAGCCTCCGCCTCCTGGGTGCAAGTGATTCTCCTGCCTCAGCCTTTCGAGTAACTGGGACTACAGGCACACACCAGCATGCCTGGATAACTTTTTTGTATTTTTATTACAGATGGGGTTTCACCATGTTGGCCAGGCTGGTCTCAAACTCCTGACCTCAAGTGATCCACCCGCTTCGGCCTCCCAAACTTCTGGGATTATAGGCATGAGCCACCGGACCCACTTTATTCTTAATACCTATTGCCAGGCAGAGGTTACATGGATATAAAAGAGAGAAATTGGGAATATTTGTATGAGATGGGAAACCACAGGCCAGGAAAGCATTACCAAAGGGTTGTAGAGGATTTAGTCTGGGCCCCTCCCCAACGTACACACCACGTGCCTTCTCCTCTCGAGGCTAGAATTAACCCTCACCCCACCACCAGCTGCCAAAAAATAGTAGTAGCTGCTGGGAACTCAGAAACAGAAAAGAATTTTCTATGAGATTACTGTCTAAAACAAATGTTTATTCTAGCCATTTATAAAGAACACTTATGGATTTACAGCAGCTTAGGATAGTGAAAAAGAAGTAGAGGAATGGTAATTAATTCAGGTACGAATTTGTAAGGCCAAGTGAGAATCACGTTCCTTGTCGTGGCCCAAAAGGCCTTGTCAGACTCAGATGGAGTCTCCTCGTTTTAGTCTACAGACATATGGGTGGAAGTGACATGATGGAATAATTACATTCCCAAGCCGTGTACCCAAAATCTGTGCTAGGACCACTCCCCTGGCCAGTGCGGAACCAGGTCAGCTGGTGGAAGGGGCTCTGAATGGGCACAGCGCTGCCAGGCCCTGCCACTCCCACCTCATCCCATCCAGAATGGGTCCAACACAGTTCCTGCTAACCCTTATCCACACCTCCTCAACCATAGTCCCCAGTGACCTGCTTCCTCTGTGAAGCCCAGGCTGACTGGAAGGTGACCCTCAACAGAAACCATCAGAGAGCTTTGGGTCTGGGGCGGAGGGTCACCTCCACTCTCACGGTGGTGTCTTGGTGTTAATGTCATCTGTTGGCTCAGCCATTCATTGCTTCTCTCTTCCCTAAGCTCCTGCAGATCTCCTTTACTCGTTTCTTAAGTGTAGGAAGCTATCTCCTTGGATGCTGGGTCACTAATTATAAACTTCCTATGCATTTACCTGGCTCTGGTTTGGCCCCTAATGTCTTTATTTCTGCCTGCAGGATTGTCATTGCCATTGCCCCTTTTCCTTACCTGGGAACCCGACATACTCTGCTTATCCCTTGAGCTGGCACACCAGGGGGCCTGGAATTCCTGTTGGTGAAGTCACTACTTTAAGAGAATTATCCCAGAAATCCTCTAAGTTGCAAATCCTACAGGAGCAGAGTACTACATGTTAATTAGCACTCATTATCATGTTAGTAGAGAAGCTTACCCAAAGGAATGATACATAGGACCTGCTATGTCATTGAGAACAGAGAGGTGGGGCTCAGGTTCTGGACAAATGATGTCATAAGTAAGTGTAGTTTCAGAAAGGAAGATGAAGTGGGAGCTTTAGATAATTGGAGGCGGTAGGCCTGTATATGGAACCAGATGCTAGAGAGCCCAAGTCCATATTTTTACTTTTTCACAGTTTTGTGTCCATATCCTCACCGAATCCCAACCACCACCACCACAGTTCTATATCCCGTTATTTTTTCAATAATAACTGATACCTCAACTTAAGCTCCACTCTGACCCTCAGCTAAGCCATATAATTTCAGCAAGAATTATAAAATAAAGTTTTTAAAGGACAAACATGAGCCTTAACCTTAGTATAAAGACATGCTTAGCCTTCATACAAATTGCCAAGTTGAGACTTCATTTCAGACGGCAAATAAAAGTTACATGAAGGAGCTAAAAGTGCTATTGCAAATTACCTATTTGAAACGGCTTTTTCAAAACCTGCTAAATTCACACCTCTCCTAAAAATGCTTCACTTCCAGATTATTTTATTTTGGGGTTTTGTGTGTATGTGTTAGAGGGGGTGGGGTTTGTGGTGACTACAGAAAAATTAGTTAAATTCATAGGATAAAATTTGAACTTTTGCAAATGAGTAAACAGCCAAAACAAACACCGCTTCAGAAAAAAAAAAAAATACACGTTTTCTCCTTTTGGAAAGCAAGCAATGCTTAAGCAAAATACCTTAAAAGTTAACTAAAAAGCTTTTCTAAAATAAACAACTCTGCTTGTGATCCTAAATTGGGACCACATGTAGATGTGAAAGCTACAAATGCAGTGCACTCAGAATTTGCGTCTCTGCCTTCACTGTTTGCGTGCCTCTGAGTAGATGATGATAATGTTGGCTTTGGTCCCCAAGGAGCCTGAGTTTTTTAGATCCTAGTATGAGGGGGAAAAGCAGAAGAAGAAAGAGAAGGAATGAAAACAAATGCCTTTCAAGACAAAATATCCGAATGGGTTTCATTTTGCTTATCTGCCAACAGGCTCAACCCAATTTAGATCTCTCCTACAAGGACAGGATAGTGCCAGCCAGGGTGTCTGCCCTTGCCGGCTATGTGGGGCAGTCCCTGTGAGGGACCAGGCTCGAATTCAGAGCAGAAGGATCACTCTAGCAAACTGCCAGGGCCAGCCCTCTGCCCTGAGGCAAGTCAATGAATTAGCCAATTCAGCACAGATAGAATCATTCCTTTGTTTTTCTCAATTACCAAATGCTGTGTGCTTTGGGGGTCACTTGTCATGTGAGTTTAGAGAATGTGGATATTGCAACATAAACCCTCACCATTCTAAACAGCTTAAACTAAATTCTGTTACTAGGGAGGAGAGCTGAGGTGATAATATCCATCTCTAAGTATAAACTATTGTGTGTTCATTTTCCCATTATGGGAGACAAATTTCTCTTCTCCGCTAGTGCTCATGATCTCTTCCACCAGGCACAAACATCAGATGTGTGTTTATGTGGACATATTTTGTCCCCTATTATTGGAGAGCAAGCTCCTTGAGAGAAGGGATTATGCTGCCTGGATTTGTAACTTTGTTAGGCAAAGCATGACTTTATTTAGTTTTGAATT